>NW_025791769.1:0-300000 GCF_000001405.40 Homo sapiens
GTACAGTCTGAAGATACGTTCCCATAATAGTGGCTGCTTGGCAACAGGAACATGCTTAAGGGTCAGTCTTCATGTCCTAAGCCAAAGGCTCTGGGTTAGTGTGGGTCACCTGGCTATTGATGTTCACTGGACATGAAATGAGTGAGACTAATTTATCTCTATATCCCATGTGTCCAGTATAGAGCCTGGCACATGGTAGTTGATAATTCAGAGTGTTTTAAAAAACAAATAAATGAATAACATTGTTGCTTCCCCACATGTAATGTTGCCTTGCCCCTTCTTCAGAATAAGGGGAAGGAAGCTGTCTTTTATTTTAGATCAAATATCCTGAAAATAGGGAAATTAGTTTTTGAGGACTTGATAATTTCTCTCAAGTATGCCCTTCTTCACTTCCTGGACCATGGCACTGTTCCCTTGGTAATATCCATAGAACATTTTCTGATGAATGCTCTTCTCAAAGACAAGATCTTGCACTTGAAAAAAAAAAAAAAAGCAGAGAGACTGGGCAGTAGTGCATGCCTGTAGTCTTAGAACTTTGGGAGGCTGAGGTGGGAAGATCACGTGAGCCCAGGAGTTTGAGACCAGCCGAGGCAACACAGTGAGACCCTACCTCTACAAAAAAAAAAAAAAAAAAAAAAAAAAAAAAAAAAAATTAAAAAATCAGCTGATCATGATGGTGCATGCCTGTAGTTCCAGTTATTTGGGAGGCTGATGTGGGTGGATCACTTGAGCCCAGGAGATCGAGGCTGCAGTGAACCATGATTGAACCACTGCACTCCAGTCTGAGTGACAGAGTGAGACCCTGTCTCAAAAAACAAACATAGAAAAAACAAAACACATAGACTGGGCACAGTGATGTGTGCCTATAATTCCAGCTACTCAGGAGGCTGAAAAGGAGGATTGCTTGAGCCTGAGAGCTCAAGAGTAACTTGGGCAACATAGACAGAACCCATCTCTGAAAAAAAAAAACACAGAGTTTTATGGGGATAAAACTTCAAGAGAATGAAGACTGGGGGACTTTGGATTTTGGGCTGTATATCTCTGAAGGGCCCTCGCTGATGGTAGGCACATATGCCTCACAAAATTGAGCAAGAGCTTGGAAAAGAAGTTCAATGGTTGCTGTTGGGGTGGAGGGGAAGCAAAGGAAGAGGTTCTTATAAATCATGACTGGGCATGCAGAGGTGGGTGGTACTGGCAGGCTGGGTACCTGTAATGCTTTCCTTTGCTTTGACCCAAAGGGAGCAGCCCTACTGTTCCTATCTGGCTATGTTTTGGGATTGGACTTGCTGGATTAGTTTACTCTTTGGCTACTTTGCCTTTTTGATCCTTAGTTTGCTTTTTTTTTTTTTTTTTTTTGCAAAATAATGTCAACCTCTACCTACATCATAGAATTGGACATCGTGTTCTCAAGGCACTAAGCTCTTTGAAGGATGAAGAAAAATAATCAGGTACTGTGGTAGAAAGTCTCCAAAGATGGCTGCCACCAATTCCTTCCCTTCCTATAGGCACAGGCAATTTCCCCATCAAGAGTTGAAGTTTATTTCCCATTCCCCTATATCGGGCTGGCCCTGTGATTGCTTTCATCAACAGAATATGACAGGAGTGATGTTATGGGACTTCTGACTCTAGCCTTAAGGAGGACTGGAAGCTTCCATTTATTCTTCCTAGAATGAATCTTCTTGGAAACAAACTACCATGTAGTGAAGAAGCCTGAGCAGCTAAAAGGAAAGACCCAAGTGGAGAAATACCATAATGGTGAATAAGGCATTATGAAAGTTCACAAATGGCAGAGGCATTGTGGAGAGGAAGGGAAGTCCATATTCACGGTAATTGTTTCTTCCAGTGAAAACAAAGGTCTATCCCTTCCTTGATGGAAATGGTCCAGTGTAATCAACTTGCCACCAGGTCGTTGGTTGTTTCCCATGGAATCATGGCCCAATCAATTGTTCAGTGTTGGTCTCTCTCTGTTTTTGGAATTTGGGCATTGTATTAGTCCATTCTTGCACTGCTAAAAAGAAATACCTGAGACTGGGTAATTTATTAATATAAAGAAAAGAGGTTTAATTGGCTCAGGGTTCCATAGGCTGTACAGGTAGCATAGCTGAGGAGGCCTTAGGAAACTTACAATCATGACGGAAGGTGAAGGAAAGCAGGCTTGTCTTACGTGGCTGAAGCAGGAGGAAGAGAGAGCGAAGGGGGAGGTGCTACACTCATTTAAACAACCAGATCTCATGAGAACTCACTCACTATCACCAGAAGAGCAAGGGGGAAATCCACCACTATAATCCAATCACCTCCCACCAGGACCCTCTTCCAACATTGGGGATTACAATTCAACATGAGATTTGGGTGGGGACACAAATCCAAACCATATCAGGCACTTAGCAGTGGATTTAGAGAATTCCTTATATACCATTGTGATATTCCATATAGCATTGCTTCTGACTGGCAACTCATTTCAAAGTAAAGGAAATCTGGCAATGAGCTCACACTCATGAAATTCATTAGTCTTAACTATATCACCCATAATCCTGAAGTAGTTGGCCTGATTGAACAATGTGGTGGTCTTTGGAAGACTCAGTTATAGAATCAGCTGGGGGACAGGACCTTGCAGGGCTAGGATAATGTTCTCCAGGATGTGGTACATGCTCAGAATTAGCAACCATGATGATATAGTGCTTAGTTCCAAGAATTAAAGGGTAGAATGGACTGGCTTTCTCAAAATTAGCCCTAATGGTAAACTAGTTTTTTTTCCCTTTTCTTTCTGTACCCATAACTTTGATCTCTGCTATTTTAGAAATCTTAGTACCCAAGGAAAAAAAATGTTGCCATTAGAGAAGAAAATTAAAAATTCCTTTAAAGTTGAGACTACTACATGGGCTCTTAATATCATTAAATCAACAGATGGAGGGGCTTACTGTTCTGGTCCAGCAATGTTGGGGCATTCTGGAAGGAAAGAGTCTTTGTTTTGGGACTGTGAGGCACATTTAGATCTTTGGTACAGGGTACCAGTAGAAACTTCCAGTCATGGGTCCAGCCCTAAAACACACCCCTCCTTCTTCTCAAATGCCATTTAGGGATAGAAAATTGTGCATAGTTGAGAATTTTTCATGAGTGCATCATTTCAAGAAAAAAAATTAGAGGCTTGTTTTTTCTTTTCATTGCTCTATTTTCTAGTTGGGAACTTAATTTAAAGCATTTTATCCACTTAAAACATGATCACAAACTTTAAGAAATTGACCAGGGTGAGGCCAACAGCTTTAGAGATGTCTGAATTGGCCTTCTCTAAATTGTAGATTCCATGGTGTTAGAGGTCATTTGATAGAGAGCAAGTTGCAATACCACAGTATTTTTTTCTGTCTTGATAGAAATTTTTATTAGAGAAAATACTCTGCTATCCAGAAGGATGCATTATATTGGCCTCTGCACAGCAAGCTTGGGTTCTAAATAAAACTTAATTTGTGCCAATGGGGATTGCATCAGCTGGTTACACACACACACACACTCACACACACACACACACACACCCCTCTGGTGATTCTTACTTTCTGTCTTCTGTCATCATAGTGTTTATTGTAGCAACACCTGCAAAATACTTCTAGAGGATTTGTTCTGGGTAGCACTGTTTGTTATAAGCTCCTCTCAGCTTCACGTATTTTCTGGGAAGGTCCACAGCCCCCATTCTCATTTTGGCCAGTAACTCCCACCTGAGGCAGTTCCCATCATATCTGTGAGGTTTGTTAAACGAGTTTACTTATTTAGGTGTTGGTTGCCTTAATTCAGAGGTAAGAATACTGACTTGAAGGACTGAAAGTTTAATGAAGGGTCCTGAAGAACTTAAGAGTTTTTCCCAATGCCGGCCAGGTGAGATGGCGCATGCCTGTGATCTTAGCACTTTGGGAGGTGGAGGCAGGAGGTTTGCTTGAGCCCAGGAGTTTGGGACCAGCCTGGGCAACACAGCAAGACCCCGTCTCTACATAAAAAATGGGTTTTCCAATGTTAATGTTCAGTGGCTTGATATATTTAATTTCTGTCCTTCTTGCTGTGTTCAGTACAAATCTAGTAGAGAAGCACCTCCCCAGAGATCGTCAACTATATAGCAGGCCCCAGGAAACAGAGCCTGGCTCCAGGCATTACCTGCCATGCCTCTTTAGAAGCTTCCCTCTTCCAACCAGTGGCCTCCATCCTACCTCCTGCCCTCCCAGGATTCAGTTTTCTAAGTATAAAGCTGTTTGAAACCATACATGACTGAAGTTAGAGGGGAGCTTACCTTTGTCATCTACCCTAATTCTTCATTGAACAGATGGACAAACTGAGGCCAAGGGAAATTAGTGGCTTGCCCAAGGTCACAATGTCAGCCAGGAGCAGAGCTGGGCTATGTGTCTCCTGACTCCCAGTTCAGTGCTCTCTCCATTGAGCCAAGATGCCTGGCATCAAATGATTGAGGCTTTACAGGGTTGCTGTGCCTAGAGATGACTTTCTGTACCATATTTTCTTTGGTAAGATTTCAAGCTAAATATCTCTCTCAGCTCTAAAATATTTATACCGAGTATCAGGGGTCTGTGGACACCATTGCTTCATTAAGTTTGGCAGTAGAGGCAGCATCCCCAGCAGTAGCAGGGAGCCTGGTGGGTCAAGTACAACTCACCCCTCTTCTGGGGAGATGTGGCCTCAGTGTGGGGGGGCCCCAGTGAACCATTTGCTGAAATGATATAAACTTCATTTGCAATTCTTGGGGTCTGTAACGGCCACGTGAGTGATGAAGAAACACACATTTAATTAGCAGATGTTATGTTCTAGATTCCACGCTGAGCATCACAATGGCTAAAGCTGGGGCTTTGTAGACAGTCATATAGGTTTAAGTCCCAGTTCAACTAGTTATTAGCTGTTAAATCTTGTGCAAGTTATCTAACCTCTAGACTTTAGCTCACATATCTGTAAAATGGAGCTGCTGCTGCTGTTACCTACCTGTCAAGTTTGTTATTGAATGAAATAAATTAATATTTATAAAGCACCAGAACAATGCTTTCTAAGCACTTACCAGGTAAGTGCTGTATAGTGATTGCTATATAGTAAGTGCTATATGGTGATTGCTGTTACTATGCAAATTAAAATTATATTCACATAAAACATTAACACGTATTTTTTACTAGGATGAAAAGATACAGATTATATACATTAGAATTGCTACCTATGAGTCTATATGGAAATTTTTTTTTTTTTGTAAAAGCAGCCAGGCACGGTGACTCATGCCTGTAATCCCAGCACTTGGGGATGCTAAGGTAGGCAGATCACCTGAGGTCAGGAGTTTGAGACCAGCCTGGCCAACATGGTGAAATCCCATCTCTACGGAAAATACAAAATCAGCCAGGTGTGGTGACGCATGCCTGTAATCCCTGTTACTTGGGAGGCTGAGGCAAGAGAATCACTTGAACTTGGGAGGTGGAGGTTGCAGTGAGTCGAGATTGTGCCATTGCACTCCAGCCTGGGCAACAGAGCGAGACTCTGTAACAACAACAACAACAACAACAACACCACAACCAGGCAAGCCATTCTAAAGCCCCTGCTTTTAATCACAGCAGATACTGTTTTGTTATTATCCCACTGAGAAGATGAATAAACTGAGGTTAAAATAGTGTAAATCAAGGCATCAAACATCCATGAAGCGGCAGGAGAAGCACTTGGAAGATGGTTTCTGGTATCAGATGGGTGATTTTAAGTCCCTCTTTTTCATCACTAAACTTCAAGATCTGCTGGCTGTCCAAAATTCATACTGTTTGAAGAGCCTGCTCAGATTCTGCTAGCCACACCAAGCTTTTGGAGAGAGTGGAGTCAAGAGACGTGTTTTCCAATTGTAGGAAGTGTTGTTTCTAATGCATGCGATGAGCTTCGTCAACAAGTTTATACAAATAGATGGGAAGAGTGTAATGTGAGAAACTGAAATAAAACCAAAATGCCCTAAAAGACAGGATTGGCTAAATAAATTATGCCTATCCATATAACAGAATATAGGTAGCCCATAATGTACT
Organism: Homo sapiens; assembly: GCF_000001405.40. Lineage (NCBI taxonomy): Eukaryota > Metazoa > Chordata > Mammalia > Primates > Hominidae > Homo > Homo sapiens. Next base: position 6,030 of record NW_025791769.1, read on the forward strand.
ACTACGGAATATGACCTAGAAAAATATTCATGACGTATTATTTTTTGAAAATGTCACAATGTGGTATATAGAATGTATGTGGTGTACAGAATGTGTGTGTATATACACACACATACACTTGTACATGTACAGAAAAATGGTAAGCGGGATGTACATATCGTAATGTTAACAGTAGTCATCTCGGGTGGGGTTTTATGGAAGAGTCTTACTTCTCTTTTCTTTCATCTATATTTTGTATTTTTTCTAGAATAAACCCATATGATTTTTTAAAAGGAAAAATAATTTATTAAAAATAGCAGCAGAGGCATGTATAGTAAAGGCTGTTTTGCCTGTGGGTGGTGCTCCTCTTCTGCGCTTCTATAATCAGCTTGGAAATAATCTTGTCTGCTCCTGCCTGGCTGATGCAATGCTCCTACCTTTGTGCACAGGTGGCTGTTCTTGCACAAGGCCATTGCAGCATGGATCCTATTGCACAGTTATTCAGTACACAGTCAGCTACAAGCACTGACATAGAGCTTGGCACATGTCTGCAAACCCTACCCACATGCTCGGATATGTTTGAAATGAATGAATTAATGAACCGGTCTGGGGTCAACAGCTTGAATTTGTATACAGGCTCCGCCATTTATAGGCTAGGTGAGTCCTAGGCTCCTGATCTGTACTGCAGCAATAGTAATCATAACTTAAGAGACCTCCAATTGTGTTTTGAAAATGGCAAAGTGCTGGTCACAAGATGGCTGGGGAAGCCGAGAGAGAGTTTATTATTATTGCTCCATCTACTAACAAATTTACATCTCCCCATCCCTCATTTCTCCTTGGCTGCCTAAGGCATCATGGTTACCGTAGCAGCCAGATGCTGATGATGCCTCCAGGGGACGGCAAGGTGAAACTGAGCCAGTTCCCAGTCCTCACCTCCCCATACTCTTTCCAGGCCAGGGTGAGATGGTCTGAAGCTCAATCTCTGGTCAGGTCCCCCACTCTGTCTTGGATCATTTAGACCCACAAACTCTGCCTCTGCAATCTCAGTTCAGGGCCTTGAAACACCTCTTCAGAGACTCCCTCCTCCCCAAGCTCTGTCTTCTGGCAACCTGCCTGGTTGCCGTGGAAACAGGTTCCACTGCGGACAAAGGAGGGAGCTGGGTCCTGCTTCCTCCTGGTCTTGTCGATGAGGATTTTTAGACCGTGGAGACTGCGCTGCCCTGCCCTGCACCTACCCTCACTCTCCGTGTTCTCACTAAGGTGGAAATTGCCTTCCCTCACTACTGACGAGACCATGTGTAAAAGCGTGACCACAGATGAGTGGAAGAAAGTCTTCTATGAGAAGATGGAGGAGGCAAAGCCGGCTGACAGCTGGGACCTCATCATAGACCCCAACCTCAAGCACAATGTGCTGAGCCCTGGTTGGAAGCAGTACCTGGAATTGCATGCTTCAGGCAGGTGAGTAGCCCAGGAAGGTGGATCCCTGCAGGCCGCCTCTAGGTCCCTAGCTCTGGGGCACCTTCCAAGGAGAGGAAGATTACGTAGAACCCAAGTGTTTAGCTTCAATCTCACTATTAGGCTGGCGTAGACTGGAAGTCAGAGAAAGAGTCCCTAACTGGGAACTACGACACTTGAGTTGGATTTCAGCTCTTCTACTGATCACCTGTGTTACTCTTCCTCTCTGAGTCACAATTTTTCCGTCTGGAAAATAAAGACATAGAATATACGTATGAGTCCTACACACTGACATTTTACATATTTTCTATTTTAACAGTCTCTTAAAAAGTAGTTTAAAACCAGAGAAGAAGGGTTTGAGGCCCACTGGGGGTCGAGACGTCCGTGCTCTGGTCCTGGGACCGGTTTAAATCTATTTAACTCAACTTAATTTCACTTAAAATATTGAATACATGAGATGTGCCAGAAACTGGCTCTATCATTGGCTCCATGGCTGTTGAGGAACTCGATTTTCTTCTTGGACCTGGCTTTCTCCTTTTGCACAGTGAGAGGTTAGCCTGTGGTCCACAGAGCAGCAGGATCGGCATCACCTGGAATTTGTTAAGAAAGCAGAATCTTGGGCCCCTTTTAGATCTGAATCAGAATCTGATTTCAAGAAGAGTTCTAGGTGATTAGTATGTAAAAACTATCTGAGATGAATTTCTAGCACTCTTGTTCATGGGTCCAGAGTGTAGGGGCTTACCTTTGAGACATAAGATGGGGAGGCTGAGTGGTGCAGCCTGGAAGTCAGAAGCAAGGCCTTCCTGCTTGCCCTGGTTCAGCCAATTCACTTCAATTCAGGAAACATTACTGGGCACCTGTTACGTGCTGGGCGCCGGTTCTGCCTCTAGCTGTGTGTACATGGATGCCTCTCTCACTCTGTCTCAGCATAAAAGAAAACATTAATTAGGTGATTTCCAGGTCCCTCTAGTTACGACATTTTTCAATCCAGGTTTTGTAGTCTGGTCTGAGAGAGGAAACAGTCCCCAAAAGATGTGTGAACAAGAAGAGAATGAAAATGTGAAGCTCCTAAACTGGCTGACAGGAGGGGTGTCAAGGGCTGGACACTTACAGGCAGGATCAGGAGCTTCTTGAAGACCTGGAAGGCTGTGGGGGCTGAGTGGGGAGGGCTTGTGGCTGCCCCAGACCTGGCTGGGGACCTGTAATCCCCAGCTGGCCCCAGTCAGGCCTGGGAGACTACAGGCCTTGGGGATCTGGGCACAGACTGCCTCCACCTCCAGGCCTTGTGATGCATTAACTCTGACACTGGCCTGGACGTTGATAGCTAGTAATGGTGTCATTTTCTCCTAATTTGGATCTAGCCTGTTCACAGTCAGTGTTAACAGATAGAAATGTGCAGATGGATTATGTGTTTCTTATCTGGTGTGAGAAGGAAGGACTCACCTAGTGCACCAAGCGCATTTTGCCCATGAGGAATAAGAATGACGCCCAATGCTGGGGTGGTGGGAGTTAGGCCTCTGGAAAGCACTGAGGAGGTAGAGCACTGCTGGATGCCCGGTGACATCCTGAGGAACCTGCTGTAGTCCTAGGGGCACTTGCAAGGCTGAGTGGCTTCCTGGGGAAAGCTAATGAACCCAGGGCGCCGGCAACACACTTCCTCCACCTCCAGGCTCTGCTTAGCCTCCACGTCCCCTCACGCCATTCCTAGGGCTGTTTCCACCACCTCCGCCCGTCTTCTATTCCTCCCTCTCCTCCCGTCTCCGCAGGTTCCACTGCTCCTGGTGCTGGCACACCTGGCAGTCGCCCTACGTGGTCATCCTCTTCCACATGTTCCTGGACCGCGCCCAGCGGGCGGGCTCGGTGCGCATGCGCGTCTTCAAGCAGCTGTGCTATGAGTGCGGCACGGCGCGGCTGGACGAGTCCAGCATGCTGGAGGAGAACATCGAGGGCCTGGTGGACAACCTCATCACCAGCCTGCGCGAGCAGTGCTACGGCGAGCGTGGCGGCCAGTACCGCATCCACGTGGCCAGCCGCCAGGACAACCGGCGGCACCGCGGAGAGTTCTGCGAGGCCTGCCAGGAGGGCATCGTGCACTGGAAGCCCAGCGAGAAGCTGCTGGAGGAGGAGGCGACCACCTACACCTTCTCCCGGGCGCCCAGCCCCACCAAGTCGCAGGACCAGACGGGCTCAGGCTGGAACTTCTGCTCTATCCCCTGGTGCTTGTTTTGGGCCACGGTCCTGCTGCTGATCATCTACCTGCAGTTCTCTTTCCGTAGCTCCGTATAAGATTCCGTGGTTGGGCCCAGAGCCTGTCGAGGGTGCCAGTTAGCTGATGCGAGGGTAGAGGAGAGACGTGGGTTGAGAATAGTGTAAACTTCTAGCGCTGGTGATGTCACTGACTCAGTGGGGATCTTGGACAAATTATACAGTTTTTCCATCTATAAAACTCAGGGTTTGGGCAAGATCATTGGTTTATCATAGTGAAACCCAGGACCCCAAAGTTCTGCGTAGGTGCCTCAGGGACTTTTGGATTTGGAAAGTAGGCTAAGCTAGTGGGTGTCTCCAACTCCTGATCTAAACACCCATCCTCCAACTCCTACCTCCTCCTCTTGCTTCGATCAGAACAGCTTTACTTTAGATAGGGTTCCATTTAAGATTTTTGTACCAAAAAAAAAAAAAAAAAAAGTTTAACTACTTTTAAAAAGTTTGAAAATTAGAGGACTGGGTGATCTCAAAAGGGCTTTCCACAGTAATGAGCTCGACCTTGCTCTTATTAGTCCCTCACCCCTGCCCCTCATGATCTCCCACTTTCTCTAGCTGCAGCCTTAAATTAGCTTCTTTGCCCACCCTGTGAGCCTCATCCGTGATTCTGCCTTCACACACGCAGCAGAGGTTTCCCTTGAAGTGCAAGAGGTGGGAGATCAGGCTGTTCCTTTGCTGCCAGGTACACAGGGTCTCTTTTTTTTGTTTCTCAGATTCCAGCTTCTTTCCACTCAGGGCAGATTCTGGGGTCTGCCTGCCTGAAAGATGGTGGTTGGGGTGGGGTCTCATAGAGTTAGGCTTCTCACCCACTGCGTATTAACTGGCAGAGAATTTAGGGGAGGTTCAGAAGACAGAGTTTTAGAAGCAAAGCACAAAATCTCTGGGAGGCATTATAATGGAGGGTCTTCAGAGTTCGGGGACCAAGTCTAGCAGATTCTCAGCAGTGCTGATGGCCAGAATTCAGGAGCAGGGGCCTGGCCTCCTGGGTTCTTTGCTGAAATTATAGTTGAATGGCTTTCTCACATTGGCCAAGCATGAGGCCTCTTGCCAAAGATCAGCTGTCCCCCTAAAGCCACAGGGATGGGGTATCTTCAGCAAGAGAGAGGGCGTTAAAGATGTAAAATGCTTTGTCCATGGGGAAGTGCACAGATATGTGGGAGAACCTTACAAGGCTCTAAAATGAGATGTGATATGGCTTGAAATGGGAGGAGACACTTTCTGACAGTGGGGGGTCTGGAATGGAATTGGTGGGGACAGGCAGCAAGCTGCACTTTTGAGGGGCCTCATTTACCCCACCTCTGTTAAAAACTTGACTACTCTCCTCTTTAATAGAAAGTCACCATCATCTGTAGTGATGGAGGAAGGGGGTCACTTATATAAAGATGGGACACTTTAATAAAGACAGGATATCTTCCATAAGGCTTAGTAGTCATTAATGTGTGTTTGAGATTCCCCCACTGTCCCAGATCTGTAATGAGCTATTGGTCCCCTCCATCCCGCCACCCTGTCTCCCCTTTTCTCCCTTCTGCCCCCTGACCCCACTGCCACATAAGGCTCTATCTAGCTCCAGTTTTTGGCCAGTCTCGTCCACAGTCAGGAGGGATGGAAGTCAGTCATTCAGGGGATCAGCATAAGGTCAGTTTTACTCCTATCCTGGCTCGAATTCAAGTAAGCAGCGATGGCTTCCTTTACTTCATTCACAGAGTATTTATTTCTTCATCTAGTCCGCATATCCTGAACACCTGCTATCTAGCAAGTCCTGATTTACTTGCTAGACAGTAGGTGTTCAGAATATGCAGACTAGAGGAAGAAATGAATACTGTGGGTGCAGCGGAATATAGGGGGTGCTCTCTGGTTTCTCAGACATCTCTGCTTGCTACAGAAGTTTTCAGCCCTGGCTGTACTTCAGAAATTCTGGGGAGATTTTAAAGAAATATAAGTACTTAGCCTCTACCCCAGACCAATGGGATCAAAATTTGGGGGAAGTGGGACCTGAGCATCTGAATTAGAATAAAACACCCAGGTGATCGACCTGTACTGCCTGGTGTAATGCCTTCTAACTGAGGGATAGACTTCCTTTTGCATCTAGTTTTATGAAAAATGAGCCCTGAGATCTTCCTTGATGATTTGCCCTGGATTCTTTAGGACTGGGGCTCGGCTTCCCTTTCTCTAGCTGCCCTACTCACCCCCAGCCTGTGCTCTGGGGAGTTCACCGTCCCTCACACTCCCTTGCTCCTGCAGGTTTGCTGCTACAATGGCTGTGTTCTGCTCTGAGAGTCTTTGTCACTGAGCTCTGCCACCCTTGCTGGGACACTCATAAAACTTGTTATAATTACTCATCCCTGCTAGGATGTAAGTTCCAAAAAGCATAGACTCCATGGATTTCATTCACCTCTATTGAATGCATAACAAATGTTCAATAAAAATGTATTGAATGAATAAATGAACCAATAAGCTGAGCCATCTCCAGCCAGATCCTCACCTCTCTAGCATATTATGCTTGTGACGATATTCGGAGTCTCCTTCTCACTTCACCACTCATTCTTTCTATGTCTTGAACTTACATATCCCAGAGCAAATCAGTTTAAATTAAGGTACTTGAAGTAGGGACGGCGTTTTGTTTTTATTTTTGTTTTGTTTTAAGATGATAGCATGGGGTCATGTGAAGGGGCCTGAACACTGCATTGGGAGCTGTGGGTCCTCATTTTATTTTAATTGGGTTCTGCTGGGACTTTTGGGGGGGTCATTATTCTCTCTGGGTCTTAGATGCTCTTATGATATGAAGCATTCTGAAGTCTGTCTTTGTGCCATCCTGTATTAGCCCATATAAAGCATTTTTACACACTTTCCAATGACAAGTTCTCCAGCCTGTATTTGAGCACCCCCAGTGACAGGAGATCATTACCACCCAAGGCAGCTCATGCCATCTTTGGATAGTTCTGCCTTTTAAAGAAGACTTTTTCCTTTTAAGCCTCCCTCAAAAGGGTTTGAATTTTTTCACTTTCTGGTTCTGGTTCTCACAAGTGGGATCCCACAGGGGAGGATGTTTCCTATTCCCCATACAGATCTTTTCTCAGCACTGCAGCCAGGGCAATCCTTTTAACCTAAGTCAGATCCTGCCATTCTTGTGCTCCCTTTTGTGTTCTGTAAAAGCCAAATCCTGCAAGGCCAAACGTGGTGTGGCTTCAGCCGTGTTACTGATATCCTCTAGTACTCTTTGCCCTCATTTCTGTAGCTACCCTGGTTTCTTTGCTGTTCCCCAAATACACAGGCATGTATGTGCTTAGGGCCTTATTCTACCTGTTCCCTCTGCCTGGAATGGTCTTTCCCAAGAAATTCACTTGCCTCACTTTGTGACCTCCCTCAAGTGTTGGCTCAAGTCTCAACTCAGATGCTCTTCTCAGGCCTTCTACTTCATGCTGTCACCTGTTCCCCCACCCCACCCTCTCGCTCCTGGTTCGCCTTGCGCTTACCTTAGCCTGTGTTTTCAGAAAGCAGAAGTCAAGGCAGAGGTTTATGTGATAGTATTTGACTGGGGAGCATGACCTCAGAAAGCTGGAGTAAGGCAGAGGGAGCACAGCAAAGCAGGAGGGAAATCCAATGGAAGGAGGTCTTGTCAAGTTGGCCATCTCCGCTGGTGAAGGGTTGTTCAGTCCCAGAAAACCATCTGAGAAGCCGGATGAAATGCATCTCCAGATCACTTGGGAGTAAAGGGCTATCTATCCCCTGGCTCCTGTCTTCCAATAGCTGAAGGTTGCCCCATAGGATGTTAACTTCCCTCCACTCTGGGTTGTGGTACACTAATTGAATGAAAACATGAATGAATAAGTACTGAAAGAGTATCAGAAGACAAGGTTAGTGTCCTTGCTCTGACTTTCTCAAGGTACAATTTCCAGTTTCTGACTTTTGCAGTCCTGTTCTGGTTGGGTTTCTTTCTGGGGGCCCAGCATCCACTCCACATCCTTTAAAAATAGCACTCTGACTTCCTTTTCCGGGAATTACCTGTACCCCATGCAATATAACGTGGTGGCATATCAAAGAACTCTGCACCTCCCCTCAACTCCCAAGCAAGGAGCACATGCCCTAAGAGAAGTTGATTGGAATTTCAATGATAAGCAAAGTGATAAAAACACTAAAAACGGATGGAGCCTATCAATTCCAGTGGTGGCCCCCGACATAATTGTAAAATTGTTTCTATTGTTTTTCCTATTCATATCTCCTGCATGGCCAATTTTTTCTTTTTTTTTTTTTTTTTTTTTTTTTGAGATGGAGTCTAGCACTGTCGCCCAGGCTGGAGTGCAGTGGTGCGATCTCGGCTCACTGCAAGCTCCACCTCCCGGGTTCACACCATTCTCTTGCCTCAGCCTCCTGAGTAGCTGGGACTACAGGCTCCCACCACCAAGCGTGGCTAATTTTTTTGTATTTTTAGTAGAGACGGGGTTTCACCGTGTTAGCCAGGATGGTCTCTACAGCATGGCCAAATTTTGTCGTTTGCTGATACTTGTTCTCCACTCTTTCTGATTCTGCGAACTTTCCCCATAGCTTTTCAATACTTTCCCTTTTATGCTTAAATCAGCTGCCATCTCTGTGTGTTTCAACCAAAGGACTCTGGCTGATACACCAGGACTTCTCCACTGGGTCAACTCTGACGATGAAAGCTCAGACCAGAGCTCCATCTGCCCTCTCCCTGGACCTTCAACTTCTCTGTTCTCTGTGCTGAAGCACCTGCGTCAACCCCACACATTCCCCTACAAATCTTGCCTTTTCTTCTTCTATTTTTTTTTTTTTTTGAGATGGAGTTTCGCTCTTTCACCCAGGCTGGAGTGAAGTGGCATGATCTTGGCTCACTGTAACCTCCGCCTCCCTGGTTCAAGCGATTCTCCTGCCTCAGCCTCCCAAATAGCTGGGATTATAGGTGCCCGCCACCATGCCTAGCTAATTTTTGTGTTTTTAGTAGAGACGGGGTTTTCCCATGTTGGCCAGGCTGGTCTCAAACTCCTGACTTCGGGTGATTCACCTGCCTCAGCTGCTCAAAGTGCTGGGAGTACAGGCATGAGCCACCACGCCCAGCCAAATCCTGCCTTTTCTCCTTCCATTTACAATGAGATGTTTCAAGGACTGTTCATAGGCTGCCTCCACATTTACACTTCCAGTTAATTCTACAGGCTAACGTTCACCCCACAATGTTGCAGAAATTGTCCTCATCCAGCTCACAATCAGGCATCTTATGGCTACATACAATGAACACATTTCAACCTTATTTTTCTTGGCCTCTCACAGGAGTTCAACACTATTGACCATCTCCAAACACTTGCTTTACTTGGTTTCAGGGACATGCACCCTCCTGATTTACCTTCAGCTTTTCTGTCTCCTTCCTCTTTTCTTTACAGGTTTCTCTGCCTCTGCCTGCCTCCTGAATGTTGGTATTCTTTAGGCTCCAATTCCAAGTCTTAGTCTCTTTGATCTTCTCATATTTGTCCATGTCCTCTGGCTGATTGAATCTATTCTGAGTGTTCTTTAATATCTGTATGCTAATGACTCAAATATACATCTCAAGGCATGAATTTTCTTCTTGACTTCTTACATTTATGTTCTCCTTGACATCTCTGTTTGACTGTTTCACAGGCATTTCAAAGTCAACATGTCCTAACTGATTCTAAAGTATGTTTTCCCTCTGGTGTTCCATAAGATTTTTTATTTTAACTATTTTTAATTGCACAATTCAGTGACATTAAGTACATTCACATTGCTGTGTAACCATCACTGCTGTTTATCTCCAGAACCGTTTCATCAACCCAAACTGAAACTATCAAATCATTTCACAGCCCCACGACAACCACCATTCAAGTTTCTGTCTATGAGTTTGACTATTTTACCTAGTTTACTTTAATATATAGGGAGTCATTTATTTTCTTCCCCTCATATTTATTTCAAGCAATGACTTCATGTTTCCAGTGGCATAGTAGCCACAATATTTGTCCTTCTGCATCTGGCTTATTTCACTTAGCATAATATTTTCAAGGTATGTAATATTAAAGCATGTATCGCAACTTCCTTCCTTTTTAAGGTTGAATTGTATTTCCTTGAATGTATATACCACATTTTGTTTATTTATTTTGTCTTAGCCCATTTTCTGTTCTTACAACAGAATACCCGAAACTGTGTAATTTATAAAGCAAAGAAATATATTTCTTACAGTTATGCAGGCTCAGGAGTCTAAGGATGAGGTGCTGCATCTAGTGAGGGCCTTCTTGCTGGTGGGGACTATTTATGGCATCACAAGGTGGCATCACATGGCAAGGGGACTTAGCATGCTAATGTGCTCACTCAGGTCTTTCTTCTTTTTCTTATAAAGCCGCCAGTTCTCCTCCCATGATAACTCATTAATCCATTAACCTATTAATCCATGAATGGATTACTCCATTTGTGAGGCAAAGCCTTCATGACCTGATCACCTTTTATAAGCCCCACCTTTCAATACTGCCACATTGGGGATGAAGTTTCAATATGAGTTTTTGAGAGGACACTCAAACCATAGCATTCTGTCCTAGCCCCCAAAAACTCATGTCCTTCCCACATACAAAGACATATATTCCATCTGCATAGCTCCAAAGTCTTAACTTGGTCCAGCAGCAACTTAAAGGTTCAAAGTCCTAAGTCTTATATATGAGCCTGTGAAATCAAAACAAAATATCTACTTCTAATATACAATGGTGGGACAAGCATATCGTACACATTCTTATTCCAAAAGGGAGAAATAGAAAAGAAAGAAGGGGTAACAGGCTTTAAGCAACTCAGAAACCCAAGAAAGTAGACATTGGGTCTTAAGACTCCAGAATGATCTCCTTTGACTCCATTTCTGGCATCTTCTACACACTAGTATGGGGGTTGGGCCCCACAAGCCTTGGGCAGCTCTGCCTCTGAAGCTTGATTGGGGTCCGTCCACCCAGCTCTTCCAGGCTGGGGTCTTGGTGGAATTCCATTCCCAGAGCTCCATGAGGCATTGCCCTACTGAAGACATTCTACAGCAGCTCTGACCCTACATTTCTGCTTGGCATTGCTCTAGTAGAGGCTCTCTGTGGTGGCTCTACTGTCATGACAAGTCTTTGTCTGTGCTGTCACGTTATCAATGACATTTTCTGAAACTTAGACGAAGGCTTAATAAGCCTCCACAGCTCTTGCTTCTTGCAAGTCAGCAGAATTAGCACCATGTGGATGCTGCCAAGGTTTATGACTTACCTTCCAGATCTGCAGCATGAGCCACACCTTGGCCTGCTTGAGTTCTTGCTGGGGTGTCCTCAGAGTACTGTGCTGGGGCACAGAGTCTGGAGGTGGTCTTGGGCAGTAAGCCCACAGAAAGTGCCTGGGCTTGCTCCCTGAAACCATTCTGCCCTCCTAGGCCTCTGGGTCTGTGATAAGAGGGGCAGCCTTGAAAATCTCTGAAATGCCTTTGAGGTCTTTCTTCCATTGTCTTGAGGAATAGCACCTGGATCCCTTCTAGCCATGCTAATCTCTTTAGCAAATGGCCTCTGGGCTACATCCTTGCTTTTTCACTTTTTACATGGCCAGGCTGATAAATTTTCAAATCTTTCCACTCTGCTTCCCTTTTAATTATAAATTCTTCCAATTATTTTTTTTGTTCCTCAGCCTCAGTGTAAGCTGCCAAAAGTAACCATGCAGCTGCTTGTTTTGCTTAGAAATTTATTCTGCCAGATACCTTAGCTCATCACTTCCAAGTTTGGCCTTCCACAGAGTTCTTGAGTGTGGACACAGTTCAGCCAAGTTCTTTGCAAATTTATAACAAAGATGGCTTTTATTCCAGTTTCAAATACTTTGTTCCTCAGTTCTATTTGAAACCTCATCAGAATGGCCTTTACTGTTCATATTTCCATCAGCACTCTGGTCATGACCACTTAACCAGTCTCTAAAGAGTTTCAAACTTTCCCTAGTCTTTTTGTCTTCTAAGCCTTCATCAGAATCTAGGCATTTCCTAGACTGCTCCTCCAAATTCTTTCAGCCTCTGCCCATTACCTGATTCTAAAGCCAATTCCACATTTTCAGGTATTCATTACAAGCAGCACCCCACTCCTTGGTAGCAATTTTCTCTCTTAGTCTGTTTTCTGTTGCTTCTAACAGGATACCTAAAACTCCATTCATCCATTGAAAAACATTTGAATTGTTTCCACCTTTTGCCTATTGTGAATAATGCTTCCACAAACATTAGTGGGCAATGATTCATCTGTTTGAATTCTTGCTTTCAATTCTTTAGGTAATTTTGTAGTTGTTCAAGATGGGGCATTTGGAGTATAGCCACCTCTTCCAGTCTTTGCAGACTGGCTTTGTGCCAGAGAAGCCCTTCACTAATTAGCTGGGCGTGCCCTGTACCTAGGGATCAGCCAGAGGTGAAAGCTTAAAGTCTTTTCAGTTCTTTTATGAGCATGCATCTTGACTGGGCCTATGGCTTTTTCAATTTCCCAGTATACAGGCCTGCTTTTGAATGTCTTCATTTCCCAGAGTCTCACTCCAGCTTCTCCTCTGGGTCTTAGATGATCTATTGTGTAGCTCCACCTGTAATGTCTCGCCACAGGTGTCTGTGGAGCTTTTTAAAGCAGACTCCCATGCCTGCGACCCTAGGTTAAAGAGGGAGATTAGCCCTCCAGGCAGCCCCACAAAGATGTTAAAACATTGCAAATAAGGTCTGATCTGCTCCTTCTGTTCTAAAGGAGGATATTGGGCATGGGCTGCTGCATCTCCCTGTGCCACACCAGGGAAAGTGTGGGTCAAGGGTGAGTAAAAACACCATGAATTTCCTGATGTTTTGAATGTGGCTTTTTCTTGACTGAGCCTTCACTTCTTTGCTGTGGACCTTTTACCATTTTCCAACACTCCTATAAAGTTAATTTCATTGAGTTTCTGGTTGTTTTAATGTTTCTATGAGGGGAACATGGGTTTGGATCTGCCTCGTCTGCCATTTCACTGCAACACACTCAACTGTTCTCCCTGTTCTTGTCTTCCTACAACCCGGCCTCCACGCAGGGCCATAATGATACCTCACACATGCTGTTCCATCTGTTCCTCTTTTCTCTTTGCCAGGCTAATTCCAACTCATTCCGTTTCCAGCCTACACTCTTTCCTCTTCATTTTATCCATTCAAGAATAGAATAGATGCTCCTGCTAAGAACAAGTATATTTCCCTCTGCTTTCCATTTCATAGGGTCTCCTTCCAACTGCAAGACTTTATGATTCTCAAAGTCTACTTAGGGAAGCAAGTATTTACAGAGTCATGGGATGTTAGAGTTGGAAGAACCATTAGAGGCTCAATCACTTCATTTCAAAAATGACAAAATGTGGTGAGAGTGTGGGAGTAACTAACCCCGGGGCCTACTGTCAGGTGATGGTAGAGCAAAGCATCCAAGTCTCACCTAGTTTTAGTCCAGAACTGTTTCCCAAGACTCTTCCTGATCTGCTAGGAAGATGTTTCAATCTAAGGAGGCCTCACCTGCCTCTCTTACTGCCTCTTATACTTGCTGCAGATGGGGAATTCTGGGTTTGCTCATGGGCTTTGCTTCTGTCTTGGCAAAGATTTCTCTGTGATAGTTCTTTCTTTGCACACATTGCCACATGCCACATAATGAACTTGTTAGATGTATCTTATGTGTTATAAATAAACTCCTCAGGGAAATTCCTGGATCCTGGGCCTCTCCCACTGGAGCTTTTGTTTGCTTGTCTTGATGTTCAAGCCAGGAAGAGAACTACAAGCACTGAATTATAGTTCCAGAGGCTGAAATTCTTGGTGTAGGGTTGAGAAAAATTGTTATCTCTATTGCTTTCCTCATGCCCATCTTGACAGAGGACCAGCTCAATGGGAGGATTCCTTCTGGGGTTCAGGAGCCCTGAGAACTGAGAGGACTGCCAAGGAAGGAATATGTCCGACATAGTAAGTCCATAGACTATCAGAGCTATAAGACAAATTAGAGATGCTTTGAGCTAGGGCCCTTATTTTGCAGATGAGAAATTGAAGCCCAGAGAAATTAGGAAACTTGACTAGCATTGTATATCATGGGGTAAGAGAAGATCATGAAATTTGGGGTCAGAAAACACTTGAGTGCTGGTTCTGCTACTTACCAGCTCTGTAACCTCAAGCAAGCCTCATTTTCCTCCTCATCAAAATGGAAATAATCCTATCTGCCTTGGAGGGCTATTGCCAGGAATAAAGAATACTCTGTCTACGATAATGCCTGCTATAGGGCACATGCTCACTGAATGCTCATGCTCTTCTTTCATCCTCTTTCCCTTCTAATTTGCAGCTTCCTCTTTGAGTCCTGAAAGGCTCTTCCTTCTCTATGATTTCAGTTAAGCTTGGTTGGTAAATACTTAAAAAAAAAAAAAAAAAGGCAAGGGTTAATTTTGCAGCTTTGAAATGGTTTATTTATTAACTGTAGAGTTATTTATTTTCTTCCCTCATATTTATTTCAAAGCAATGATTTCATTTTTCCAGAAGCACGATGGTCACTCTTCATTCTTCAAAGATAGCTGTTTAAAAACATCTCTTTAAACAGAAAACACCAGTAATTTTCTGGGCTCCCTTCCCATTGGCTGGAATACTCCAGAGGAATTTAGTTCTTTTCCAAGTCCCATTCTGGTTCTCTGTGGGACTCCTAGCTAAGGAATTTCCTTTGGAGTCATTTTTGGCATTGCTTGGGTACTGCCACATGCACCAGGGAAATGAAATCCGCCTGTTATATGACTATGCTGTTACAGAGTCCTGTAGAGGTGGTTGCATTAGTGGTTGTGGTATAGAAGAGCTCATTGGCCTTGGAGTCAGAAAACCTTGGTTTCAGACCTGGTTTAACCATTATCTAGGCTGCTGGCCTTGGGCGACGTAGTCTTTCCTCTCCCCTAGATATCAGTTTCCTTATTTGTAAAGCAATCAGATAAAGTGCCCGAAGGGTCTCTGCCAGCTTTGACCTTAATCACAAACTGCTACTTAGCCCTATTTTGGGGAAGGAGGGGAATTTGGAATGGTGTCCTAACCCTGACCCTTCCAACAGGTCATCTGATTGTTACCCCAGGATTTCAGTCTGCCTAGGTTGATTTGGTGTTTGACCCTCTTATCTGAAACCTTCATAACATCTTTCTTTCCCTTTCTTATCTGGAAACAAACATATGTCTTACTCTCTGACTTTTCTCTAAAGGAATTCAAGTTTTTAAAGGCAGTTACCTTGAGAGGTGTTGTTTTATACAAGAACTTGGGTGATAGTGATGAAATTTCCGTCTTTTTCTTATCCTTTCACTTCTTTTAAAACAAGCTCAATAATCCTACATCACCATCTTAATAGGGTCATAATGATATTTACAGAATGTCGTAAAATATTCCCTATTTTCAAGATTCATTCATTTAATGGATGTTTATTGAGTGCATATTATGTGTCAGATATTTTTCTAGGCACTTGGGGATATGGCAGAGAAGAGCTACTAAATTGCTGTTATTGTGGATAGAGGAGCTAGACAATACACAATGTAAGTTGAGATGTGTGGTATATTAGATAGGGTTACATACTAAGAAGAAGAACAAAGTAGGCAAGGGAGATAGGAAAGGTAGGGAATGAAGTTACAATCTAAATTGGGTAGTGAGGGAAGGCCTTACTAAGAGGATGACACTGGGGGAAAAAAAAGATGAAGGAAACAAATAAGAGGAATGGCAGGTGCCAAGGCCCTGAGGCAGGAGCATCCTGAAATGTTCATACATGAGGAGGCTAATGTGTGCAGTAGGACCAGAGTGGTAACGGGGATCAGGTCACTGTCAGAACACTGGTTTTTAATCTGAATTAGATAGGAAGCCACTGGAGAAGTTGAGTGGCAGGGTGATGTTACCCAATTTACTGTCACCCAGTTGATAACAGACCATAGAGATACAAGAATGAAAGAGGAAATATTAGCCAGGAGGCTCCTGCAGTACTCCTTGCAAGAGGCTGTAGTGACCCGTTCCAGGGTGGTAGCAGCTGTGGTTGAGTCTGGATGTACTTTAAAGGTGGAGCTGAGAGGATTTGCTGGTGACTCAGATGTGCAGTATGAGAGAGAGAGGAGTCAAAGACGCCCCAAGATTTTTGGCCTGTGCAACTGGAAGAATGGAGTGTCTACTTTCTGAGATGAGGAAGGCCGTGAGGAACAAATTTTGGGGCAATATGAGGACCTCAGTTTTGGACATGGGCATTCTGTTAGACATTAAACATGAGAAATGCGAAGGTGGCAGTTGAAATATCACGCCTGTGGTTTAGAGGAGGTGCCCAAGCTAGAGATGAAATTGGAGAGCCATCAGCATTTAGGTGGTTTTAAATGTCATAAGCCTAGATGAGATTATTTAGGGAGTGAGGGTAGAGAGGAAAGAAAAGAGGCCAAAGAGCTGAGCCCAGGGAATCCCCATGTAGAGAGGTTGGAAAAATAAGGAGAAACTAACAGGGAGACTGTGGGGACTGAGGCACAGAGAGCAGGATTCCCTGGGGCTTTCAGAGCTTTGGGAGCAGAGTGAGGACTGGAATCCAGGCCTTCACAACCAGGTTCAGAGCTCTGTCTACTGGCCCAAGGCTCCTTCTCTCTCATGGCACCAGCTACTTCTCGTATTGGAATCTTGCTGATGTCCCTTGCATGGGACACATTGTTTCATCGAATCTGAGCAGGAGGTGGATTTTTGTCTCTATTTTTTTTTCAGTGCACTTGAAGTACTTCATAACTTTAAAATGCACTCAAATGAAAAGACTTGGTGGGAGGCCCAGACTGCTATCATGGATTTGGGCGTCAGACATGCAAACTCAGACCAAAGGGAGATGTTGTCAGAGTTGTTAAAAGAAGGATTCTGTTGTCTTGGATCCCACTGGCAGGCCTGGGCCACACATGAGCATTTAACTGGCAGGGATTAAATAAACCAGATGGTCCCAGGCGATGGGCAAGATGGGATAACGTCACAGGACAAATAGCCCAAGGGGAGAAGAGAGTCCTCACTTTCAAACTAGGTCAGCATCTTCTGAGACCACAGGCCTGGTCTACATCTACACTGTGACCTTCGGATCCCCAGGCTTGCTCTGGTTGGTGCTGGCCTGTTGGTATCCATTGGGGTATCATAACCTCTGACTTTGTAGAGGTCTCCTTTGGGACTGAAAGATGCTGGCAGGGAAGACATGTTTTTGCCCATGCTGATCTGTTTGTCATTCAGACACTCACCCTGGGTACCGTCCAGGCCCCACACACCTTCCCATTGTCATCACACTGCTTTATCCTAATACCCCATTCCTCAGAGAAGACTCCCTTGGTGGCTTTGTGATCTGCCTAGGTGTTGAAATGGTCCTGGTTCTTTTTCCTTATTATCAGAAGCTCATTGCTAGGAATTGAGCTTGTGTTTCTGCATTCAAATGACATTTTTCTTTTCTTCTTGAAAAAAAAAATGCCAACACAGGAAATTGTTGCAAAGGCACTGTTTGTCTCCTTCCCTCAAGTTCAGAGAACCCATGGCTTCCTTTCTATGGACAAGTGCTGGTACCAGTGGGTCACAGAAAGACCAGGGACCTGGGAAACGATTTCTGCTTTTGGGTTTTGGTTTCTGCCCTCTTTTCTCTCTACTTCTCTACTAATTCACTGTGAAGTGTTAACAGAGGTTGAGAATCTGTTAAAAGTGACTTCTCTAAGCCCAGCCCTAGGTTCTCAGAGCCCCCAGAAGGAGATTCCTCTCCTCCCTGTAAGCTGGCCTGCCTCGTTCAGGACCATTAGGTCTCTTGCCTAATGTACTGTAGCCATCTTGAGTCTCCCTCAGTTCACTGCATTTAATGCCTCATTTGAAAGGGAAAGCTGATCACATCTCTCTTTGGTTTAAAATCCTTAGATGGCTCCCTATTCCCAAAAGCAAGCTGTGTATTCAAGGCTTTTTATAATCCTGCACATAGAGATCTTCCCAAATGGTGTGATGTTCTTTCTCCCAAACTGTCTGTCTCTCTAGGGACTATATCATTCAGTTTTCCACAAATGCCTGGTGTCCTTTCATATCTCCGCTTTCTCATATGCTACTCCCCATTGCCTGGGATGCTCCTCCTCCTCTTGGTTTACTACTGCAAGGTAAAACAGTACCATTCTTTCCAGAAAACACTAGTGCAGAAAGGTCTTAGCAATGGTGTTGCTACTGAGAGTCACAAAATAGTTCTGGACCACGGGCTACAATATCAGGGAATCTATCTCATCTCTGTCTCTTGCTGGTTGAGTGACCTAAGTCAGAGGTTGCACACTGGTGGGAGAGCCTATAATAATGACTTTCAAATTGCATGTCCATTAGAATCACCTGTGGATCTTTAGAAAATCCCAGTGCTCAGGCCTTACTCTAGATTGATCATATTTGGATCTCTGTGGTTGAGACACAGACATTGGCATTTCTTTAAACTCCCCAGGTAATGCCTGTGTGTAGCCTTGATTGAGAGCCATTGGTGTTAGAGTTAAGGGATTAGGCTCCAGAGTCCATCAGAACTGGTTTCAAATCCTGGTTTCTCCATCTCCTAGCTGAGAGATCTTGGGTCACATTTTTTTAAATGACATTTTTGTTTTGAGAAGTATTGGAAGGTTGTGAAGATGGTACAGGAAGTTCTGATGAATACTACACCAGTTTCCTCTATTATTACCATCTTATATTTGTTTAGTACATTTCTCACAATTAATGAACCAAGATTGATACGTTATTATTAAATAAAGTCCAAATTTTATTCAGATTTCCTTAGTTTTCACCTGATGTTTTTGTCTTTTCCAGGATCCCATCCAGGATATCACATTACATTTATTTGTCATATCTCCTTAGGTTCTGTATTAGTGTCCTGGGGCTGCCCAACCTGGGTAGCTTAAAACAACAGACATTTATTATTACACAGTTTGGAGGCTAGAAGTCTGCAGTCAGGGTGTTCCCTCTGAAACTTGTAGAAGAGAATCCTTCCTCACCTGTTCCTAGCTTCTGCTGGTTTGCTGGCAATCCTTAGCATTTCTTGGCTTGTAGCTACAAAACTTCAATCTCTGCCTTCATCAAGACATGATATTCTCCCTCACGTGTCTGTGTCTCTGTGTCTTTACTTTTCTTTTTTTTTCTTTTTGTGGAGAAGGAGTCTCACTCTGTTGCTCAGGCTGGAGTGCAGTGGCGTGATCTCAGCTCACTGCAACCTCCGCCTCCCGGGTTCAAGTGATTCTTCTGCCTCAGCCTCCCAGGTAGCTGGGATTACAGGCACCCACGACCATGCCTGGCTAATTTTTGTATTTTTAGTATGCATGGGGTTTCACAGGTTGGCCAGGCTGGTCTTGAACTCCTGACCTCAAGTGATCTGCCTGCCTTGGTCTCCCAAAGTGCTGGGATTATAGGCATGAGCCACCGTGCCTGGCCTACTCTTCTTATAAGGATGCCCGTCCTATAGGATTAATTAAGGGCCCGCTGTACTCTAGTATGACCTTTTCTTAACTAATTACAGCTGCAATTATCCCATTTCCAAATAAGTTCACATTCGAAGGTACCGGGGGGTGGGACTTTAACATATCTTTCCCATTTTGGCTCCTCTTGGCTGTGATAGTTTCTTAGAATGTCCCCGTTTTTGATGACCTTAACAGTTTTGATGAGGGTTGGTCAGGTACTTGGTAGAATGTCCCTCAGTTGGGATTTACCTGATGTGTTTCTCATGATTAGCCTGGGGTTATGGGATTTGGAGGGAAGAACACAGAGGTACAAAGCCATTTTCATCATGGCACACAAAGTCACATAGCATCCATGTGACTTAACACTTTTGTATTAACCTTGATTACCCGGCTGAGGTAGTGTTTATCAGGCTTCTGCACAGCAGAATGATTGTGTCCTGCCCCACCTTTTATACTATATTCTTTGGAAAGAAATCACTATGTGCTGCCAACACTTAAGGGATGGGGACTCATGCTGCATCTCTGGAGGGATGCACGATTTTGCATTTTTTCAAGGGGAGATTGGTCTATTCTTCCAGTTGATTTATTTGTTCAATAATTTAGTCACATAAGTATGTACTCATGAATATTTATTTTATACTTTGGGTTATTATCCAATGCTATGTTGCTTTGTTGCTCAACATTCCAGCTTTGGCCAGTGGAAGCTCTTTCATTTGGCTCCTGTGTCCCTTTGACATATCCTCAGCGTTTCTTCACTTTCTGGGACTGCAAGATGCTCCAGTCTCAGCTTGTGTGTTTCTTGCCCCAATCCCGGAATCAGTCATTTCTTCAAAGAGCCTGTGTTCCTTTTATCGGATGATGATATTTTAGAAACCAAGACCTGTGTACTAAGAGTGCTCATTGTTGCTGGGGTATTTGTGCTCCTAAGTCGGCCCACATTTTACACTTCACTGCACTCCAGGTTGCTCACCTGTAAAAGGGGGATAAGTATAGTCCTTTCATGAATTTTCTTGTGAAAATTAAATTAGAGAATGTGTATAACAAGCAGATAGTAAGTACTCAAAAATGTTAGTGGTGATTATTTCCCATATAACCTTTTACATTTGAGTGAACTTATAATTTTCTAAGTTCTTTCCTATCTGCTAATTCATCAGATTCAACAGCCTCAGGAGAGAGGTTATTCTAGCGGTGTAGAGATGGGAAAATTAAATAAATAAGGGAGTCAACCTACGCTGCACTAGAATTCAAGTCTTTTGATTTTGAGACTTATTCTAGACCAAGATTGGTTTCCACCTCTGTCATATGAGTGGTCTACATTCCCCTCCCTGACTCTTGCCCAACTCTAGCTTGAAGGGCTTCTTGGTGGTGGTGTTTCTTTGATTCTTGTTCTCCATTGAGTAAGATTAACTCAAGGCAGAAAGAAGGCATGTACTCCAATCCAGAACAGGCCACTCATAGACATGGCACCATATTTTCTAAACCAAACACTGAACATATGATTCAAATTTATTAAATGCCACTGATAATAGTAAATTTAATAAATGAGTGGCATTTAATAATTGTAATGTGGATGCAGAAACATTGACATTCTGGGATATTTTGATAATTTACAGGAATAATAGGACAGGTATTTAAACAGAACTGACCCAAAAACCTAAGACATGCTTTTGTATCTACAACAATCTTCCCATCATAGTCTCTCTCCCTTCATGGTACAGTGATCCTACACGAATACAACAAAATGTTGGTAAATGAAAGCAACTCACTATAATCATCAGTGCATAAAAGACATACAAACAAACAGGGAGCTTTGACTCAATGCAGATGTTTATTAGAACTAATGTTTGTTTTTTCATACGAGCAACAGCTTCTGTTGTTAATAAAATCCGGGCATGATTATTATTGCTAACAGCAGCACTCATGGTATGAAATTATAGCTTCAGTTATACAAACTGTATTCTAGAGAGGTGGGTTTTGGTTGCACAAAGAGGAGACCTTTTAAAGAGGCAGCACATTTAAAACATTTTCTTACTTATTTTTTTAAATTAATATTCACAATCAGTGATTCAAAAAGCAGCAATTTTAAAGTTGAATGAGCTGCAATTGGGGGTAGTGAGTTTCTCATCAGTAGAAATGCTCAAGAATGAGGTCGCGAAGTTAGACAAGGTTGTTGTCCTCACAGATACTCCAGCCCTCTGCTTCTATGGCTCTGTGAGAGATCTGGGTTTCTTGGACCTTAGCAGCAGTGCAGGAGCTGGCACAGCTAATAAGTGCTTGTAGGTCACGGGGAAGCCTGGGTTCCATGGCCTATTTAGACATTTTCTCAGGATAAGGATGAAATTGCAATTGGAGAAATAAACAGAATAAGCTGGGTCCAGCCAGAAGTCAGTATTTGTGCACAAACCTTGAGGCCATTTCAAGTCCTGTTTAGAATTCTAACTTTAAGGAGAAAAGCTCTTTTTGGTGTTGGTTCTGATCCCAGAAAAAGAGTCCACTGGACATGTGTTTTTGTGGGAGGAGCTGGTATAATAAAGGACATCTTGAGTGGACATTTACTATTGTTCTCCCTCCATGTGGAAGGCCTCCTCCGTCTTACCTGTGGACAAGGCTCTGGTCCAGTCACCTCTTCTGGGAAGCCTTCTTGATTGATATCTCCTCCCCCAAAACCTTCATACCAGAATGGTCTTTCTTTTACCTCCATGACTTTCCAAAGCAGCACTTGGCAGGGTTTGTTCTATTACATGGTAGTCAATTACATATGTTTCATGTCTCCCAATAGGAGCTCCTAGAAGGTATAAATGATACTCTCTTCATCTAGGTAGTTCCCACAGGAGCCACCACAGCCTGGGATGTTGGGGTGTGCCCAGGCAGTGCTTGAAATGGGAAGATATGGTGTCTTGGGATGCCTTGGGATGATTCCAAAACAGCATTACAGTTCTTCTTTGGCATTGAAAATGGAGTTTCTGCTAGCTTGACAAGTGTCTGATGGAGCTGGGTCCCATTGCCACCTTCCCCTTACAGAATAAACAGCAGGGCACAAAGAGGTAGAATGACTTGTTTATAGAACCAGAGGCAGGCTGTGAATTGCTGTCCCTGAGTATTCAGCCTGGGGCTTAATATATATATATATATGTTCTCATTCTCCATTATCTTCCTCTTTTTTTTCAAGAGACCTGGAATTACTCCAACAGCTGCATACAGGTCAAGAGTTAAAGTCCCCCAGGG
Source organism: Homo sapiens (assembly GCF_000001405.40). Classification (NCBI taxonomy): domain Eukaryota; kingdom Metazoa; phylum Chordata; class Mammalia; order Primates; family Hominidae; genus Homo; species Homo sapiens. Next base: position 28,377 of record NW_025791769.1, read on the forward strand.
AAGATCAATTTCTATAAAACAGAAGACAGGAACTTGGAGCTTCTGATCCCTTGGAGGGCTTATATCTTGGAGCTCTGGAGGGCATAAAGTCTCTAGAAGCTTCCTGAGAGAGGATGGGAGAGGCATTTTGCTTGGAAAACACTTATGGCCTTGCAAGATGAGGGAGTTCAGGGTGAGGCTCAGGGGTGAGGAGTCGGGGAACGGCTGCTTGGGGTCAGCTGTGGACATAGGAAGGAAGAGTATAGGGGCCTGGGGTACAAACTACCAGGGCCCACCTCATGCAGCCCAGTTTCCCAAGAAGGGAAGGAGGCCAGGGCCCAGAGCAGATGCTCTGCTTAGGAATAAGGAAGGATCCTTTGGCTCACACTTTGCCTGTCCCATGTCCTTGGGAACCCACCCGTAGTGGAAAGGGGTGGGTATTTCAGGAGCAGCAGCAGCAGCATTTTGTCTGCATCAAAGTTCCTTTGAACCGATTGTAATTTTTGCCTTTTGGTTACATTGGCTTTACCTCATCTTATCAGGGGGAAAATGGCTTCATTGTATCTTAGATCGTCAGAGCTTTGAGGACCCTTTGAGATGAGGGAGGAGGACTTGCATAGGGTCATACAGGGGGCTAAGGGCAGAGCTAGTTCTAGAACCAGGTGTCTGCCTTCCCAAACCACAATCCCCAGGCTCCCTCCTGTCCCTGCTTCTCTCAGGCCCTCCCGCAATCTGTCATCTAGTGCATGTTCCTAGTTACATTTGCTAGGGGACATACCACAGGACTCAGAACCTTGTCTGTTTTACTTTTTTAGGGATGAGGGTGAAGATTGATGTTGGGCAAGTTGCACGGTGGCAAAAAAGCATACAGCATTTAAGGGCAGATGGAGATGGTCAAGGTTGAGGGGAGAGGTGTGTCACTGATCAATGCTAAGACCCAGGCAGGGGTTTGTAAGAGAGCTTCGTCTGCCTGGTAGACACATCGACCTTCTGCTAAGGTGCATTTATTGAAAACAGTGTATGCTATGCACTCTGTTAAGTGCTATGCATCTATTAGTTAATCTTTTCCTCATCAGACTTTTACGAGGTAGGTAAGGTATAGCATTTCCATCTTATGAAGAAACTGAAGTTCGAAGAGATGAAGTCACCTGCCCAGCACTGCAAACTAGTAAGTGATAGAGCCTGGATTCGGCCTGTGTTCTGACCACTCTCTTGCTCCATCTCTTTAAAGAGAGTGAAAAGGGGGTGAAGATACCTGCTCTATTGCCCAGTAATGGATAGGCCGAAGGAGGGGGGATGGGAGGAAGGAAAGGAGAAATGGCTGCTTTCATCGGAGGATCGTCCTCTGCTACTGACTGCCCACAGCTGGTGGTGCTGGGGCTGAGGAGCCAAATTCAGTTCCTCACTCCGGTGACCCTCTGGATCCAGTCCTTGTTGTGGTGGATGTAAGAGTATACTCCGTAGCGGTCCTTCTTCCCACAGTCATCACCCCAGGACACAGTGCCCACCAGGTACCACTGGCCTCTTTCTCTATTCAGGGTCACCATGGGGCCTCCAGAGTCACCCGCACAGGCGTCCTTTCCCCCTAGGTGAAAAAGAGACATAGATGAAGATAAAATGCCCCTTCCCAGCCCAAGTCTCCTTCTCCCATGTATGGGTTGTAGTTCAGAGAATTGGGCACTAGAGGGCATAGCAGACCGTTGGACCCAAACCTCAGCTCTGGGCAGTTCTAGGTCAGGCCGCATCAGAGCTCAAATGATTCTAAAAAGCCCTGATTCAGACCTCTTTCTTTCTTTTCTTTTCTTTTTCTTTTTTCTTTCTTTTTTTTTTTTTTTTTGAGATGGAGTCTCGCTCTGTCACACCCAGGCTAGAGTGCAGTGGCACGATCTCGGCTCACAGCAACCTCTACCTCCTGGGTTCAAGTGATTCTCCCTCCTCAGCCTCCCGAGTAGCTGGGACTACAGGCACCTGCCACCATGCCCGGCTAATTTTTGTATTTTTAGTAAAGATGGGATTTCGCCATGTTAGCAAGACTGGTCTCGAACTCCCGACCTCAGGTGATCCACCCGCCTCGGCCTCCCAAAGTGCTGGGATTACAGGCATGAACCACCGTGCCCGGCCAAGGCCTCTTTCTTAAGGGAAACACTGAACTTGGGAAGGGAATGATGAGCATCCTGTAAATATCTTTTCTCCGATGCATCTTCTCCTGTGGAATCCCTCCTCCCACGGCCTTCCTCCAGTCCCCCGCGCCCCCACACTGCCAGCCCACCAGGTTGGGAGGCCTCTGTGCTCCCTTGCTGGCTCTGCACCACTCCCTGGCTGGCAGCGCCCCTGTTGTATGCCAGCCTCTTAACCCACCTTCCTTCTCCCCAGCACAGATCATGTCCCTGGTCACTTTCTTCTTCAGCGGGGCATAAGCCTTCTGGCAGGTGCTGTGGTCAACAATCGGGATTTCAATCTAGAACACAAAGCTGTTATTGGTCCTCATCCCCGGCTGAGAAGCCTCTGCTATTCTGACACCCCTGAAGACGGCTCCTCTCCACTCCATACCTGGACGGACCTGTGTCTACCTTAGACTTGATCTAAGAGACTGCCCCATGCTACAGGTGAAGGAACAGTTGAATGGAGAATCAGGAGGCCCGTGTTCTAGGGCAGTCTTGGCTGTGAAGACCTTGGCTGTGTGAACTTGGGCAAGTCACATGCCCTCTCTGGGCCTCAGATCTCTCTTCAGTAAGATAGAGGTAATAATACTTGCCTAGGAGATGTATTAGTCAATAGGACAATGTATACAAAAATGAAGTTTGGTTTTCTTTTGTCTCACCCCTACTGTAGGACCTAGAACATGTGGCTTACTCATTGTTTTTCAGACTCTGAGACCCTTTTTCCTCATCTGAAAAATGGAGGTTGCAGTATTTGATATACTAATCATTGTACAAAGAGGAGAGGCAGGAACAAGTGCTTTGTAAACTACACACACTGTATAAATATTAGCTACTGTGGAGTTATCACTGCTGGCTTTGCAGCAAGCACTTTGTTATGTTGTCCTCCCTCTCTACAGTATGAGCATCTGTCTCGATGCTGGATCTGTATTTTATGCATTTCTATCTTACATTGCTTGGAGCTTAGTAGATACCCAGAAAATATATATATTTTTTGCAATGCAGCAAAATCGATACATAAAAATAAGGCATTGTGACTATTATTGCCCTTGATCCAGTGTGGGGGTAACTGTTGGAGTAGATGTCTGGAATAAAAAGAGGAAACATATGATTCTCTTTCAGTCAAATCAAGAACTGAATGGGCCATATTCTCTAAATGGACAACTCCTGTTGCCCTTGCTGGGAGGAAACCAGAGGCCATTCAGATCCCTCTTGGGTCATGGCCTTCCCTGGATAAGGGGAGAGGAAGCCAGGGCAGGGTGGTCCTGAGGACAGATCCTCAGCAACTGCTGAGCACCTGATTCATCGTTCAGGTATCATTTCAGCATCACTTCCTTTGGGAATGCCTCCTGAACCCCTGAGACAAGATCAGATTCTCTTTCATATGTTCTGGAGCATCCTGCATTTCTCTCTCTCCACCTTTATCACATCCATAACTACTTTCTGTCCATTCCACTTGACCATGAGCCCAAGGGGGCCAGGGACCAGATCTATCCTTTTACCCCAGCACAGCTAGTAGCTAGTACAGTGTCTGGTACCAAGGAAACACCAAATAGACCCCCGGGAGTTAGTGAATGAAGGGATGAATGGTTGTTGCAAATCCCAAATTTTAAAATATGTCAAAATAATATATGTGGAAGAATTTAGAAACTAGCTGTGTCAGTCATAGGCCCCGGTGATATCAGAGCCAAGCAACTCTTTGATGGCAGCTCGTGTTGCCCCATAACTCTGCAGTTGGAAATAGTATCTTATGGTCTAGAGAGGCAAAATAACTTGCTTCAGATGACCCAGCAAGTTAGTGGGAGCCAAGACTTGAAACTATGGCTCCTTACTTTTAGTTAAGTGTTTTTTTTTTTTTTCCTTGAACTGATAGGAATATGAACTTCTAAGTGTAACTGCCAAGTTCATTACTGCAAGGACTGTGGTTCTCAAGAGCCTGGCTCATTCTGGCCAATTTGGTGTACAGTTCTCATGGTGCACAGCTGGATTGTCACCATGGGGGTGTCTAAACTTGCTGTTTTCTGGGAGAATTTTCATAAGCTAAGCCTTTAATAAGCTACCAGAAAAACTTAACCGTGTTTAGAGGCTAGAGTCCATGACATGTAGAACAAACAAATCAAGCTTTCTGGGGTTCAAAGTCCCATTGAACTTTGGAGGTGGGTCTGGGCTCCTAGTTTCCCACTCACCAACCCCCACCCAAGCCTCAAAATCCCTAAGGGAACAATACGGAGCAGGAAGGCCCAGTGCAGAGCTGAGGTGTCACTGTCTGTAGGTTATAAAGTGAACTTCACCTCCATCAGGGTCTCTGGGAACCTTTGCAAGAACTGCTTCCCCCAGCCGCTGACGATGACCATGGCTCCTGGAGGAGAGAAGATACTGTGAGAACAGAGAAGCTATCTGTGGGGTGTTTGGAGGGGTGCAGCTTGCAGCTCCATCATCCTCTTCTGTGGAGGAAAGACTGGATTGTTCTTCTCAGAGAAAGGTGGTGTGGTGGGGAGGAAGACGTGAAAGGCAGCTGGGCTACAGATTACCTGCAGCAGAGCTAGGGGCACTGGTTTCTATGATGTGTTACTGGCTTACTTGTTTAGTTTTCTATTCTGTCCCACCCTCAACTAGTCTGAAACCTAGGGTCCATGAGAGCAGAATCTCATTCTTGGTCACTGCTATATCACAGTGCCTATAGCAATGCTGTCACATAGTAGGTGCTCAATCAAGAACAGCGAATAAATAAAAAGCCCAGCCTAGTCCACTATGTGCTATGGTGCCTTTAGCCAGCCCTCCTCTCTGCTCCCCTTCTAAGCCTCTGTTTTCCTATCCATAAAATGAGGAGGCTGGACTTGGTATTCTCTAAAACCCCTTTCAGAGTTGACATTCTAGAAGTCTATGAAGTTGGTAAATCTGTGGGGCAATGTGGAAGTGGGTTGAGCACTGACAGAGCAATTATTTTCTCATTTGAAAAAGAGCCTGGATACTGAAAACAGTGTTGGGCTTAAAGTCAGAAAACCTGTACTATATCCCTAGATCTGCTTCATACAAGCTGCATCTCGGGTGAGTCACCTCACCCTGCTGATCCTTAGTTTTCTCGTTTGTAAATGAGGCTACAGTGCCACCTTGCAAGGCTTGCATGGTTCGTAAATAAGTTAATGAACATAAAGCACCTGGTGGGCACATGGCACCCAATGAGTCAAAGCCAGCTACACCTGTGCCTTTCCTGTTGGCTCAGTTCCCCTAAATACTCCTCAGATTACATCTCAGCCATTTTTCTTTTGAGCTAAAGGAAGTGAACTTGATGTGGCACCACTGAAATTAGAATGAAAAGGAAGCCAGCTGACATGGGTCACCTATGTTTAAGTATTATCTCAAACACGGAAATGCCACAGCCACCACATGGGATAGCATCTCCAGTTTAGAGGTAAGGGGATTGAGGCTTACTGAGGTTAAATAACTTCCTGAAGATCACCCAGCTGGGAAATGGTCACAGTGGTGTTTGAGCCTGTGCTGAGTATTTTTTTTTTTTTTTTTTTTTTTTGAGACGGAGTCTCGCTCTGTCGCCCAGGCTGGAGTGCAGTGGCGGGATCTCGGCTCACTGCAAGCTCCGCCTCCCGGGTTCACGCCATTCTCCTGCCTCAGCCTCCCAAGTAGCTGGGACTACAGGCGCCCGCCACTATGCCCGGCTAATTTTTTGTATTTTTAGTAGAGACGGGGTTTCACCGTTTTAGCCGGGATGGTCTCGATCTCCTGACCTCGTGATCCGCCCGCCTCGGCCTCCCAAAGTGCTGGGATTACAGGCGTGAGCCACCGCGCCCGGCCTGTGCTGAGTATTAAGCCATTGTCCCCCAGCTTGAGACTTACCCTTCTACATTCTGCTTTGTGGTACTAGGGATGAGACTCTGAAGTGGGCAGTTCTACTTTGCTAGCTGGTTTCCTGAAAACAGGGGGCACTTTCAGAAAGGCAGGAAGACTTGCTTTGGCTGTTGGCATCATCCCTGGCAGTGGTTTTTCACCCCAGTAGTGGCCATTGTTTCCAGCTGTTTTCCTTAGCACGTTAGACTCTTCTGCAGCGGTTCAGGTTCTGGCCCCATAGGGCCCCTTTTCCAAGCTTCTAATTTCTAACTCCAGGTTCTTACCTTTGTTTCCCCAGCCCTAGGGTTGGTGGTTTCTTCCTGCAGGTACCATCTCTATGATCTCAGCTCTTCCCTCTTACTTCTCCAATCCTCCAGTGCCCTATATTAAATTCTCTCTGTTACGATAACTAGTCTAGTTTTTGTTTTTCTATCTGGACCCTTAGGTCTGACTGTTTACTATGTGCTTCCCACAACTTTTGCTGCCTTGGACCCAGTTCTGACTTGGCTGTTTGAGGGGAAGCAGTTGGTGAGTCAAGCAGACACTGTCAGCTGACTTAATTGGCACCAGAGCTTCACCAACGTGAAGACGGACTCCTTGTGGAGGCACCAGCTGCCCTGCAGAGGTGGAGGTAGGGGAAAGTACCTTCCTGCTGGGGTCCCTCAGGCAGACAGATGGGCATCACGAAGGCATTCAGCACTGGGCTCTCCAACAGCTCCACCAGAGCCACGTCATTCTCGAATGTGTTGGGATCATACTGGGGGTGGAGAGTGGTGTGTTTGACGCCGAGATGCTGTTCATTTTCATCTGACCGGAGCCTCCAATGCTTGCCTGGGCAAGAAGAAGACATGTGAGGCATGGGTGCAATGGAGGATAAGGTCACACCTTGTTCCCTGTCAGCCCCCGCCCCAGCCCCATCCAGCCCTTGCTTCCAGCCTTAGCCCTTTCACTGCCTTCATCCACCTTTCCCAGACATCCCACCCTATTGGTCATTCTCTACATAATCTCATGGGTCCCCACCTCTGTCTTTCTTCAGGAACTGATGCTGTTGCCTTGTAATGCTTGTTCTGATGCCTGCTGCCACATGTTCAATCCCTATCATCACCTTCAGTGCCTGTGTCAAACATGACCTCCTCCAGGTAGCCTCTCAGACTCTTGGGTTAGAAGTCTTTCCCCTCTGAACTCCCATGGCATTTTATCTGTTCTTCTTCTACAAAACTTACTGCTGGCTACTTTCCGTTAGAGGTCTCTGTGCTCACATCTTATTCCTTTATTAGACTGTAAGCTCCCTGTGGGCAGAAACTAGGTCTTAATCATACTGTGTCCTTAGATCCTGGCATAATGTCAGTAGGTAAATATGTGTGGACCTGAATTGAATCAGCTGGTCATCTGATTTTATAAACAAGAGGGGAAATCTGGATCGTATATGTATGATCTATTTGAAACCACAGGTTCATGGAAATCTAACAGGTCTTTGGAAATTATCTAGAGGCCTCCTCATTTTATCGTTGTGAAACTGAAGCATAGACTTCAATGCCTTCTCATGGTCACGTGTCTGGAGAATCATATCTTGCACTTGGACTCAGGTTCCTGGACCTCCATCCCAGGTGTCCTGCCCTGACAAATGAGTGAGCGAGTGAGTGAGCAGACACGCCTTGGAAAGGGCCAGTAGGTCATTCCCAGAACCACAGCTGGCTTTGGGAGTCAGCTTGCCCCTCACTCACTCACCCAGGATGATTTTGAAGTCAGAAGGGCTGAGCAAGTCTGAATCACGTAGGGTCGGATCTTCCGGATCGAGTGACTGGTGGAGGCAGTGTGCGGCGGTCACGATCCAGCTGGAGCCTGGGGAACAGAACACACGTCTCATCGTCCTGCACTACTGGGTCTTGCCTCCCTCTGTCTTGAGCTGAGGATCTTCAGGCTACTCCAGAGGACCCCTCAAGACCTTGAAAATGGCCATGCTTCTCTCCATTGTATTTTATGGCCCCCAACTCAAATGCTCATATGATCCTAATCTGAAGATGAGGATTTAAATCTGTGATTTTTACCTGCCTATTCCAACCAAGGCCAGGACTGAACATTGTAAACAGGATTTCAGGGATCCTTTAAGCCCATGGCATTGGTGAGAGCCAGAGAGCCCAAGGTGGGTGCACAGAAAGCCTGTGGTCAACTGGCTGCCTTCTCAGGCCTTGCTTCTCAAAGTGTGGTGCCTGGACCAGCAACATTAGCATCACTTGGAGGCTTCTTAGAAATGAAGACTCTTAGGCCGGCCCCACCTCTGATCCACTGAATCAGAATTTTCATTTTAACAAGACTCTCCAGTAATTTGTATGCATATTAAAGTTTAAAATTGATGAATCCGAAGCTACCTACACTGGCTGCACGTTAGAATTACCTGGTGAATGAAAAAAGAGTAAATCAGTGTCTGGACCTATATCTAGACCATTTATGTCATGGGGGTGGAGCCCAAGCACAGATAATGTTTTAAACATTTCCTTAGTTAATTCTACTGCTGCCAGGGTGGAGAATCACTGCTCTGATCTAGACCTTTCATTATATAGGCAGGAACCCTGAGGCGTGGAGAAAGCAGAGATGTCCAGGGTCACCCAGCAGGTTGGTTTCAGGGTCAGGGCCAGGGCCAGACCCCAGGGCTCCTGATAGTCAGCTTAATGCATTTCCTGTGTCTCAGCTGTCATCTTTCTCTGGATGGACAGGCATCTGCCCTTCGTTTAATGCAGGGTCAGGCTTCCATTCACCTCTTATGTGGAGCAGATGACAAGCCCATAAGTGGCTGAGCCCAGAGACATATCCAAGATGAGCCAAGCAGAAAGAAAAGCTCTAGAACACAGGGGTGGGGGAGGCTGAGTATCAGGTCAAAGTTCAGGGTCGAGGGCAGAAGTGCTTAGTCTCAGAGCAGGTTCCAGGCTCCACTTGGCCCTCTGAGAAGCAGCTATGTGCTCCTGGGTCCTGGCCAGGGCTCTACTTAGGCCACTCTTCTCTGCCCTGGGGCATTTTTTGATCCCTGCCCATGTCCAGGACCAGATTTTCCAGGTGGATCAGGTGGGCTGAGGTACCCAGGTTAGGACAGCCTGCCTTGGTCTGGGGCTCTGGGCTGTTTAGATGAACCCAGGGGTGTACACTGGCCAGTTCAGAGACATGGCTTGGCCTCCCAGCTCTGCAGATCCCTCTACCCAGGTGTCAGTGTGGGCATTAATGAGGTGCTTTCCCCTTCCTCTGTCCCTTGGCTGCTTTCCTGTTTCTTCTGCCCTCTCCTATCCTTCCCCTGCTCTTTAAGACTGAATGACAGGAGGGAGACAGAAATGATAGATCAGGGTTGCTGCAGGGAGTGCGAAGTATGAGGGCATTCCAGCTTGGCCGAGGGTAGAGAAGTGAACGTCAAACATTTTTCAAACATAAGTCATAGGGAATAAACATACAATGAATCACAATACATGGTGGACATTAGTGGACTCAAAAATTCAAGGTTTGTCCTAGCTACTCGGGAGGCTGAGGCAGGAGAATGGCTTGAACCCGAGAGGCGGAGGTTGCAGTGAGCCGAGATTGCACCACTGTACTCCATCCTGGTGACAGAATGAGACTCCGTCTCAAAAAAAAAAAAAAAAAATCAAGGTTTAAGAAAATGAATTCATTCTTAAAATTAGGTGCACACAATCCATCTCTCTTACTTGCCCTCTAACAAAATCGGAGCTGTCTGGTGAAGCAGAGTCTTCCCTCCCTCTGCCCTCGCTGGCAGCTCTTCCTCCACACCACTCTGCTTCTCTCCAACTTCCCTTCAGGTCCCTCCTTCCCTGGCTTCTTCTCTCCTGGGTATCTTGTGCCCGCCAGTACCTCCTCCTCTTGTTGTATTGTTCCCTTTCATTTTTCTCTTTACTCTCTTCAATCCTCTATCTTATTTTCCAGGTATCTCTCAGTGTTCTCTGTCTCTCTCTGTCCTCTCCATTGTTGTCTTTCTAATTCTGGTCCTCTGTCTCCCTTCCCTTCTCTCCCTTGGTCCTCTCCCCGACTCTGCTCCCACTGAACTGCCCTCAGCCCTGTCTGGCCCTATAATACCTTCCCTCACTCTCTTTACCTCTCTGGGGGACTTCTTTGAGTGAGACCATTCATCTTTGGGTCTGAGAGAATGTAAGGATAAATTCCTTGCAGAGTAGGGATTTATGTAGCCCTGGTGCTTTGGCTGCAGCTCTAGCCCAGACCTGATGCCTTGCCAAAGGGATCCCTGCCCCAGAGCTGTCCACCCCTGGTTGGATCTGGAGGAGGGTGGGGCAGAGTGAGAGGCATGCCCATCAGCCTGGGAGTTGCTCATGCAGAGATGGGCCAAGCCGGGCCTTCTTCCTTGGGGGTGGGATCCGATGCAGAAGTGGTCTAGATAGCCTAGATTGCTATTCAGTTTTCTTTTGACATCAGAACTGGAATAGATCTTAGATTGCCTGGACCAAACTGTGTCAGGGAGAGCCATCGGCTGTTCTCATTCTTGCTCCCACTCCCACCCACATTCCATTACAAAGGTGACAGTCCTATTTCCCAGTGTTATCGAATCTGCCTCCTTATTTCCATCCATCATACCCTGTTCTTACTCTGAGGCTATGCCTTCTCTCCCCACCACTGCAATGGATGTCTCACTGATCTCCTGGCCTCCAGTTTCACCCTCCTTTTTATCATTGCTGCCTCTGGAGAGAACTTTCCAGAGCATACTTATCAACCTAAAGCAGCGTTCAAGACAAGATAAAAATTCCTAAGCATAGCATTCAAGGTCTTTGTAAATCGACCTTCCCTGATTCCCAAGGGTGAGTTTCCTGGCTCTCCCTGAACTCACAGCCCTGGCATGCCCTGTCTTTGACCTCCATGTACTGTTAAATTCATGGTTGAGAGACTCCCTGACTTTGTCCTTCCCGGTGCCAGAGACAGACCAGGATCCAGTCTAGCCGAGAACTCTTTCTACCGCACTGTGCTTCTGTGCCCTGATGCTAGTGTGCACAATGATTCTCAATGAAGAAACCTTGGTCAGTCTCCAAGGAGGGGGTTCAGTTCCTTAGCTTCCACCCCTTCCACCTTCTCCCTACCTAGAAGGGAGCCTCCGCAGAAGGGCTGCCCATTCAGGTGTGACAGCATGGCAATCCAGGGAGTGGTGCCTTTCTGGGCTGGGCGTCCATTGAAGATCCTGGCCATCAGCTTCCGGGAGAACTTGGGGAGCCCACACACTGCATCCAAGGGAGGGAGGGAGAGACAGATCAGACTCTGGGCTCCATCTTGCCCACTGCCAGAGCTCCCAGCTCCTCACCCTGTTAGGAACATCTATTATTTTTGCTCCTCCACCATTAATTGACCTTCCTGATAATAGCATCCCAGTCTTTCTTTGGAGGCTGCACTTTCCTTATTCTTAGTCTATGCAGCTAGAGTTGGATTGACCTCACCTCTGGTTTCAGGGATAGGAATGTGACTGATCAAAGCCATGCACTTTCTGGTCACAGCAATTGCTCAGAGATGGGAATGTGACCTTGGCTGGACCAATGAAAGCATTACTTGAGAATTTCGCTAAACATATTACAGAAGAGAAAGTCATTCCCTACTGGAATTGCCAAGCTATTAGCCATAAGCCCAGATCTGCCAACAATCACTTCATTAAGAGTCTGCTGAGAATGATGAAGAAAAGTGGAGCTGAAAGTTGAGGGACAAAGAGACAGAGAGATTGCACCCTAATAGTTGAGCCCTTTGATCTAATTATATGTGAAGCCTTTTGGTACAGCCTTTTCAGTTATGTGTGCCTATAAATTCCCTTTTTTCCCCTTAAGCTGCTTATGTTTGGTTTATGTCACTTACAAATGAAAGAGTCACAGCTAATAAAGAATCATTATGCTCCAGCCACATGAATCTTGTCTCCTCAGAGAAGCCCTTCCTCAGGGCCTTGTGGAGTTGAAGATCCCCTCCACCACAGTGTCTGCCTGCTCCATCCCATTTTCCACTGGCTTGGATTGACAGACACGCTCCCACATACACACTTTACAACTGAATAGCCCTCGGAGACCATCTGGTCTATACTTTTCATCATTCAGCTAAAGAAACCAAGGCCTGGAGAAGGAAATTGACTTCCAAAAGGTATTCCATGAGTTAGTAGCAAGACTATAGTTCTAGGTCTCCTGACTCCCAATTCTGGGCTTTTCTTACTCTGGCCAGCCCCATAAACTTTTAATTATGTGGCTTCCCAGAACACTCATAACCCAAGCCCCTGGATCCAGGCAGTCACCTGCTACCTTTGTAGCTGTCACCAGGCTGGAGAATATCACAGATAAATGCTCTGCATCCACAACCTTGATGCAGCCTCAGCATCTCCCAGCATCATTCCACATGCCCACAGCCAGCTTCCCCAAGCTAATGCCCTGCCTCCATTCCCAACAGACGCTCAGAGCCCAATGAGTGGGAACTCCCTGAGTGGGAACCCCACTGAATGGGAACCATCCTCCTCACCATCTCTTCTTCCTATAAACTTTATTGTCTTCAGAACTAATTTTTCACTCTGGATCTCTTAACTTTTGAACTCTTGGAGACCTGGCCTTGGAGACTGTCACCCCTCTCTTGTATTTTTCATCTCTCCTTATTCTATGCCTCCAAAACACAGTCAAGACTTTTCATCCTAAAAATCAGCTTCCATTTCCCCGTTTGCCATTCATTCCACAGTCTCTCCTTCTCCTCCCTTCTATAGTAAAGCTTCTGAAAAGACGAGTTGACACTCCTTTCCCACATTCTTCCTCCCCCTTTGGAGCCGGATTCAGAAGAAGAAAGTGCCATGTACTGCACAAACTTGGAAATAGGCAGCCATTTGAATATTTAACAGGTCTACAAATAGATGGAAATAAAATGTCTCTGAGACCATAAATGGAACTCCAACCATGATATCTACATACAGAGTAGGATACTATTTTTTGAATCTTATCAGATACATTTTGCATCCCTAGGAATTCGCTGTGCACTGTGGCTCCCAAGCCATTGAAGCTGGAGCATCCACGGTTTTAAGCAAAGGCTGGATAAAGCTTTGACTTGAAAGAGCAAAGCAGAAACCAAAGTCTGGTAAGACGGACTTTCATTTTGAAGAGTCAGGCTTCATAGTAAGAATAAAAAATTTGTAGGTTTCAAGGAACCAAAACATGGAGAACTGAACATGTAATTTTTACCATAAGGCTTAGGGAAGATGCATGGGCAGTTTCCTACCTCTGAGAAAAGAGCTAAAAGCCCATCCTGGGAGACTGAGAAGGCTGGAGAGAGAGGAAGGAGGGAGTACAGAGAGAGGACCGAGAGAGAGAGGACAAAGGAAGAGAGAAGTCCTAGAGACTTGAAACTCACACATGGAGCCTCCTGCCTGCATACCCCTCAGGGATGATGATAGAGACTTGATTCCTCTCTTAGGGAACTTCCATCCTGGAGTCCTTTATTGGGACTCTTAGCAGCATTGGGTGCTGTTGACTACTTCATCCCTCTTTACAACTCCTCCTCTTGGCTTCTGAAGCACTTTTCTCCCTGTGTTTCTGATCCCTTCCCCCCCCCCCCTTTTTTTTTCCTTGGGGCCTCTCTTTTCTTCATGCCTTCCATGATGCTGGTGTTTCAGGCCTTGGTATCCTTTTCTTATCTGTAAATTTCCCGTAGATGATGCCCTCTACCTCTATGCCATCATACTACCCATGTGCTGATGAACTTCAAATCAGTGTCTTTAAATCTGCCCTGTCCTCTAAAACTCACCATTCTTTACTGCCTACTTACATTTCCAGCTGGATTGCTCATAAACTCTTCCAGCTCAGTGAATCCAAGCCCAAGTATCCACCCTTCACTAACCTTCTCCCCTTTGTTTTTCCAGATGTCTGCTAATGTCTGAATCAATCACATCCTTGTTGCCTCCCTTTTCTTCAACCCCATGTTCAATCAGTCGCTGAGCTGCTGGTAAATCCCTAGGAGAAGGAGAGTGATGTGTCTCCCCGACTCCATGTCACAAAGTGCTCTCTATGTACCTCAATATGTCACAACCTCAGTACCTCAGTACCTCAATACCTCAGTACCTCAATATGTCACAACATAAAGTCCAAGTATCAAAAGAAAAACAAAAATTGGAAATGTAATAGAACATGAGACACGATAGTCCTTCAAACCATAAAGTGCAAAGCGTAAATAAGCTCTTATTTTCATTCTCAATAGTGTAAAAAGGATGGCATTTTCATTATGGTACAAACCAAAAACAAAGGCGAACCATGAGTGCGTCCCATGGTGAGACTTCACTATCACGTGCCACTCATGCTTGAACTTATCAAGAGATGCCTATAGGCCAAGCCCTGCTGTATGTACCACTTAAATCGATTTAAACTGCCCCTCCTCCTGTCTGCACTGTCACAGCCCTATGGGTGGTGGGTCTGCACCATCCCTCATCAGGACAGTTGCAGAAGTTGCATAACTGCTTTCCTAGCTCAGCCCCTTCCTGTCCACTTTCCACACCATGCTGCCCACCCTCAGACATACTGAATTCAAATTTTCCAGTGGGTGAGACCCAGCCATCTGCATTTTTCACCAGCACCCCAAGTGATTCTCATATACCCCAAACTTAGAGAATCACTCGTTTCAGGACAGTTCAAATAGAGCATGCCCTTTAAAACTCTTCCCACTCAATGCCCACTGCTCTCACTTTAACCATGGCCAGCTTTCATGCTTTTTTCCACTCTGCCCCTTCCCTCCTATCTCCCACACATCCTTTGAAGCCTCTGCAAAGCTATTCCAAGCCCCTCCAGCTGTATGATATAGCCCCTTCTTTAAGTTCCTATAGTACTTAAATCTCTGTTCCTTTTACATTTAACTCCTTTTGCCTATATAAGACCTACATGCACATAAGCTTGTCTTGCATGCCAGTTTCAACACTTTGAAACTGGTACTAGAAACTAGCTGGCACAGAACATGTTCTCCATGATGCTGTAGTTGCCTTAGCAGGATTCATAGCTGGTTTTGCTCTCAGCGTGTGGCACCACGGGTAACTTGACATACTGCAGGGCATCTGACAAGGTCCATGTGCCACTGCTGATGATCTCGTCCAATGTCACATTGGGACTAGAGATGCCCTAGCCAGTCACCAGGCCCAGCGTGTGGGGGGTTGGGCCTTCAGGCTCAAGTCCTTTGAAGACAAGGACTTAAATGGCAGGCACTTAAATGAAGGAACAAGTAGCCTCTGAGAAGGAGACAGATCAATAACCAAATCCTTTCCTCATTACCTCTTGGATAATGTCCAGATACCAAAAGTTGTACTTTTTCTGCAACAAGGGAGATTTTGGTTTAATGAGGAGACCAATTTCTTTTCAAAAAAGTTAAAACAAATGAACACACTTCCCCAACAATAACAAAACCCATAAGCCAAGGCTGTTGGTTATCCACGAGGGTTTATTTCCACTTGAGACCCCTGATGGGAGCAACAATGCAGAGGCCCTTTACAGAATGGTGAAGCATATGATATAAAAGATACAAAATATAACATCATTTACATGTGCCATTCATAGACAAAGGAGTGTGTTTGATGAGCCGGTTGAGAAAGTGGACACTTCCCAATCATTCCCTCTCAGGGGCTTCTCTGGCTGCCTTGCTCTGATGGAGATTTTCAGGAGAGAGAGCTCCAGGGAGAAGGAGAACAATCAGCCCTGTGAGGGCCAGAGAGGCTGCTAGCAGTCAGGGAAGCTCTGAGTGCTCCAGCTAGAAGGAACCTGCAGGGGACCTTATGCCAGCCTGTTGCTGACGGAGAACCAGAGACTCAGACAAAGAAAATGATTTTTCAAAGGTTATACAGCCAGTTGGGGGCAGAGCAGGGACTAGAACCCAGGACTCCTGGCTCTTTTCACTGCCTGCCATGGGTGAGCCTCTGATTCCTTTGACTCTGAAAAATGAAGGAGTGGGTCCCTCTGAACATCCTGCGGGGTGGATTCTCCGCCCAGCTCATGCCCCAGGGATGCCAGGCAGCCTGGCAGGATTTGGGTGACTTCTAATGTGCCCACCCCACTCTTTCTTCCATTTTCCTGCCCAAAAGCACAGCAGGACACAGTGTGGGTCTTTTCTTTTTCCAGGTAATCGACTAAGTCCCCATATTCGGGCCTGGGCTTCAGGTAGCCTTTCAGATAATACATTTCAAGGCTGAAAGATTGCTTTGTGCTTGTCTGGAGCAGCAGGTGTGGACGCCCATGGTGTCAGCTGGTGTTCCAGGGTGGCATATGGGCCCAAATGTGTTCTGAGTTGACAATGGGAATTTAAGGGCTTGGTGGGCCTCCCACGGCTATTCTGCTCCCAGCAGTCAGCACAAACCTTCCCAACTTTCTCCATGTCTTTTGAAATTCCTTTAATGGGGAACATAAGGGATAAGGCTTAGACTGCAAGAAGCTTTTGGGAGAGAAACCCCAGGCATGAAGGTGCTCCAAGGGATCACACTAAGAGAGAGGGGCTTGGCTATGAGCCATCTCCCAAAACCTGAATGCTCTTCTCCTAGAGGAAGGATTAGGCCAAGGCTAGTCCCAGAAGGCAGAGCAGGAAAATATACAGATGCGGCATTCAGTTCAATGTTAGAAACCATTTTCTAATAGTCAGGTCCAAGCTCAGTTATACCAACAGTAGGACCGATGGGTTTGATAAGTGGTCAGGAGTGAATAAAGGCCACTGGGGTAAGAAGCATGGCCTGGAAAGGAGTGCTGGGATTGGCACAGAGGCCTTGGTTGAGCTCCTGCATTGTATTACTCGGTAGAGTGAGGCCCAGACAGGGAAAGAGACTTGGACAAGCTCAGGAACACAGGTCTCCTGCCTGGAGCCTTTTCCCTATACCACACTCTGCCTCTCAGGGTCCTGGGGGCTGTCTCGGTAGGAGAAGCCACCGCTAGGTCAGTGTGTTCCATTCCATATGGTCTGATAAGTAATGTGGAGTGTGCTGTCGGAAGTGCGGTGTAGCTTCGCTCAGGGGAGGCAGGCCCCGAGGAAGTAAGTCAGCTCACCGTTCCACCTGGGGCTCCACAACACTTTGTGGTAAGCCCATCTGCTCCCACACCCAGTCCACGTAATTGGAGACCTTTGTGTAGACTCCATAGACCTGCTTGCTGCCGCATTCTTCAGGTCCCCCCCAGGACACCAGGCCTTGCACCACCCAGCGCTGGCTCAAGTCATCAAAGATGACAAAGGCCCCACCGCTATCTCCAAGGCACGTGTCTTTGCCGCCCTCGTAGTAGCCAGCACAGAACATGTTCTCCGTGACGCTGTAATTGCCCGAGCGGGACTCATAGCTAGTTTTGCACTCAGCGTGAGGCACCACGGGTAACTTGACATACTGCAGGACATCTGACAAGGTCCGTGTGCCACTGCTGATGATCTCATCCACTGTCACATTGGGATTGGAGATGCCCCAGCCGGCCACCAGGCCCAGCATGTGGGGGGCCGGGCCTTCAGGCTCAAGCCTTGGCAGGCAGACAGGCATAACGTGGGGTCCCAGGGGCACAGGCTCCTGCAGCTGCACCAGAGCTATATCGTGGTTGTAGTTTTGGATGTTGAAGTCTGGGTGGAGCACCACTCGGGCAGCTGAGCTGTTGACTGCCCCCGATTTGTCTCGCACATCATGCAAGCCCAGGTAGACGGTGACATGCTCCTTGGAGACTGGTATCACCGTGGTGTCTCTACGCTGGGAGCGCAGCACATGAGCTGCTGTGAGGATCCAGGACGCAGAGAGCAGGGCCCCACTCCCAAACCACTTGTCATTTGGCACTCTCGAAGTGTCCTCCACCACTATCAGGGCCTGCCACGGGAAGAGGCCAGGCTCAGCATTTCGGCCCCCAATGATCCTCTTGACCAGGCTTGGCAGGGAGCGGGAGGGCTGACCACACTCTGTAAGGAGAAAGAGGGAGCAGGGACAAGAGACAGAGACTGGTCAGGTCAGCCATGTGACAGGAGCCACAAAGATAAATTCACATTTCACCCACTATAGATTATGCCACCATGGGACCCTAACCTGCCTGGGTCATGCTAGCCTGGGAGAGCTCTACTCAGGGTCATTTTGGGTCTAAGTCTCTCTAGGCTGGCCCATCTCTAGTCTGGCTTTTCTGTAGCTGGGACTGTCTCTGGACTGGACCACTCTGTGCTTGGGCTTTCTCTACCCTGAACCACCTCTGGCTAAGACCACTTGTGACCCAGACCATTTACAGCCATCTATTTCCAGTAGTGGTCACTTCTCCCCTTCCTTCTCTAGAAAGGCAGGTCTTATTTCAGAAGTGGTCCATGCTATGGGAACCTAGAATACTTCTGAAAGTTTTCTGTCCATGGGGACAGAGAGATGGAAGGAACCTAAAAAACCATCTAGCAGGTCACAGCAAACGCTAGACTGGGAACAAAGATGCTGGAAGCCTTGGCCTGGCTTTTCTCTTCCATTTCCCATGTAACTCTGAGTCAGCAAATATCCCTCTCTGGATTTCAATTTTTGATCTGCCAAATGAGGCATTTGGTCACAATGATCTCCAGGGATCCTTCAAATTCCAGAGATCCTTTAATTTTCATTTTATTTGCCTTGGCCATCACCATTTTCTAGGTGAGTAAACCTCCTGAGTTTAAGTGACTAGCCCAAAAGGATATGACTCTTAAGTCAGATAGCAGAAGCTTAACTAGATTCTAAGTCTTGTATCCCACACGGACTTAACAGATATTAAGACCATGGGCATAGGCCCTCAAACCTTTTCTTCTCTGTCCTAACAGAATCTTGCTATAAATTGATGCCCATGGATTAAGCCCCAGGGCATCCAGGGTTGGGGAAAGGTGGCATAATCTATAAGCAATGATGCATGGACCCTACTCTGGGCCACCCATCATTGCACCCAGGAGCTGTGTAGTACCTTTAGGGGAAGGAGAAAGATCTGAGCAAACTTCGTTCCACTGAGTTGCACCCTGAGCATGCACATGCACCACCAGCCTCCTGTAGCCAAATGCCTCTGGCCAATGAGCAGAAGGTCTTCGGCACCAGGCCCCCGCTGGCTAAGAACATGCTTGCATGGCCCTTCCCAGGCAGGGTGCTTGGGTCTTGGAGGTAGACCTACTATGAGTGTGGGCCTCCTCCTGGTTCCAAATGGCCAGGCTACACTCCTTGGCCTGGGTGCTTTTGACAATCCTTTAGACATCATGGAACATTTGAGTTTTCTTGGCAACTTTGGGAGAGCAGGCTTTTAGCAACCTAATGCTTTTCAGATGCTCTTCTTCCTGAGGCCAGATGCTTCTTGCTTGATCCTGGGGCACCCTGCCATTCACCCCAGGCCAGATGTGAACTGGTCTTTGTAACTCTCTGTGGCCTGGCCTTTCAAAGTTGAGGGTCAGCCTTCCAATTACAAGTAGCAAGCTGCAAGGCAACATCTCAATGCAGCTCTGTGACTGGTCCTACATATATTTAGTGCTTCAAGGCCCTAATCTGGTAAGGGACACGTCTATGGCTTGGTCCATGGTCACAACAAAGCCAGCATTAAACGCTACCTTTCTCCAACCAAGGTGCCAGTGGCACACTGCAGGTCACAGATCAGATCTGGAGAGACCTTGGAGAACAGCTAATTTACAGATGGAAACATGGAAGTTCAGAGAAGGCAAGTGACTTACTCAAGGTTGTTAATGGGAAAGCCAGAACTCGAACCTATTTATCCTGAGTCTAGCTTCATATCTCCACTGAAATCTGTTTTTCTCCTTGATGTGTTCTTGTCCTTTTAAGAGGCTGAATGATTCAACAAGCTCTTGGGAGAGCTCATTGAAATGGGGTCATTCTTATTGGCTGCTGCCATTCCCCACCCAGTCTTTCCTGGGAGAAAGGGATCTTCTTGAAATGTTATAGCTTTGGCTATGCTGAAGCCAGATTTGGGTTCTAGAGGACAGTGGTTACTGAGGGAGGGTCTTTAAAAAAATGTGATACTCTAGGATTCAAGGTTCCTGAGGATGGCATAAAACATGATCATGGTAAAAAAATGGCTCGGCATTGCTTATGTTGCCATCAAAAGTATTGAGTTCACCTTTCAGTTCTGCCCCTGACTTTCTACAAGTAGCCTTGTGCAAATCACTACACTATTCTGATAGTTTTCTCATTTATAAAATAAAAGGGCAAGTAATATTTGCTTAGCAGGACCCCTGAAATGGTGGGCCTTTTGACAATAGATGAGATGGCCTTCTCCATCCTGGCCTGCATCCTGGTTCAATCACAGTGTTTTGCGAAGAGAGAATTTACAAATTTCTGGCCTAGTCCAATGATACACCATGGTTCTGCCCAACACTGGGTGTTAAAAGAATGTCATGACTCATTGTATCCAAGATGCTTTGTACAAACATAGAGGATGATGACCATTAAAAGTCATAGAATAGCTGGGTGCATGGCTCATGCCTGTAATCCCAGCACTTTGGGAAGCTGAGGTGGGCGGATCACCTGAGGTGGGGAGTTCGAGACCAGCCTGACCAACATAGAGAAACCCCGTCTCTACTAAAAATTAAAAAAAAAAAAAAAAAAAGTCAGGCATGGTGGTGCATGCCTATAATCCCAACTACTCGAGAGGCTGAGGCAAGAGAATTGCTTGAACCCAGGAGGCAGAGATTGCAGTGAGCTGAGATCGCACCATTGCACGCAGCCTGGGCAACAAGAGCGAAACTCTGTCTCAAAAAAAAGGTCAGAATATCATAGGTCTCTTGGTTCTGATGCTTTACTTCTGAGGTATGGGATCCCAGACCCAGAGATATGAAAATACTTACCAAAGATCACAGTTAGGAAATGGCAGCATCAGTATTAGTACCTAGGGCCTTGACTCCTTGCCCAGGGCTTCTTCCCCTTCCAGAGGTGGCCACATGGCTTTCTAGCATGGAATCTATCCCTAGCTTTTTTTTGCTCACATGGTCTTTTAGCCAAATGGGGATTAGATCCTCTGGTTTGCTACAGCCCCACCATTCCTCTACAGCTCCGCCATTCCTCTCTTCTCTGAGGCTTCACTGCCTGGAGTCCTTGGTTGTACTTCTGGGCAAGCCTAATTGAGGTAAATGGAATCAGCGGAATGGGTGGGATGAACATTCCCTTATTCCACATCCTCATAAGTTTTTCTCAGAAATAAAGACCTCTTATGTGAACCCTTCCTAGTCAGTTCTTACCCCTTCATTCATAGACAACCAGGCATTGTTACTTCCTTCTTCTCTGGGATCCCATAGCACCTGTGATGGTCAAAACCTGACTCCCAAATGCTAACATGTTCTTCGCTTCTTAAGGATGAATGGTAGACAACTCCATAGCCTTTCCATTTTAGTGTCTAATCTGATATCTAGAAACCTCCTGATATGGTTTGGCTATGTCCCAAACTGGCTATGTCTCATTTCTCTCTTGCCTGCCACCGTGTAAGATGTGCCTTTCACCTTCCGCCATGATTGTGAGGCCCCTCCAGCCATGTGGAACTGTGAATCCTATAACCTCTTTTTCTGTGTAAATTACCCAGTCTTGGGTTATGTCTTTATCAGCAGTGTGAGAACAGACTAATATACCAACCGTGTACTAGTATACCTTCTTTATACTGTATACTGTAGGGTTACTGAAATGTACCATTAATATAATACACTATGTCAGTTTACCCAACACTCTCATTCAGCAAAATACAAATATCACCCAATGCTTAACCATATTGCAAATTTCCTGCTGTTTGTGCAAACATGCAGATGGAATTAGACAAGGCATTTAATTTTCAGTATTCCTCAATGCTGTCTTGAGTGATTGTATCATTAAACTACTGCCATTCTTGCTTTTTTTTAAAAAAAATGTAAATTACTATGTTGTGAATATTAAATTTAACTTTTTGTGGATTATTTGTTTAACCGTAGAGTGTGCATTTTGGGGCTACACTTTTCTAAGTTGACTTGAATAGCTATACATGTGATTGCAATGCAAATCACCCATACTATTTATTTATTTATTTTTCAAGACAGAGTCTAGCTCTGGCACCCAGGCTGGAGTGCAATGGTGCAATCTCAGCTCACTGTAGCCTCTGCCCCCTGGGTTCAAGCAATTCTCCTCTCTCAGCCTCCTGAGTAGCTGGGATTACAGATGCACACCACCACGACTGGCTAATTTTTTTTTCTATTTTTAGTATAGATGGGGTTCCACTGTGTTGACCAGGCTGGTCTTGAACTCCTGACTTCAGATGATCCACCCGCCTTGGCCTCCCAAAGTGTTGAGATTACAGGCATGAGCCACCACGCTTGGCCTATACTTTTAATGCTAAAGCAAATATCCTCAAAATCTGTATGCACAGTAACACTTCCTGTTACCACAAAATTTTCTTTCCATTTTAAAGTGGAGTCAGTAAGTAAACCATGGGAATCGGAAAGGCTTGACTACGTTGCTGTTTGGAAGAAAGAATTTGTCACTCTGTCTTATCATGATGTTGTTTGTGTTATCATCTCCTTGATAGCATGGTGAGTGCTTGAGGACAGGGTGCCCACTTTTTAAATTTCCCCGGCACAACAGCAGATGCACATGCAAACTGTGTTATATGAAAAATCTTGTGGCAAGGGCACAGAGACGGGACAGGAGGGCTCTCAGAGTGATGGAGCAGGCAGAAAATACAGGCTGGTTTGAGAAGGTGTGAAGCAAGTCTTCTCTGACCTTTAACCTTTTGAAGACATCTCTTAAAAAGCAACCAAAGCATCACCTCCCCTGTCCCCCATCACCCTGTTAACAGCCAGAAAACCTGGGGTCCTAGGGCCTTGGATGGAAAACTGTGAGGCAAAGGATTTGGAGGGTGAGGTACCTGGAAGGCAGGTGGGTAGGCTTCTCCCCAATACTTTATTCATCCAGACTCCTTGGGCAGAACAGGTATATATACCTGGATTAGTGAAAGAGGTTAGGAGAGGAGGGAGAAAATGGTTGATTTGTAACACATGGAAAATAGATCTGGGTATTTAATTTCTCTAAAGTGAGTTATTACAAAGTCCTCCAAATGGTCATCTAGGCTCAGATACGATTGTCTCTGAGCCTAGATGTACTAAGAAGAATGAGGAAGAATGTGGCAGGTACTCTCTGGGATACAATCCTCCAAAGGGACCAATTAACCTCCAAATATCTTCAAATACCCACAGGGCTACCATCCTAGTCCTTCTATCAAACTCCCTTTGCAACATGAAGGATCTTTCTAAAATGGGAATGTGACCATGTCCTTTCTCAGCTCAGAATCACGAATGGCTTGCTGTCACCCCCAAAAATAAACACCACACTCTTCAGCATGGTGTCTGTCCAAAGCTCTGGGGAATCCCACTCCTGCCTGGCTGAGGGCTGCTCCCCTCCCCACCCCACGCTGCCCAGGTCCTGGAAGGCACCTCCGCCTCACTTGTCACAAAGACCTGGGCTCACATGGCTCCCTGTTGCACAGATGCCCTTTCCTTTCTTCTCCATTTGACAGACTCTTTAATAAGCATACATTTGTGGCCACCATCTCACTGGCATTTTGAAATAGCTCTAAGAGCTTTGTAACTCTTCCCTCTTTTAAAAATGAGGACTTGGGGCCAGGTGCAGTGGCTCACGCTTGTAATCCCAGCACTTTGGGAGGCCGAGGCGGGCGGATCACTTGAGGTCAGGAGTTTGAGACCAGCCTGACCAACATGGCAAAAGCGGGTCTCTACTAAAAATACAAAAATTAGCTGGGCATGGTGGCAAGCTTCTGTAATCACAGCTGCTTGGGAGGCTGAGGCGAGAGAATTGCTTGAACCCAGGACGTGGAGGTTGCAGTGAGCCGACATCACACCACTGCACTCCAGCCTGGGTGACAGAGTGAGACCCTGTCTCAAAAACAAAAACAAAAACAAAGAGGAGTTGGAGGCTTAGATGAGTCAGGAGAATGTTCTCAGTGCTTGCATGCCAGAGAGGCAGAGCCGATGGGCCCTCCTTTCTCCCTGAGAGTTCCTTTTCTGCTAGGGACTATGAGTGCATGTGAGCGGGTGTTGGGCTGCCACAAGGCAGGGAGAGGCGGGTTATGTCTCTAAGCATTTCTCCTCCCAGTTCCTCCCAAACCCCCAGTGTGGCCAATGGTCAGGTTATTGCTGGTCCTTCACCCTCTGGCCAGTGTGCTGCTGCCCAGCCCCTGGGGCAGCCAGGGGTCTCTGCCAGGTGGCATGGATGGGGCCTGGACAGGGACTGCTGTGGCTGTGCTTGAGCTGTGGTCAGGGGATATGCTGGGCTACCTGGGGAGACAGAGGATCCACTCCTCGCTCCCCAACCCTGCCTGGACCCCTGTCCGTACCAGGGGAAGAGGTCTTTGAAGGAAGGTCCCTTACCTGCTGAATGGGTCTGGCCTGGTGAGATGTTGCCCTCACCCAGAAGCCAAGGCAGAGTCTGGGTGAAGCAGTAATACTGGCCTTTTTTTGGAAACCCCAACTCAGCCTCAGACCACATGAAGGAGTTTAACTTGGGGGATTCCAGGCTTCCTTTAGGGTCTCGTTTCTTCTCTTAGTTGTGTCAGTGTGTGACTCCTTCACGCTCCCACCAACAACTCATTAGTAAATCAGTGCTAGCTTTAAAGTTAAAAACAAAAAAGCCTGCTTTTTGGTTTTGAGACTGTTTCTGCATCTCCACATGGACACAGTAACACAAGCTCATGAAAAGTGAGAACCTGAGATGTGTGAGTGACACGTTTTGCATTATCAGGCTCTACACACTTATGAGCAGTTCTTCCTTTCACAGCTGTCTCGGCCCCCAGTCCAACCCTGAGGCCCCGAGAGTGTGAAACGGGAGTGGGATGGCTTAGCATGGATGGCTTACCTGTGTTATTGTTGAGCATCTTGTAATAGGGCTCCTGACAGGAGTATTTGATCTCAGACTTGTATGTGGTGAGGTTGTTCCTTGTAGAGAAGGTGATCAGCCCGTGTTCCAGCTCTCCTGGGGCTCTACAGTCTACAACTGAGAGAGAAGAAGTGAGACCCCTCAACTGCCTTTTGCTCATCCTCCTTTGGCTATCTGATGGATCTATCTCATGCAGATGTACAGGTTGTGCACTGCACACAATTCCAGAAAGCAATGTTATAATGCCTCTGAAGGGCACCCCTGGGGTGTGCAGTGTACAGCCTGTGAAGCTACCCATGGTCCTGCTTTTGAGGTCTCTTCCATTCATTATGGTACTACTGTGTGGTCAACTCACCTGCCCAGTGTCAATTTTGGGTAGGGGAAGGTCTACTGAGGTTTAAGCAGACTCCAGTCTTTTACCCACCAGGGCCTCTTTCTTTTACTTCTAGTTTTATTGTGCAATCCTCTCTGCCTCTTCTGCCCAAGAATGAAGCCCTTGGCTTAGTGAGAAAACTCTAGCTGACATAAACTAAATAATCTTTTGTTCTTCTAGTCCCAATCCTAGGCTGAGTAACAGCAGCTAATGTGCTCACATTGGAGTTTGGCACAAAAAATAAAAAAACCCAGCTCCTGTATGAGTACACAGCCCCACCCTGCTGCCTCTCTACAGGCAGCTTGCTTGGCCATAGAAGCCAGGAGGCAGGGTTGGAGGTGGATCAGCTTTCAGTCTTCCCCTGTTCATTTTCTATAATTGTTGATGGCCGCATGTTTGAGCCATAATTCCCAGTACAGGACATGAATAAAGATGCCTGCTCCTCAGAGGTGGTCTTTGGGGAGCTTTCCAGTCCAGCTCAGTCTTAGGGGAGTTGTCAGCACTGATGGAGCCCAGTGTGAGTCAGCTGAGAGTCAGGGCATCTTTTCATGGCCATATCAGAGGCTCTGGACCCAAATTTGTCAATCTTTTCATTCTTAAGGAAATCCTAATCTTAGGTATAACAGCCTATGCCAGAGTCGAAGAATCATAGATGAATCATAGAATGTCACAGCTGGAAAGAAACCTGAAGTAGGCAATCTAGAATGTCCTCTTTATTTTATCTATGAGCCCAGAGAGGAGACTTGACTCGTCTAAGGACATACAGCAAGTTACTATCAGAATGAGAGCAAGATTTGACCTCAAACCCAGGGCTGTTTTAGTAAATGGAACTAGTGGTTCTTAAGGATCTGTTTTCCAGTTAAATGGCCTATTCTAGGTACTAGCTGGCCAATGGTGGACATCAACTGTCAGAATTTCCAGAGCCCTGGTAAAATTTCCAAAGTTCCATGTCCTCCTGAATTTTACCTGGTCATTTTGGGAAACAGTGAGATATAATTTATCCCTGAGTGCCATTTAGACATTGTGATTTTAACTTTAGGACTCCAAATTCATCTTTTTGATTAGCTAGAGAGTCCACTCAAAATGCAAATAATTTCAAGTCCCTCCGGGTTGGAGGAAAAGATGAAGGAGGGGAGTAAATATAGGTACTTCTTATCCACTAAGAAGGCCAATCAAGACAACTGGTTTTGTCCTGGCCTCTAGTCCAATCACCCTGGACAAATCATCTCCATTTGTTTTGATGATCCAAAAGTACAGATGCTCTTCTACTTTGTGAGGTAAATGTGTGCAGCTCAACACTAGGATAATGAGGCAATAATATTTATTATTTAAATACTATGAACAGTTTTAAATTTATTTTCTGTTAAAGCCGATTTTTCCTCCTTTTTCAGAAAATGCCATTGACTTGGTGCCTAGGTATTGGTATCACTCATCTCCCTTAACTTTGGTCCACCTGACCGCCCAGTTCAGGAATTCCAGGGTTGGCTTTAGTGTGGCTAGATGGACGGGCCCCTGGGAGCCTGTTATGTGGCTGATGCTGGCGGATAGATATTTTCTGGGTGGAGGACCTACTTTCACATCACTTCAGAGAAGTAACTTTGCCCACTGATACAGCTGGCCCTACAACTAGGTAGAGGGGGTGATAAATAGTGGAAGGTAGAGGGTCTTGGCAGTGTGGAGGGGCGTACTTTCTTCCCAAGTCCACAGTGGCAGGGAAAAAGCCATGTTTCTCTGGGACATGGAAGTGACTTAACCCCTCACAAGAGGCCTTGAGCAGCTCTGTCTGGCACAATCAGCACACACTAGACCCTGCTTCCTCCGTTGACTTATGCTCTTTGCTTTAGGAAGGGTTTTATCCTTTTCTCTAAAGTCCTGTCTGGCCAGTTCCGCACTCTGGAATCAAAACACCCTTCTCTTTCCCCTTGCCTTGGAGGTACCGCCCAACACCCTATCTCCATGGTAATTTCTTGTTGCCACTTATTTTTCTCCAGACACACATTTCTTGACCTACAGTTCCAAGTGTGCTTTGCTGTACTGGGGGGCTTTCTAGAGAACGATGTGCAATCAGCTAACCCTGGCACTCAGGCCTGGGGGTTTGGGCTCTAGCCCCCTCCCTGGCCTCATCTTCTTTCCTCCCCTTGGTGCACCCACCCTCCGAACACCAGCTCCTTCAGTGTGCTCCCCTGCTGCCTCCTGCTCCCAGGCCTCTCTGGTGCCATCCCTGCTGCACGGGGCACCCTGTGTCCATGCTCTGGCCACCCTGAAGTCCTGATGAAACACTCCTTCTTCTTGAAAGCCTTTCTAATTCTAACTGGGCAGGGCTGCTTCCTTGTTCTGGAACTCTTCACTCATGTTTCTTTGATGGAATATATCTAATGTTGTCTGCATCAAAGCTATTACAATTATTTGGGTACATATCAAATCTTCCTCTTAAATTCTGATGCCCTGTATGTCACTGAGTATGAATGCTGTTAATACGTTGTAGGTTTAAAGACATTTATTCAACTGACACTTGTCTTTAGTAGCCAGCCCATCTCTTCTTTGGGTGGTGTCTCTAGCCGAGAATGGCACCTCAGTCTCCAGACTGCCCAGGGTTCTCCCCTCACCGCACAGCCATTTAATCACCAAATAGATCGGGCAGTCCATTTAATGCAAAGATTCTCTGACATGTGTGTCCAGATGTTCAGACGGAAGCAGAGATTCCAGCTGCCACTCCCCAGCCCTTTCTCTATCACTGTTTAGGACCTGTGATGTCCCACAGCACAGAGCTGGGACCACTGCTTTCAGGTGTGATCCTATCTTTTTAAAATTTTTAATCAGCGAATTTTAAGAAACATAGAACTTGTAAGCCCCAGAAGACAGAACCTCTAATGATGACATTTCAGCCCTGCGCCAGATAGGGGTAGAAGGGATACTTTTGTGAATGAGAAAACATTCAGATTCTCAAAAATCCACACTCTGTGAGTTATTATTTGCTTTACCTACTCATGGTGGTTAAGAAAGCAGCAACAGGTAATACCTTCAGATTCATAAAGTCACAGGCAGTCTGGTTCATTTAAACTTGACATGTAGAATGGATTAGAAACCACTTTGATCTGGTCAGCCTGAGGCCACATGGTTGTATATTAAATCTTTTGTCTCAAGGACCAAGGGCATTTTTTTTTTCCGTTGAGAAAAGTACAGTCCACTCAGAGGTGCTAAAATAAATCCCACATTTTTTTTTCATTATTTTCTGGAATAGTGTTTGAATGATGGGCAAACCCTCAAGTGGAGAATTTGCTTTCACACACGTAGCAGCTTCAACTGCTGAGATCATGTTGTTCAGCACCCATTCTAATCCACATGGAAAGGGGCACGGGGGTGTTGTGGGTGGGGAGGGGTGGTGCAGCTCTGGGCCCCAGGGGTCTTGGGAGTGATCCATTTCTGGATGTCTGCATTGTGTGGGGTCCCGTCATTCACTCTGTCACTTGCTCTGACTTGAGTTCGCTCTCCAGATCGATTTCATTTTCTGCCACCATGGTGAAGATCAAAGAGGGATCAAGAGATACAGAGGAAGGAAGCAGAGAGAGGAAGAGAAAGAGAGAGAGATTAGCAAGCAAAGCAGAAACAGTTTATGCAGGAAATACAGAAATTACTCCACCAGAATTGATTAAGAATGCATAGTTTAGGTACAGCCAGTGTGAAGAACAGTTTGGGATTGTGGAATTTGTATCGTTCTGAGAATTTGCAGAGTCATACATCCTGGCTCATGAGGATTATAAAATTCTGCCCCTGGAGGGAGCTTTGCCTGCATCTGGTCCAAACCCTCACTTGACAGCATTTAGAGTAGAACAGGGCTTGTCCCGGGGTCACCACAGCAAGGTGGAGGCAGGGCCAGAACAATGACCCATAATTCCCAGCTTCTTTTCTAGTGCACGTTTCTTTACCACAGAGTGCACCCCTCTTGTCTGGAAGCAGAGATTCCAGCTGCCACTCCCCAGCCCTTTCTCTATCACTGTTTAGGACCTGTGATATCCCATGGCACAGAGCTGGGGCCACTGCTTTCAGGTGTGATATCTATCTTTTTAAAATTTTTAATCAGCGAATTTTAAGAAACATAGAACTTGTAAGCCCCAGAAGCCTGGGGACTCTCGACTCCTCAGTCCTGTCCTTGCCTCTCCCCTAGGACCTAGCACAGTGCCTCGTACAGAGAGATGCTCAATAAATACCTACAGAGTGAGCAAAGATGCTGGGTATGACTGAATGGGAATTCTAATAGTCTTAATCCAGCCTATTTTGGGAGAATAGGGTCATATCAGGGAAACAGTTTCTCTTTACTACAAAATGACAGGGTGTTCTGTTGTATGCTAATGTAAGTCAGGGAAAAATTATTAATGTTTCCTACTTTCCAAAAATGTGAATGAGAGAAATGAAACCACTTCCTAGTGAGGGGATTGGGTTGGGGCAGGAGGAGTCCGTTTATCTTTTGCATGTTTCTGGCCCTCCATGGGTATGGTATGTATATTAACCCAGTTAATCCCCACAGCAATCTTGAGGGCAGGAAACTGAGGCCAAAGAGTCTGAATACACTGATTACAGCTGAGAGGGACTGTCAGCTTGTAGAGTCTGCATTTGTATCTAGAACTTCCTAATTCCAAAGCCTGATTCTATCCAGGACACCCCATATCCTCCTTTACCTTCTCCTTCAACATGGCCCTTGCTTTGTTCTGCAGAGTGCTTTGCTTAGAACCCAGTCACAGCACTGCACCTCGAGCCTCAGATTGGAGGAGGTGGTGGCTGTGGCCACCACCACTTGAGTTCCGCCATGCCCGGACCTTGTCTTTTCCGTCCGACTTCCCTATGGAACTCTGTGCAGGCATCCAGTCAACATTTTTTGAAACATTTTGTTAAAGTCATAAAATGCCCCCTCCTTCCCCATGCTAGGCTCTGACTCCAGCTACATCATATGAAAAGGAAAAATTTCATCATATGAAAAGGAAAAGAACAATCGTATTTTACTTCAAAGTTCTTCCTGGGATTTGCGTTAAGGGAATGTCCCCCTTGGGACAATGGCAGGAGATTTGTCTGCCTGCTGAATCAAGGCCATGTAGGAGAAAGGGAAGAGGATAGCGCTCCAGTTTGCATGAAAATTCATGAAAGGAAGATGGGTGGGACCAACTCTAATTCGTTTTTGTTTGTTTGTTTGTTTTTTCTTTTTTGAGATGGAGTCTTGCTCTGTCACCCAGGCTGGAGTGCAGTGGCACGATCTCGGCTCACTGCAATCTCCGCCTCCTGGGTTCCAGCAATTCTCCCGCCTCAGCCTCCCGAGTAGCTGGGATTACAGGCGTGCGCCACCATGCCTGGCTAATTTTTGTATTTTTAGTAGAGACTGAGTTTCACCATGTTGGCCAGGCTGGTCTCGGACTCCGGAACTCAAGTGATCCACCTGCTTCTGCCTCCCAAAGTGCTGGCATTACCAGCGTGAGCCACCATGCCAGGCTCTAATTCTTGACCTCACCAAGCCATTGTAAAGCAAATTCTCCCTTCTCTCTCCCTTCCTTCCCTGACTATTTCTGTCACTGTGCCTCCTCTCATCAATGTTGGCCATAATAAGTTTCTAAAACTGTGGTCCTTATAAGTCTTTCATTGAAATCACCTGGGTGTTGAGGGGTGGTTGCAGGGGGTGGTGGTGAGGTGAAGGGGTTGGAAGCCTGTATTTTTACAAA
This sequence comes from Homo sapiens, assembly GCF_000001405.40. NCBI lineage: Eukaryota > Metazoa > Chordata > Mammalia > Primates > Hominidae > Homo > Homo sapiens. The sequence goes on from NW_025791769.1 coordinate 59,262, forward strand.
GCTCAGTAGATGATTTATATAGACTATATCATTTTAAAACCACTGGCACATATTCTAAAATATAAAGCTAGTCCAAACTCCTTATTTTATAGTTGAGGCGAAGGGTCTTATTCACAGTCACAGAGTTGGTTAGGGGCAGAGCCAAGGCAAGAACTCTGGGTCCCAGGAGCCAGTGAAGAGCTGTATCCTCTGCTTCATGCAGGCCCACTGTGCTGATCCCACAGCCCTTCCTGCACAGCCCTAAATCATGAGCTGTCTCAGAAGATGAAGGGGATATGGCTGATGGCCATGTGAAGACTAGCAAGGTCACTCAGCTCTGGGCACCAGCACCAAACTAGTTTCCTGAATTAGCAATTGCCAAAGCTGGTTTTGAACCTGGACACGTGCTATTCCTTTAGTAAGTCTGGCAACCCATCCGTGGGCTGAAGTAAAATTGGTATTTAACAAAGTACTGGGCCCACAAGAAGTTTCTTTTGGGATTCAAACATCTTATTGCCAAAAGGGGCACTGATACTCTTTTTTTTCCCAACCCTTGTGTGTCTGTTAAATTCCTGCTCCCATCCCCCTTAGAGTGCTCCTGCCAAGCTTTCACCCTTGCATGCTCTGCTCGGATCCCGCCAGTGCTGGGGAGCTCAGTATCTTTATAACAACCCATTAGGCTTTCTTACTTTTACAGGTGGGAATCTTGTTACTCCACGTCCCATCCTTCAGACACTCAATCTGGAATGTGTCCATCTCCACATTATCCTGGGAAGAGACAGGAAGAAGGGAGTGGGAAGAAGGAGGTGGGGGTGGTGTCAGGGGTTTTTTCCTAGCAAAACCAACTCAAGCTCCACACGTGTCTTGATCTCGACTGAGATTTTCCACCCATGGGCTTCCAAGGGTGAGCTTGAAGGTAGGGGAAAGATACATGCTGAATTCATACCTCCTTTTCATACTCTGGAGAGGGGCAAGGGCTGTGTGCAAGAAGGGGTTTGGGCAACTATCTCTGAAGGGAAAACGGTAAGCATTGACTCCTTTTTCAGAGCAGTGCTTCTCAAACCAGGGCAAGCGGTCAGCATCTCCTAGAGAGCTTGTTAAAACATAGGCTGCTGGGCTTCTCCCCCAGAGTTTCTGATTCAGTGAGGCTGGCCTACCCAAGCATTTGCATTTCTAACAAGTTCCCGGTGATGCTGAAACTGAACACCCCTCTTTGAGAACCATTCCTTGAAAGCGATGGTCCTCTAGCTTGGCTGCACCAATCACTGGTCCCAGCCCCAAAAAGTCTGCTTTAACTGATCTCAAGTGAGAGCTGGGAGGTGATTTTTTTAAAGCGAACCATGTGATTCCTAGAACTACTGCTTCTGGGGGTGGGAGAGTGAGGGGAACCCATCTGTTCCTTTTTTTATTTTTTGAGATGGAGTTTTGCTCTTGTCACCCAGGCTGGAGTGCAAAGGCGTGATCTCAGCTCACTGCAACCTCTGCCTCCTGGATTCAAGTGATTCTCCTGCCTCAGCCTCCCAAGTAGCTGGGATTACAGGCGCCCGCCACCACACCTGGCTATTTTTTGTATTATTTAGTAGAGATAGGGTTTTGCCATATTTGCCAGGCTGGTCTCAAACTCCTGAGATCAGGTGATCCACCCGCCTGGGCCTCCCAAAGTGCTGGGATTACAGGCATGAGCCACCATGCTCAGCCCCATTTGCTACTTTTAAACTGTTTACTTCCTTTCCTGGTATCCCACTCCACTCCCCTCTATAAGCCCGATGAACTTTGTTACAGTTCTCAGCCTTGATTATAGAGCTGTATGGATCCATATTTTAAAAATTCAAACCAGCTCATGCTCTGATTAAAAAAAAAAAAAAAACAAACTTTTGTGCCACTTTCAGAGTGTGAGACCGCCTGGGACGCATGCTTTGGAATTTCTGGAGCATTTGAGAAGTTGATGGGCAGCTAGGAAATTCTGTGCTGGAACTATGACAAGTTCTGGCAGCCCATCTGCCCTGGGGAGGGGCAGGTTTCGAGAGTTTCTGTGGCCTGGTCACTCCCCTTTCCCAGGCAAGGCTCTGCACCTTCAGCACTTTGTAGCCTGTGTCACAGCTGACGAGCACTTGGTCTTTGAAGAAATACTTGGCTTGGGAGGGCTCGATTTTCCCATGGACAGGAGGCTGTAGCTCTGGGCACTCATTTCCTGGTGAGGAGCAAATGAAAGAACAGCAGGTGAGAAAAGAGAATTCTGACCTTAAAGGGCCAGTCCCTAGAAAGCAAGGCCTGATGAAGGTGAATAAAACATGGAACTGGGTATTGGAGGCATGGATCTTCCAAGCCCTGCAAGAGACTAATTCTGGAACCGTGAATAGGGCAGTTTCCAACTTGGACCACCATGTCCTTACTTGTAGAATGAAATGGTTGACCAGATGATTTCATTAAAACACAGGGTTGGGAGGAATGTTAAATGTCATTAAATCCAATCCTTGTCTGATGCTTCTCTTAAAATATCCTCCGCAGTAGATGCCAAACAGACTGCTCAGCTAGGAGCCCCACCAGGTCCAAACCTGCATCCCTCCTCCCTCAGCCACTACCTGCATCTTTCCTCCCTCAGCCACCACCCCTGGGAGGGCTAAGCATGGCAGCTCAGGGACACAGTGACAGGGAGCTCAATGCCTCCCTAACCTTTCAGGCACGGACTCTGCTGATTACATGAACACTGCATTCCTACTTAACTGAAATTTGCGCCCCTGTAATTTTCACTCATTTGTCCTCTTGGGCCACCAAGGATGACCCAAATTGCTCTTTCTTCCCGAGGCCCTTCTTCAAAGCATTAGAAAGACTGTGATCATATGCCTCTGAGTCCTCTCCTTGAAAGGCTAAATCTGACAGGCTCTTCAGGCCTGGGCCTATCCCTGACACTTTTTCTGAGACAAACTCTCCTTTGTTAAGATCTTCTCTACTCTCCCGCATCTGAGCAGTGTATGTGATAATGCAGGCAGGGCCAGAGTTTTAGTTTATGAACTAGATTAGTCATGCCCAGCTGCGATCTTTTGTCACTGATGTTCACCCTCTCCTTCCTTGGGTTCCTACAGACCAGTTACTGCAGGTTGAATGGCTCGATCAAGGTTTGGGCCAGGACTGGCTGACTTGGGGGATGGGGGCATGAGACCCATGGGCTTTGCTGATGGGGGGCCCACAAGGAGGCAAAGCACCATAATGAAACATTCTGGGCTAGAAACCCACATCCAAATTCTAGCCCTAGACTTGGAGAAGGCTGGAGCTGAAAAGGCCCTCCTCAAGTCTACTGAATCACTGTGTGAGGGGTAGAGTTCAGGAAACAAGATTTCTTTTTCTTTAATCTCTCTATGCGATACTGAAGTACATGTTTTGAAAACCATCAGTCTAGTCCACCCAACATTATTGTTGCCCTTGCCCCCATTTTATAGATGGAAAACTGAGTCAGGAGAAAGCACGTGCCTTGGTCCCCAGCTGCTCAACTGGGAGTCCCATCAGGTCTCCAGAGGAGATCCAAGCCTGCACACCTCCTCCCTCAGCCACTGCCTCTGCAAGGGCTAAGCACAGCAGCTCGGTGTGACCTGGGAGGGAAGAGGTTACCTGCAGCCCTGTATGAGAGCCTCCAGCCCCGGTTCTCTCCCGAGTTGTCACTATGGAACAGGATCAGGACACTGTGGCTCTGGGTGCTGATGGGTTCTGGGGCTTTCTCTCCACAGAAAGGCCCCAAAACTTTTGGACCAACTTTGATCTGCAAAATATGAGAGAGAGAGAGAGAAATAGAGTGTTCCATCTGAGCAGCCAAAATGGCCACTGCAGGTAACACCTCTCCACTGCACTCTGGGTTTTCTGGAAGCTTCCATATGAACCCTTGGTATTCACTTAGGTTTTTAGTGAGCCTTACCATTCACCAAATGGTTTCATCTTCATTCTCTCTTTTATAATTTACAATGGCTCTTGACGTGGACAAGGCAGGTTAATAATCCTCTACTTAACTATTTACAATAGCGAAGGTGTAGAACCAACTCAAATGCCCATCAATGATAGACTGGCATTGATGTGGCACATATACACTGTGGAATACTATGCATCCATACAAAAGGATGAGTTCATGTCCTTTGCAGGGACATGGATGAAGACGGAAGTCATCATTCTCAGCAAACTAACACAGGAGCAGAAAACCAAACACTGCATGTTCTCACTCATAAGTGGGAGTTGAAAAATGAGAACACATGGACACAGGGAGGGGAAGATCACACACCAGGGCCTGTCAGGGGGTGGCGGGGCAAGGGGAGGGAGTGCATTAGGACAAGTACCTAATGCATGTGGGGCTTAAAACCTAGGTGACGGGTTGATGGGTGCAGCAAACCACCGTGGCACATGTATACCTATGTAACAAACCTGCATGTTCTGCACATGTATCCCAGTACTTAAAGTAAAATTAAAAAAAAATCCTCTGCTTAAAGATGAACGTATTGTGGCTCAGAGAAGGGCAGAGTGCTGTCTGGTGCATAAAGCAGAGATGATCTCTGCTGTCAAAGAACCTGCAGTCTAGTTGGGGGGACTAATAAGAAATAATAAACAAAATAATTGTAGGCTGTCATAAGGGTTATAAAAATAATCAAGATGATATGCATATACAAAAGAAATATATGCTGTATGTTTATAATTGATGTAAAATCTATGTAACCTATAGAAGTAATCATTCCTATAATGGTAATATAATAGATAATAACTTTAGGTAATCAAGGAAGGCCTTTCTCTGAGGTAGCATTGGGGATCTGAGATATGTAGGATGAGTATGAGCCTATTTGAAGAGAAGGGAAGAACACTTTATAGGGAGAGAAAACTGCATATGTAAAGGTCAAAGCCAAGGGTGGGAAAGAGCTTGCCTAGTGTTAGGAACAGGCAGGAATCCAGGCTGGCTGGGCAGTGGGAGTGCTGTGGCATGAGGTTGGAAAACAGACAAACGCCACTTTGTGTTGAGAGATTTAGGTTTAATTTCAAGTGCAAACTCGATCGAATCTAGCTTTTATAAAGATCACCCTCAATGCTATGGGAGAATAGATTGTGTAGGGCAAGAGTGGAAGCAAAAAAACAAAACAAAACAAAAAACAGTTGGGAAGTTTTGCAGCTGAGCAGGAGGGAGGTGATGAGTTTGCAGGAGGTTGGGGGCAGTGGGGGAGAGAAGGCAATAGGCTCTATTATCTGATCCGGATTCCCCACCTCTCAGTCCTGGTTCTTTTCCATGTCTTTAACCTGTTTTTTCCCCATCTTTGAGGGCCATGACTCCTTATCTATCATTTGGTGACTTCTGCAATCCCAAGTGATATCTTTGTCCTGTCCTTATTGAGGAGAGGGGAAACAAATGAAGCCCCAAGAGGTTGTGTGCTTGGGTGAGGCTCCCATGTGTAGCTTCTGGGACACCATGGCAGGCAGAATTCTAGGGTGGTCCTCCTGACCTTCACCCCTAGTGTTACTTTGTGATGATGTTATGTTAAATGGCAAAAGGGATTTTGCAGATGTATTAAAGTTATTCATTAGTTGACCTAAAGTGAGGGAGATTATCTGGGTGGGCCTAACCCAATCACACGAGCCCATTCAACACAGTTTCCTCCTGCTGGTAGCAGCAGCAGAAGTCAGGGAGATTTGAAGTGTAATAGGAATTTGATGGAAGGGACTGTCTCTGATGGCAGGGGCCAATGTAAAAGTATCTGAGCGCAACTTCTAGAGCTGAGAGCCACCACTGGCTGACAGCCAGGAAGAAGAAGGGGATTTTAGTCTTACATCTGCAAGGAACTGAATTCTGCCAACAACTTAAATGATCTTGGAAGTTGATTCTTCTCCAGAGCCTCTAGATAAGAGCTCCATCAGCTGACACCTTGATTTCAGTTTCATGAGACCCTGAACAAAGAACCCCATTGTGCTCACTGGGATTTCTGACTGACACAATGCTGGGATAAGAAATTGGCATTGTTTTAAGCTGTTATGTTTGTGGTAGTTTGCTAACACAGCAAAATAGAAAACCGGTGGCCTATGCTTCCTGCTAACCCCCTCCAGTCAAGCTGCCTCTTAGCCTCTGTACACAAGTAGGGGACAGCCCAGGCTCTAAGTTCTAGAGTTTTCTTCTGTGTCCTCTCAGGCTTTTCTGCCTCTCTCACTGTTGACAGCTTTCTCCTGGGCAGTCTCATTTTCTGGCTCTTTCTGACCTCTTCTGTGGGTTCCTCTTCCTCCATCTAGGTCTCATAATCTATTATGTTCTAGCTTCCTTTTTTTTTTTCTAGGACATCCCGCCATTTCCACAGTTTAAATCAGCACCTCTTTAAACATTTCATGGCACCCATCTTTATCCCCAGCTCAGGGTCTCTTCTGAGCTAGACCCTAATATTCAGCTCTACTTGGATGTCTTGGCTGATCACTCTATAAGAATTGCTGGTTTTACTTTCCACATATCTCGAAAATATCTCCCCCATTATCCCAGCCATGGCTCAAATTCAGGCTGCCATTCCTTCTTAATTATAATATTGAAATAACCACAAGTTGAGTAGTTATTTGCCTGTGGTATTTGTTCCGTCTTTATTTGCCTTTGACATAGCCTCTTCCCGCAAGTGGGCCCAGCAGCATAATTTGTGAGGTCTGGGGCAAAATGAAAATACGGGGACCCTTATTTAAAACAAATTAAAATTTTCATACATTCTTCTTTGCCTTGGTAGTAGGTTAAAAAAATAAACAGAAGAAAAATAGTTTCATATGTTTATTAAACCAAGCATGAGGCCCTTCTGTGCACAGGGCCCTGTGTGACGGCATGGGAGGCGTGCTCATGAGGCTGGGCGTGCCCGCCAGAGACCTTTCTAAAATGCAGATTCACGACTCTCCTCCTCAAGCCACCCTAGTGGCCAGTGGGGTCATTTCGGATCAGAGATTCCTGGAATAGATCTAACTAAGATGGTAGATATTATTTTAAATAATGCCTTTTTGAGGAACTAGCTGCTAGGCTCTCTATCCTGGGAGAAGAAGGTGAAGGTTCCGCAATATCAATTTTCCCAACTCAGCCAAGATTTTCCAGCATCTCCAGGACAAGTGTTCATTGCAGGCTCACCTTGATGTAGTCATAGGGGCAGGGCACCTCAGGATGGTCCTCAATGTCAAATATGTCCTCAAACTGCAGGTTGACCATGAAACCCTCCTCCAGCTCGATGGTATACAGGCATTCAGAGCTCTTGGGGTAAGGGTTTGGGAAGTCAGGGCTGGTGATCACCCCAGTCCTTTGAGTGAAGAGGTTGTCACTGCACTCCACTGTTGGAAACATAATAGAGAAAATGGCGCATCGCAACCACAGCCATAGCAAGCCTGGCTTATCTGTTACTATATGATTTTCCCAATGGTCCCAAGCAGTAGACAGGGAAGGTATCGGCATCTCCATTTTACAGATGGGAAAAATGAAGCTCAAGGTCGCATGTCTAGTAATTTACCGAGCTGAGATTCAAGCACAGATTTTCTAATTGTCTGTCCAGGGCTGTTTACCCTGTGTGAAGATCCTTCTCATCAGATCCTCTGGTATGGGGGTCAGGGAGAGGGATCTGAGAGGGAAGGGTTTTGAGATGGAGTGGTCAGGGGGATGCCTGGACCTCTGTGATCATGTCCTCCCTGTACCCAGAACTTCAGGAGATCCCTCATCTCCTACAGGCCCTTGACACACACCCTCACTCCTCACTGTCTAACCCCTGTCTTTGTTTTGTTTTTCTTTATAGTGCTATTCACTCTGTTCAACTAAATGTAGCCTTAAGCTTCCTTCTTACTTATTTTATTTTATTTTATTTTATTGAGACAGAACTTTACTATGTCACCTAGGTTGGAGTGCAGTGGTGCCATCTCAGCCCACTGCAACCTTCGCCTCCACCTCCACCTCCACCTTCTCCCAGTGATCCTCCCACCTCAGCCTCCTGAATAGCTGGGACGACAGGCACGTGCTATAACACCTGGCTGATTTTTGAAGTTTTTGTAGAGATGGGGTCTTGCTATGTTGCCTAGGCTGATCTCAAATTCCTAGACTCAAGCCATCTTCCTGCCTTGGCCTCCCAAAGTGCTGAGATTACAGGTGTGAGCCACCTCGCCCGGCCTCCTTACATATTTTAAATTCAGCCTGAAGGGTTCTGCGTACATGGTGAACTGCAACCTAACTGGATTTTTAAGTAGACTGTAATCTACTGTCTTACTGTAAACTAAAAATAAAATCCTAAGCCCTCCACTGACCTAATGGGCCCCCTGTGGCAAAGGATCTCCAGAAAAACCTTAAAACGGAATTCCTGGCCATGATGGAGTGGTAGGTTAGACACTCCTTCTATATCCCCTTTTCTCTGCAGTTTGGACACAACAACTGACCAACATTAATGTTAAATAGAGATCATGAGAGTGAGAAAACAGACTCCTTGTGGAAATAAAATACCAAATTATAAATGATGAAGGAACTAAGGCCATGCCAGGCAAGGGTTAAGTCACGCATCCCTACACTGAAAGCATAAACTATGTTCTAACGATGCTACAAAGTTTTTCTTTTTCTCCAGCAGCTGAACAAGTACTGGCCTTGTGGTAAGTGATATGAAAACAATTTTCAGCTCTACCAGATGCTGACTGTCTGATCCCCACCCTGTTCCACCAGCCATAACTGTAGCTTTGAATGGACAAGACATTGATTTCAGTCACTTTCTTTTGATAAGAGACTTCTGACCATGGCCTGGTTCTCGCCAGTTTACAGAGGCTGCACACCTGAATGTCTCCCATCCTGAAAGGACGTTTAGACCCTAACTGTAATACATTTAATGTGAAGTCTCCATCCCAAAGTGAACATGGGTCATGTGTTGCATACATATTTGTTTAATATGCATGTGTCAGGACCACTCTTATGAATATTCACAGCTCCTCCTATAACCTGTTGAATATGTATGTTTAGCCAACCTGTTCAGCATAAAGCTCCTATCTCAACCCCTCCTCCTTTTAAGTGCCTGTCTCTGGTCTTGGCTGGAGGTGGTGCTTCCCAGACTATGAGGACGGCCACCTGCTGTAACCCTTCATAAGGAATAAAATCTCCTCTCTTTTTCTAAACTTACAGATTTGTAATCTTGATTTTTAAGTTAACAGTACCAATCACAGAGTTTTGGCCAGTCACGGGTGGCCATCTGTTCAAACTGCCTTCAAACAAGGCAAATACCAAGCTGTAAGTAATTTGGCTGTTTCTGTACCTGACTTCCATTTTCTGTCCATCACTTTCCTTCTACTTCCCATAAATATTATCCAGCATGAGCAACCCTGGAGTTGCTCTGAACATATTCTGGTGGTGGTAGGGTGGGTGCAGGGGAGGATTCTCAAATTGTTCTTTGCTCAGTTAAACTCTGTTAAATTTAATTTGTCTGAAGTTTTTCTTTTAACAGCTCCCTATATTGATTTTCTTGCTCCCAGTAGACTGTAAGTTCTGTGAGTGCAGGAATTCTGCTTCGTTCCCCACTGCATTTACTGCACGCGAGAATCCACTGTCCTGGGAACCCAGACGTGACTTTAGCCCTGCTAAGGAACATTTATGTGTCACTAAGTCTTTACCCTTGGGCCAGTTCATCCTAGATCTGGGATGTCAATGTTTCTACGCCCTTGTTCATTCTGCTTATTTGCAAATGAGAAAACTGTAGTTCTGAAAAAGGGGTCTTGACTATCTTAAAGTTTCACAGCTATGAGCTGCAGGACAAGGTGAAGATGGAAGTCTCCTGAGTTCCTGACTGTTTTCATTTTTTACCCCAAGCATTCTCATGGGGGCGATCTTGCCCTCAAGAAAGCTAAAATTCCTTCTTGGTGGGGAAGGTCTTGCTTTTTAAATGCACAATACACAGATGGACATACAGTACATAAACAGATATATAGTCTATCTGTGATATTAAAATTTCATGGTGGGGGCCTTAGGAAAATTATATTTAAAAAAGCTCCTGGTGAAGGGTGAAAATGAAGAAAATGAGTGAGAAACCTTGCTCTGCCCTAAGCATTCTTGGCCCTGACTGTACTGAACACATAGTAGATACTCAAGAAGAACTTAACCGAATAAAAAAATAGAAAATATACACTCTTTAAGAAAAATCCTGCACGTGCCTGTTCTTTTGGTTTTGGATTGCTTTATACTGATGTGTTATATAGGGTTTTATTCAGAAGCAAATAGCAGGTTTTGAAGGAGGAAGAAAAAAACTTTTGTCTCCAGACTTGTGCTCCCCCAGTGATCCCTCACTCAGCTTCCAAGTGAGATTTCAAGCACAGATGCTTATCCTGGACCACACTAATCTATTGACTGTTCCCTGAAACATTCCAAGTTCTACCACACTTCTGACTGTTTGCAGAAGCTCTTCTCTCTGCCTGGAAGGCCCTTCTTCTCTTTATTCTTTCATCTCTGTCAAGGGTCACAACTCTGGGAAGTGTTTGCCTGCACAGGTCTGATTGTGCTATGTCCATACTTCCATTACATAAATGTAATGGAAACATTAATGTTAAAATGGAGACCATAAGACACTTCACCATTTGCTTACATGCCCATTACCCCACTAGCCCAAGAGCTCCTCCTAGAAAGTGGCTAAACCCTTCCATTTCTCCATCCCTCCCTAAGCACGAGACTATAGCATAGTAGGTACGTTGATGATAGATGAAAACAAAGATAGATAGAAGGAATGGGAAGTTTTCTGGCTGTTTCTGTTTGCCTCTTTCCTCTCTCACTTCTTTGCTTTGGACTGAGGTCTCTCTATTGTAGAGGAACTTAGGGGCCATGGAAAAGAAGAGAAAAGGAGTTGCTGGGTAAAGCATAATTCGTGGCTCAAAGAGAAGGAACTGGGAAACCCAAGTTTTCCCCTAACTTGACCAGACCAATTGCCTACAATAGGATAGGAGACAGCAACCTGTATAGTGAAAAATGCTGCCCCAGAAAGAAAGATGGCCAAATAGTCTAGAGCTTCTCTCCTTTGGGAACCCAAGATCAGGTTTCCAGGCTGGGTGGGCATTTCTGCATCTTCATCCATGTGGTGTCTGAGGTGCATCATTGACTTCATTTTTACTTGTTCCTATTGCATATCTGTCTTTCTCTGAGCCTCATCTAATGTTATTGAGGATGTGGCCTATAAGGGCAATGCATACAATCATTGGTAGGCTCTACCTCGGCAGGTCCTGTTGTCTGTGTGGAGGATGTAGCCGAAGCGGCAGGAGCAGTAGTAGCCGCCAATGTAGTTGTGGCAGTAGTGGTCACAGGACAGCTCCTCGTCCTCCCTCTCCTTGCACTCGTCCACATCTGTAGGGCAGGTAAAGCCTCTCCATCAATACATGCATGATGATGAAGACTACAGCCAACATTTATAGAGCACTTGATATGGGCCACTCACTATGTTAGGAGATTCATGCGTTCTCTCATTTAATCCTCTCATACAGCCCAGAGGTAGCCATTATCTTCACTTTACAGACTAGGAAACTGGAACTCAGAGAGGTTAGGCAACTTACCCAAGGTCACAAAAAGCCAAGTTCAAACCCAGGTAACTTGACTTCTGGTGGGACCACTATCCTCTAACAGTTATAATAATAACTGTGTGTGGGACAACAACCTCAGGAAGAATTACACATTTGTTACTATGCATTCTGTTACTAGTCACATTCTATGGAGGATGAAATGGCGACATAGAGGCATTAACAAACTTAGAATCACACAGATAATAAGTGGCAGACCCAGGATTTAAATACAGACAAGCTGGGTACAGAGCTTGTGCTCTTAACTTCTACCTCATGCTACCTCTTTCTTTCTTTCTGCCCCTAATGTGGGTCAAGCCCTGTCCTAGGCATTTGAATGTACATTTCCCCAAAAGGGATAAACCAATGGCCAACAAGCACATGAAAAGATGTTCAACATTGCTAGTCATTAAGGGAATGCAGTTTAAACCACAATGAGGTACCACTACATACTCACCAGAGTGATTAAAATTTTTAAAAATTGACAACATCTAATGTTGGTTTAGATGTGGAGCAGCCAGAACTCTCATACATTGGTGGACAGATAAAAAATGTTACATTTGCTTTGGAAAAGGTCTGGCAATGTCTCATAAAGCTAAACGTATACCTATCCTATGACTCAGCAATTCTTCTCTTACATATTTACTCAATAGAATTGAAAACATATGTTTGCAAGAAGACTTGCACAAGAAGGTTCATAAAAACTTTGTTAGTGAGAGCTAAAAAATGGGGAGATTCCAAGTAGCCGTCAATAAGAGAATGAGTAAACATACTTTAGTATATTCATACAATGGAAAATTACTCTGCCAGGAAAAGGAGCAAATTACTGATGCATGCGACACATGAATTAACTTCAAAAACATTATGCTGAGTAAAAGAATCCTCACCCCCAAAATGTATTCTGTATGTTTTCATTTAAATGAAGTTTTAGAAGAGGCAAGAACTAATCTACAGCAGAAAAAAAATCAAAACAGTTGTTTCCTCTAAGGGAAGTGGGAGCAGAGATTGACTGGCAGGGACACAAAGGAACCCCCTGGGCTGGTGGTAAAGTTCAGTGTCTTGTTAGAGGTTTGGGTTACACACAAATACAGATTTTTCAAAATTCAACAAATGTATACATGAGATATGTATATTCCATTTTATGTCAATTTTACACAAAAAGAAAAAATGCTGTGAACAAATATGAAACTCTAGCAAAATAATATGCATGCTGAATTATTTAGGAAGAAGTATACTGATGTCTGCAATTTACGTTAAAACACTTTGTAAAAGATGAATTGCTGGATGGATAGAGGGTAGATAGATGGATAGATACGTGATAGAGCAAATGCATTAAGACATTAATGGTAAAATCTATGTGGTGCACACACAGATTTCCATCGTAAAGGAGAGGTCACAAGGCAGTTTTCATCTTCGGAGAGAGAGAGAGAGACCTGAGGATGAGTCACTTCTCCAACTTACCCACAGCCATGTAGTGGGCATCAAAGCCTGTGAAACGCTCCTCATTGGAGAAATCTGACCGGAAAGTGATGGACATGAAGGAGCCAGGGGAGAGGACCACCTCCTGGCCGGGAGTCTGCTCTGTGTCTGTGGTCTCCCTGCCACAGAAGGTTGCCAGCACCTGGTCCTCAGTTTCTACCTTTGAGGTCAAAGAGAAAGGGAACAAGATGAGCAGTTTCCCAGCTAGGCTTCTTTCCTTATCTTTAGAAAGAAAAAGGAAGGGGCCACCCAAGAGTAGGCTAGTCAGCCTGAGAAACCCAAAGAAAGGAGGTTAAGGATTCTTGAGAAAAGACGCATTACAAGTTAATTCAATGTGGACATCTGATCAGTTTCATTCGTCTTATTTAGTTCCATTAGAAGTAGCTTGATATTTGTTGTTGCTGTCAATAACCAAGCAGCTTATTTATTAAAAATAACTCAATATGAAAGTTTTAAAAAGTTAGATAACCTCGCAGACAGATTCTCTGCACAACAGGAACTTACCACATTTCCAAAGAATGGAAACTGTATACACAATATAAGTCATTCATTGAGTATCCAGTGTGTGCCTACTGCCGAGCAAAGCATGAGATGGAGGTGATGAGAGATAGACACAGTGCTGTGCACACAATAGCAGTGTTGAGATTGAGGAACACAGACACAGGCAGGTATTACACAGTGTGACAAATGCTTTCACACAAGCAGAAGCACTGCATATGCACTCAAAGCAGGCAAACAATCCACATTAGAATATAAGCTACAGGAGAGAAGGACTTTATTTTCTTTATAGATGTGTCTTCAGTGCATGGAACAGGACCTGGCACATAATAGTTATCCAATAAACATTTGTTTACAAGAACTGAAAGTACAAGCCCCATTCTGTGAACAGTGAGTAGCCAGGGAGTCTGTGGGGATTGTAGGAGGAGATGTACTTGGAAGGATACATGGAAAGAAAATTATGGTTGACCTTGAATGCCATTAATTCTGTGAGTAAGTGGAAGACACTGAAAACTTTTAAGCAGGAAAGTCATGTAATGAAAACTAATGTTTAATAGGCAGTCTTAATACAGAAACTATTTATTGGAATCACCCAAAAATAGTTTGAGTGTGTATCTCTGTGTGTACATGTTTGTGTTAAGACTTAGATGCAAAAAACATGCCTGTTTGCTAAAAGAATTCCCTTCTTTGGAAGAGCCAGAGGCCCTGTGCGAATTCAGAGATCCAAGCAGAGATCCTAAACTGGTGGCTTAAAGCTGATTTTATGTGAGACAGGAGTTTGGGAAGCTTCGTATGATAGCTAGTTGGTATATTTATTTGAGTATAAATTCTTGACGTATCTATTCGATTATCTTATACCTAATCCAATTCTTTTAAGTTGTATTTGTGTTTGCAACCTCTGGACCAAATTTTAGCCAAGATGCATGAAAAAAATCTCTTACCAAGAATGATTCCTGCTGCCTTTCAAAGTCATTAGAGAAAAGTTCTCAAAGGCGGCTATCTCTAGTAGCTTCTAATGAATTCATTGTTTTGTTCGTTAGCTTAGCATGTCAGAAATATCTTGACATTTGACACTCCTGTTTTGAAACTAATGGTTTATTTATTTAAAATAAGTGGGAGTTTCAAAGAAAAACAATTTGCCCTGGCAACAAAACGCAAGTACAATTAATCACTAACTTTGGGAATTGAAGTGTAAACAGAAGATGAGATCATGGCTTTGCTATTTATTCCTCTTCTCTGCAGATACCAGCCGAACTCACACCAGTCTTGTTACTATAGAATGTGCCTATCTGCACACAGCTGAAATGTCACTTCCTTGAACCTCCCAGCTGCTGTGTTATTTTATCTGACTCAGTTTTCCAGATAGCCAAAGCTTTACCTAACTATAACTAAAAATTTTCTTTTTGGTGTAACACTTAAAAAAAAAAAAGTACTTTAAAGAAGTACCCACTTTCTCAAGTGAAACATGCTAACCCTTTCTTGGTGATCCAGGGACATTGTTATGAATGTCAACCATTGTGATACTATATTAAAGTGATAATCTTGGGGATATTGAGTTGTGTAATGTCGCTTGACCTGGCGTTAAACATTGCCGGACTATAAAGCCTTGAACTTCTGAAGTCTTCTTTATGTCATGTTTTATTTCCTGTCTTTTTATCAGCCTATTCACTGTACTTTTCTGTCTGCTTATTTTTAATATGTTGTGAATTAGAAACCAGTTAACTGCTTTTGCTAGAACTTAATAAAAAAAAGCTAAATAGATTTAGAATGAGGGCCTGGGAAAGGGATTCTTCTGTGAGTAACTGCATGAACTAGAGTACACCATCTTGGTGACCTCTGCTTTGGAGTAATACGATATACAGGAACCTGGCAGTTGGAGGTCCTGGGTCCTGTTCCTGACACTGCCGTATTCTGCATTTTGGGCCATCTCCTTTCTAGCTCTCAGTTATCCACTTGTAAAAACAGGGGTTTGGACTAGCTGAGCTCTAGATTCCTTTCCAATTCCAGACATAGCAGTCATCATAGTCTAACACAGTTCTAACAAATCATCATAGTCATATATTATATAAACCAACCAGAAGATGGTAAGCAGGAGTTTTAACATATGCAGGATTACTGCTTGCGGATGAACTTGAATTTGTTAATAATGAATAGTCATGCCTTGGGCATTAATAGTTCCAGCTACACAGGCTTCTTTCTGGAACTTGGTATCCCCAGTGCCTCTTGGGTTCTGCAGTGACTGGGACATGAACATTTTCAAGTGAACACACTGGTCATTTGGATTAGGGAGATACTACTGAGGGTCTGTGATAAATGACCTCCCTCCTTGTAACGTCTGGGCTGAAGGACCTTTTCATAATGGCAGATAAATCAGATAAATGGTTATCACCTGCAGAGCCACAGTATTCCAGAGAACAGGAAGCATGCCCCAGCTGAGGCCCATGGGAAAATTTGAGCCATACATCCTTTTAGAAGCAGAGAAGAGAAGGCCAGTAGCCTGGGGCCCTGGGAATTCAGCCTGCAGCTCAGAATAGAGTCCTGGAATATCAGAGCTGGGCGGGACCTTTAAGAGCTATTTCTATCTGCCTCCTTCTATAGGAAACAGAGGTCAAGAGAGGGGAAGTGACTTGCTCAAGGCTGGAGAGATAACATGAACATTTTCTGATATCAGTTTTGCTTTGGGAACTATTCTGAGATGAGAGAAAAGAACCCACCAACCCAGAGAGTACATGACTAAAGACACAGACACTTGGCCAAACAATTTTCCTGGCTCAAAGGCCTCTTGAAACCTTATCTTGGGTGCATGGACTGTCTCTTAGAGAGGATGTGGCTCAGTGACAGCTCCAGTCATAACCTAAACAGAGGGGTCACTGGTCCCGGTTAATATTTGCATCCTGTGCTGTGGAATATGGAGTTCTATAAAGATCATTTACCTCTGAGTATAGGCAGATTGAGACCTAGCTTCTATTTGGACTGTCCCCTCTCAGAGGTCATCATATCAACATGATGGAGGGACCTTATCAAGTGAAGACAAAACATTCATAATAATGGAGACCCATGTGGCTGCGAATAATAAACTCTTCATTTTTCTATTTCTTCTTGTGGGCGACTATGTCCTTAGAGACTATTGTTATTTAGGACACCAACATGTGGCTGTATGTCCTCAATTTGTTTTCTTTCAACTCAATTCACCAAATATGTGTGTACTAAGTTCTGTCTACACTTTAATGTGAAGGGTGCCAAAAATTATTTATTTGTTATACGAGCTCAATAAGCAAGTTCCCTGCCTCTAGGAATGTGACACTTGGTAGAAGAATAAGATAAGTACTCAAAGGTATATGTGTTGGGGTATTCTCAGGGTATCGTAAATGCAATCAAAGATGGGCTGCCCTGGGGGTTTAAGGAATGGAAAAGATTGAATCCAGCTGAGGGAAATCAGAAAACATTTAGGAAGAAGAGAATAATCTTTGAGCTGGAGACTGAAACGTGAATAGAATGTAGGCAGGTAGAAATCATAGATGGAGGGTAGGGGGTGGGTAGAGTATGTAGGGAGAGGAAATAGTGAAGGCCTGGGGTATTCAAATCTCAGCTGCTCCTCCCCACTACCCATTACCTGGCGTCAGAAAGGGGCTCTGTTAAGGACAGAGAGCTGGGAAGGCACATCTGATAAGGAGAAGCCAAGAGGCTTTGGTTTCTATGAGTTTTCTACCTCAGCAGAAACAGCACAAACCTGCTAGGCAAAACTATGGCAGGGCAGCTGGGATTGGCCAAATTTCTGTGGAAGGACAGCTACTCTATGGAAGAACAGCTACTCTATGGGAAGACAGCTACTCTATGGAAGAACAGCTACTCTAGGGAAGGACAGCTACTCTCGCTATGTATGGCTGCTCTCTGCATGTCCATAAATTCATTACATCAGCTAAACAAATGCATTGACAGCTACCAACTGGCTCCTCAAAGCAATGTATAGAGAAAGCAGCCCAGGGGGGATTGCTCTCCTTTTATAGATGAGGAAATTGAAGCCCAGATAATTTGAACAAATTGGGCAAGGTGACTGGTGAATCTAGTGAGTGGTGAATGAATCTCATGATAAATGAATCTAGTGAGTGGTGGATCCAGGTCCACAATTGCAGCATCCTGATTCCCTAGCCAGTGCTCCTCAAGACATTAGGCAAATAAACAAAGGCTGTCTTATAACCCAAATGCCTCATGACTTTGTTTGTCAATGTTCCCGAGCTATCTCCTGGAGCCTTTCTGAAATCTGCTCAGGGCCCTTGAGGAGCATTGCAGACTTAATTTAGGCAGACATTTAGGGAGTATGCTGGATTACCCTGTTGCCAGTTTAGTTAATCTGGGAGCTACGTTCCCCAGACTTTCTTTCCCTGTATAGTTCTAGATTAGAGTTGGCCAAAAGAGGAATTTGTGCAAGTTTGAAAGGCAATAGTCATTACTCACTGAAGGCTGTTTTGTAATCACATACAGAGAAAGAAATGTGTAGATGTGTCCAACACATCCTCACTTGCTCTCACGTTCCTCTACTCTGCACCCGGCTCTTTATAACTACTGGCTCTGATGACCAACAGTGGCCCATGCCTATCATCAGATACTTTCAGGTGAAACCACAGAGGTGGTAGCTGCTTACAGCCAACAGCTTCTCAGAGACCCTTTTCCATGAGCCTCCCCTTCATTGTTGCACTTTGGCCCCTTAGGTAGAATTGACTTATCAGATTCCCTTGCAGATGCCAATATTTCCACCCATGCCAGGGCTTTAAGAGAACTGCTTGGTGACCTTTTCTCTAATCCTTTAAATCCCCATTTCCAACTTTTACTTGCCCAGCTCCTTCTATAATTACGAGTTCTAATACCCATAAATATTCATTATCTCACATTACTCATAAAGACTTTGCTTTCCTGATTGAAGTCTGACTGAAATAGTTATTGATACCAGAAGTAGAATGCTGCAGTAACAAAAAACTAGAATATGTGGCTTCAGTTTTAGGATTGGCTAGCAAGTAAATTCTAGAAAAACAGTGAAGAGACTGCTATAGGAGTCTAAAACAGACCACTTGAATAATGCAATGGTGAATCAATTGGCAAAACTTGTCTGCGGCAACTTAGAAGGTAGAAAAATGTATGTAATGGGCAAGGTGTGATGCCTCATACCTGTAATCTCAGAAATTTGGGAGGCCAAGGTGAGAGGATCACTTGAGCCCAGGAGTTCAACACCAGCCTGGGCATCATAGCAAGACCCTGTCTCTACAAAAAATACAAAAATTAGCCAGGTGTGGTGGTGCGGCATGTGCCTGTAGTCCCAGCTACCCTGGAGGCTGGGGTGGGAGGATCACTTGAGCTTGGGAGGTTGAAGCTGCAGTGAGCCACGATCATGCCACTACACTCCAGCCTGGGCAACAGAGGACAGAGCGAGACTCTGTCTATGAAAAAGAAAGAAAGAAAGAGAGGAAGAAAGAAAGAAAAGAAAAGAAAAGAAAATAGAAAAGAAAAGAAAAGAAAAGAAAGGAAGGACTGTATGTAGTGAACTTGCATATCTGGCTAAGGAGATCTCTAGACAGAATGTTGAAAGTGTCAGTGTGTACTTCTGGTTGTGTATGGCAATGTACTTCAGGAAGAAGTAAGTCTTCAATATGTGAGCAGAACTTAGAGGAAATATAGAGGGCCCAGAACTAGCTGGGTTGGAAAACAGTTTATCCACTAGTAAAAGATTTTAAGGCCGGGTGTGGTGGCTTACGCCTGTAATCCCAGTACTTTGGGAGGCCAAGGTGGGTGGATAACAAGGTCAGGAGTTCGAGACCAGGCTGGCCAACATAGTGAAGCCCCATCTCTACCAAAAATACAAAAATTAGCTGGGCGTGGTGGTGTGTGCCTGTAGTCCCAGCTACTCAGGAGGCTGAGGCAGAGGAATTGCTTGAACCTGGGAGGCGGAGGTTGCAGTGAGCTGAGATCATGCCATTGCATTCCAGCCTGGGCAACAGAGCAAGACACTGTCTCAAAAAAAAAAAAAAAAAGATTTTAAAACCAAAAATGGCTTCAGGGTAAATGTCAAATCAATGGTGTGACTGTAAGAATCATTTGTTAAGACCTAGAAGATTTAAGGCAGTACCCAGTACTCCCTATCAGCCAGACCACAAGGCACCTAAGAATCTTAAGAGCATTATTCTGTAGCACCCTGACATGCCCTTCAAAGTAGGAAGACCTATTTTGAAAAGAATTGTGGATATGTTTTTCATCTAGTGGAGTGAACTATATTCTGCTACATTGGAGACCCAAAAAGATTTTAAGGGAGCTATATCCGCTTGGACTAGAAATGACTGTGGCAATTCAAAATGAAAAGAGGCTCCTGAGCCTCAGGTTTCTATGTACAGAAAGCGAACTGAATAGACTACTCAGCTACAAACATGGGCCATTTCTTACAGAAAGGAAAGAATGTCTCAGAAGACAAAGCTAAGAAGCCAGAGGCAGAGTCAAGATCAGAGGCAAGAGCCACTCTCACCACTCCCAGAGAGCAATGGACTGGGGATCCACTCTCACCCCTCCAAGGAAGCAGAACTGGGCTCTAATCAAGGAACATTCTTGGTATCTGGAGTTGGCAACATGTGCCTGGCTAAATTTCAGAATTACTATGGAGCAGTAATTGCTATATGCCTCTCATTTTTTCCATTTTTCAATGGAAATTCTATTGTGGTTATCTTATTCTTCTCTCACCAAGACAAGGAGATATTGAGCATGTGGAGAGCAAATAACTTTTCTTTTGGGTTCAGAGATCTCTAGATCAAGAAGAGATATACTTCAAGAGCTATACCTTTGTGTGTCATCTAATTCTAGACATGATTTAGATCATGAGGTCCTGGAGTTCAAGCCTGAACGGCTAATGGGATAAAACTTTGAGAGAAGGGGCAAAAGCACATTTCACATATGCAAAGGACAAGAATTATTTTGTCCCTAAGATAGATAATAATACATTGTTTGCAAAAATTATTCACAATACTTTCTTCCATTTCTGCACACAGATAATTCTGCAATGTAACTTCACTGCTCATTGATTGGCCTAACTTGGTCTGACAACAAGTATACGATGCGTTAAAAGCAGTATACTATTTCCAAATTTAGGCCTCAAGGGACCTTGCAGCTATTAACAAAGATTCTTTGCTTAGCCAAATTTTAGTCAGGCTTCTGAAACGTCTCCTCAACTCATCTGTGCACTTCCTTGTAAAACTCAGTTTTAGCAAAATCTTTGCTGAATCAGTGCAGCAAGAACGCCCCATCCCTGAAATCTTTTCACCCTAGAGTTCCAATTGGGATCTTCATCCTCCACCATCCCCACGGGTGCTGTCTGATCATCTTGGCCTGTCACCAGCAAGAATCCTGTTAGGTCATTTTAGCTAGAACCCCTCTTACCCCTGATGTTTCCCATTAGTAATTTAACATCCACTGACCACCACCATGCTCCCTGGCTATAAATCCCCACTTGCCCATGCTATACTCAAAATAGAGCCCAATCTCTCTCCCTCACTGCAAAAATCCCATGCCGTGGTCCCTATCCTTTTCATCCCTGTCCTGAATAAAGTCTGCCTTACCACACTTTAACAAGTGTCATTGAATAATTTTTTCTTTAACACTTTCACATGTGGAATACTGCCCTGAGGCAACTGTGTGAAGAAGCCCTGTGAGGCCATAGGGCTCAGCGGCCACATAGGGCAGAGATGAACCATCTGATTAAAATGTCTAGACCAATTCACTGGCATTCACTATCAGCTACCAGATGAGAAACTAAGGCCAAAGATGACCTTCAGACATGCCTCTGAACAACTGTAGCTGCATGAAGGACCTCAGGCTAATCCAGCAAAAGGACCATCTCATTGGGCCCAGCTCAAACGCCTGACCACAGAATCATAAGCAAACAAAATGGATATTGTTTTAGCTGCTAAGTGTTGGAGTGGTTTATCACACAGCAATAGATAACTTTTATAGCAAGTAAGAAAGTGATTTGGGACAAAGAATAGGCTCACGTTTGTAAATTGAAATTTGGAGAACCACAATCTCATGGGTTTCTGGGGCCTCAAAAGTCACCTAGTCTAACTTATTATCTTTTTACCACACCCTTAGCAAATATCATACCACCTTTTCACTATCAGCTGCAGGGATGAGAAACTCAGTATCTTCCAAGATAGATCAGGCTGTTTTGGATTATCCTTGACTTTGAAAGTTATCTGTTGGTTCCATATCTGGGAATATAACCTAGGGAAAAATATTCCAAATGTGGAAAAAAACTTTTATAAACAAAGATATTTATAGCAGTCATATGATATTAGAATATTAGAAATAACTGTAAATATCCTTTTCTAGAGAAATAAGTTAGCATTAACTTCTAAATACAAGGCAGCCATTAATTATCACATTAATCGAGGGTTTATAGCAATATGGAAATATTCTTAGGAGGCAATATTAAGTGAAAAAGCAGAAAAAATAGTATATATGGTATAATTATACCTATGTTGAAAGTACGCATTGAAAATAAAAAGTAGAAGGAATTAGAGTAACTGTTAGCAATGGTTAGTGGAACTATAGGTAATTTTTCTTTTTCTTCTCTTTTTACATTTAAAAAGAAACTTGAGCTCAAAGCTGCTTCCCTCTAGCTTCCACCCCATGGTATAAAATTGGTTAATTCCAGTCAACAAACAAGGGGAGCACACAGGAAGGGCAACTTAACTAGCCTGGAAGTGCAGGGTCATTCATCTGCTATCACCCTCCTCCCCCCTTGTCTTCCCTTCATCACAGAACATGGCGTGGGAACTCCTCAGCACTCTGTCACCTCCTCTCATTTCTCTAGCCCTTGGGTCGCAACAGAGTTGAAAAAGAGATCTTTGCTTCATAAACAATAAGGTGAAAAGTAAAATTCTGAGAAAATATCAAGAAACTCAGAATACCTAAAACTCACAGATGGCAGCGTATGGCAGGGAGGGTCTCATGTCAGGGGACAGTTTTTGTGACTGTGAAGTCCAAGGAGTGAGTAGGTGGGTGTAAGTGGATGGCTAAGGGGAGAGAGAAGAGTTTCTTAGTCCAGAGTTCATGAAGACCTAAAGGACAGGAAAGGGAGAGAGACAGAAAAAGAGAAGAAAGACAGATCTTAGATGTTCAAGAAAGGTTGCAATAAGAACATCTGTGCCCTTTGTTGACTTCTCAAGAGTGAGTCAAATTGTGAATTGTTTTCAATTTGTTAGGTTTTCTGTTTCTTTAGGATGCAACGCCTTACTTATTGGGGCATCTCATTTTTATATGATCTTCTCCAATGATTAGATGTTGGAAAAATTACTTAAACTCTCTGTACTGTAGGGTGAATTGTGTCCCCCTAGAATACATGTTCAAGTCCTAACCCCTGTTTCTCTGCATGTGACCTTATATGGAAACAGGTCTTTGCAGATGTAATCAAGTTAAGATG
The DNA here is from genome assembly GCF_000001405.40 of Homo sapiens. Taxonomy (NCBI): domain Eukaryota; kingdom Metazoa; phylum Chordata; class Mammalia; order Primates; family Hominidae; genus Homo; species Homo sapiens. The sequence continues at coordinate 82,192 of NW_025791769.1, forward strand.
ACACTACAAAGGGTTAGAGTGGACCCTAACCCAATGACTGATATCCTTATAAGAAGAGGGAAGTTTGGACACAGAGACACACACAGAGGGATGACAGCCATGTGAAGACAGAGGCAGAGATTAGAGTTATGCTGCCACTAGCCAAGGAGTGCCAAAGACGGCCCGCCTACAACTGCCTATTCTAGAAAGCTAGAATAGGCAAGGAAGGATCCCCCTCTGGAGCCCTCAGAAGGAGCATGGTCCTGCAGACACCTTGATTTCAGACTTTTCACCTCCAGAACTGCGTGAGAACAAATTTCTGTTGTTAAGAAATTTAACAACTTAAACAGCCACCTAGTTTGTGGACATTTATTACAGAAGTCCTAGGAAACTAATATTCTCTGTATATAGTTTTTCTCATATGTAAAATAGTGAAAATAATCCTATTTATATTACAGAACTGTTGTAAATAGGATGGGAGGTGATATACATAAAACACTCAGAAAAGTGCCCGGGATACGTTGAGCACTCAGTACATCAATGAGAAAAACAGGACTGCTGAGATCCATCCACCAACTGAGATGACACGTTCTGGCTCCCAGCTAGTGGGGCAAGGGTCACTTCATGCATTTGGAGAACATTAAGAAGCTGAGATTGTCCCTGGATACTATTTCTCCATTTCACTCCTTTCCTAATCTCGCTGAAGCCATCAGCAGTGGTTTCCCCTTTTGTGAGGATTCACAACCCAGGCTGATAGAGCTGGAAGGGCACCTAGAGAGACCTCCCAGCCCAGCCTCCTCCTCTGGCAGGTGGCATATTAGCTGTTTGGCTCTTTGCACTTTACAAAGCCTTCTAACAGTCCTGGGGCTGAGAGACATCAAAAGGGTACTCTTAAGTTATGAAAGACGATCAGAGCAAAGTGAGGGATCTCTAAAGGCTTCTGTCCACAAGAAGATGGCATTAAGTCTAGGAATTTCTCTCTTTACTTTGCTGTGCTTCAAAAGATTTTCCTAGATGCGTGAGCCGTAGGCCAATGATTCACCGACAGCCCCGGGCTGACTCCTGCTCATTGTGCGAGCTCGGTACTCCTGAGCTCACCTTCACGGAAAGTCCATCACTCCCAGCTGCTGGGCCAGTGGTTAATGGCCCAGTCCTGCTACTTCACCAGGTAGCTTTAATTTCAGTCAGTGATCTGAGTAGAAGCAAGTTAAAGGCACCTGATACCAGATAGAAACTTGGGTCTAGAAACGAAGGAGGCATCTGGTATGTGTTTGCATGTGTGTGCTGCACTTCAGAAACTCTTGAAAGCCATGTAAAGTAAAAATAACACAGCTGGCAGATCTAAGCTCAAGTTGACTTCAAATGAGAGGTTCTGGAGGTTGATGCTCCAGTCCTGGCTCAAGTCTTTCGGCCATAAAAAAAGAGTAATAATAATCAGCCAGGCACCTTGGCCCATGCCTGTAATCCCTGCATTTTGGGAGGCCGAGGTGGGTAAATCATGAAGTCAGGAGTTCAAGACCAGCCTGGCCAACATTGTGAAACCTTGTCTCCACTAAAAACACAAAAATTAGCCGGGCGTCCTGGCGGGCACCTGTAATCCCAGCTACTCAGGAGGCTGAGGCTCAAGAATCGCTTGAACCCGGGAGGTAGAGGTTCCAGTGAGCAGAGATTGTGCCATTGCACTCCAGCCTGGGTGACAGAGCGAGACTCCATAAAAAAAAAAAAAGTAATAAAAATAATGATGATGATAATAATTCCTTGTTCTATGTGGAACTTTCCAGTTGACAGGGCACGTTTACCTTCTCTATTTTATTTGCTCCTAATGGCAGTCATGTAGTGAGTGCACTTCAGGGAGACAGTTCTGAGTCCATGGAGGTGACATGACTCCCCCAAGTCCACATAGCCTACAAGTAGCAGACCTGAGACAACATCAGGATGTTCTGACATCCAGGTTTGGCTCAATAATTGGAATCACACAGCTGATAAGCCACCTGCCAGAGCAAAGGTCAGAGCTGAAAAGAACATGAAAAGACCTCAAGTCTATACCTGGCGGAGGAACAGACTTGTTCAAAGTCAGTCAATGGCAGAGCCAGTACTGGGGCCTAGGTGCACTGCTCTTTCCAGGATGGTGTTCTTATTTGTTAATTAGGGTGAAAACCTCCTAACAGAGCTGAGTGAGCCCCTAAGCAGGTATTGTGTACATGCAAATGCTTGGCGCCATAAAGAATGTGGGGGCCTGAGAAACAGCTGGTGGGGGCCAGAGAAACAGCTGGCAGGTCCTAAGAGTCCAAGAATCCCACTGCTGCCAGGAAGGATTGCCCATTCTCGGGAGGGCTCTGGACAGAAAAGGGCAGCATGAGCAGAGGGAGAAGAAAGAGCTGGCAGGGGAGGGGTCCTGCCAAGAGCCTGGGAAGCGGGCATCCCGCAGGTGGGAAACCAGCAGTGCCCACCGTCTCAGAGGGAGCTGGGCTTGGGGGGTGGGGTGGGAGGGAAGAGTCTGGAATTGTGTCTGGGAGGGAGAGCCAGGGAGGATTGGCACTGTTTGGCCTGAGAATGGCTCAGACTCCCCCACCTCACCCCTTCTGGGACTCCAGAGCTGAGCTCATTCATATGCAAATCCCTTCAGCAACTTGGAGGCTGGGCCCCAAACAGTTCAGGACGGGAAAATAGCCTGAGGATGGGAAACACAAAGGGTTGCTGTGTTCTTCTGCGGCAGAAGCTGCGTGGCTCCAGGTGTGTCATAGCCAGGACGTGGGTGAAGGCAGTGATGAGGCTTGTGCTGAGTGGACAGAAGGGGCCGCCTTGGGCCAGTGTCTTCCAGCAGAGTTTCAAGGATTGTGAGCTGCTGTGTTCCTGTGACACTGCCCAGGACCTTGCCCTGACTCAGGCTAAACTTATATCCTCAAATCTTTGCACAGAAATCCTACAAGAGTGCTGGAATAAGGACCAACTGTCATAGCTCTGCCACTCATACCTCAGGGGTCACTTAAACCTCCCCAGGCGGTAGGTGTGCTGGAGCCGGCAGCTCACACCAGTTTATAAGAGCCAACTGTCAGCTTTTCAGAGATTTTGCTACCCTGTTGTTAAATCCAGCCATCATCAAGTTTCATAAACTTAAAATTAAGTACATTCTATTAGAAACCAGTTCTATGAAAACCAGTTCTGTGAAAACTCATTACTTCCTAATTATGTGATTGTTCTATGCTCTATGCTCTGCGGGCTCTCTGTGTCTGTGCTATCTGAATGTCGAATGATAAGCCACTGCGCATCTCTTTGCCCCCATTCCCTGCCCCCACCCCCCAATCTGGTTGTTAGCACCCATGCCCCTGTCTCCAGGGCACAGTTTTCACAAACGTAAAAAGTGGACATTAATACTCTGAGCATCAGGTCAAATGAGATTCGGGGCATGAAAGCAGCTTGTAAAGCCTGCCATTGGCTGGCAGCATTTAACAGGAACCCTGTTTTCCAGTCTCCCATCCCGCCCCCCATCTGTACCTCTCAGTCTTCATTCATGTTCCTGCCCTCCAGCCACACTGCCATCCTTGCTATTCTTCAAACACACCAGGCACTTTCCACCTGAGGGCACTGAATGTTCCCTCTGGTTAAAGTGCCCCCCAGGGTAGCCCCCCCAACAAGAAAGCCACATGGCTAACCTTACCTGCTTCAAGTGTTTGCTCAAATGTCACTCTCTCAATGAGCACCATATTTAAATCAGAGCCCCCATCTCAACTCATGCAGAGCCCTGCTCTATTTTATTTTTGTCCATAAACTTATTACTTAGTACATAATTTAGTTATGTATTATGTTTAGTGTTTATTGTCTGTTTATCCCAGTGCAATGTAAGCCTCACTTCAGAGATTTCTATCTGTTCTAATTACTGCTGTACCCTAAGCTCTAATAAATTGTAGGCACTGGATGAATATTTGTTGAATAAATGAATACCTCTTCGTCCCTTAACTTTTCCCTTTATAAGCACATCGAAGTAAAGTCAGGCACTGCTCTTCACCAAGGTGTTTTCAACAGCAACCTGTAATATACTCAAGCACAGAGATATGCACCCCATGTGCACCCACACCTGGGACCTTCCCAGCTCACACTCACCCACATGCTCTTCCTCAGCACTGCGAGCTTCCTTTTGTTTTCCATCACCCTGAAGCCTGTGCTGTTTGCACTTTTGGCATAAAATGAGCTTTCATTACACTTTCCTGAAGCAAGCTCATTTTCATTTTCTAATTCTTCTGAATAAGCTAGAATTGGTGTTTGGGTCCTGGTGTCTCTGGAGTGGGAGAATTCCACCGGAGACTACAATTGAAATTCATGAGAAATGTTTACCCATTTCTCATTTCCTTCTGGGGCCAAGGCCTCCTGTCCACTCCCAGAGAATGAGCAGAGTTATGCAGTAGGTGAAATGAGTTCAGCCGGAAGGTCGAGGGCATGTTCTAAGTAAACACAGAGCATTGCACAGAAATTAGGAGCTTAGGGGTCAGAAGAGTCCCACTTGGGAGCGACTTACCTCTCAATTACACAGCAGGATGCAGACTGACCCAATGTGGCCTGAGGGAAGGGGCATTGGACTGGGAGTCACAGACCATCAGAACTGGAAGGGTTTGGAGAGGCCAGCTGGTCCAGTTCCCTCATCAGGCAGATGGGGAAACTGAGGCCTTGAATGAAGACGTGACTTGCCCAAGCTCTCAGCAGGAGTCAGCAGCTGTTTTCTAGGCCAGAGCCCTTTCCACTGCCAGGAGACATGTGCCTTTTCCTGTTCTGCCCAGGACTGTGCTTTCTACTGGAGAAAACACAGACATAGGCCCTGAACTCATGGGGCTGGCAATCTAGTGGGAATGAGCTTGAGCTCATCAGAAAGGATGTACTACAAGCAGATGATACAAGCACTTGCAGATTCACTGTAGTTCAGACTCCATTTTCTATTATTTTTAAAAAACATTTTTTTCTCTCAAAGGATAAAAGAGAACGTTATTTAAAATAATCTAGACAATATAGGGACCCTCAAGGACCTTCTGTTTTACTAAATTTTATGAAATCATCTTGACAAATAGAGTATTGTTTCAGGAATAATGCATGGCCAGGAAACACAACAGGACCCCTTCCACAGTAAAGCCTGTTCTGAGGAAGGCTGCATGGAGACACAGAACCATGACTTGGGGAGTTAGAAGAGCAGGGATTCAAGCCTGGCTTTCCTGCAGAGACTTGAACAAATTCACTTGTACCTGTTTCCTTTTTTGTAAATTAGGTGCAATAATCCGTGCTCTTCCTATTCCATGGGAATCAAATGAGTTAATAGATTAGAAACTGCTGTAAAATGTGTGTTTCTACAAGGTAAATACAAAGGAGAAATAAATAACCTCCTGCTTTCGAATAGTGCTTTGGAAGCACTTTTCCATAAATTGCTAGAAAAAACTCAGTAACATTAGCAAGGTCATACATAGGCAGTCAGTGGTAGGGTCAGAGTTGATAAGAAAACTGACATTCATTGAACATCTGGTGATACCAGGCAGACACTTTATTACTCATACCATTGCCTTCATTACCACTATAATAGTACTTTTGAGCTAATTAGAGATGTGTTGGACATATGACATTAAAGCATTTACTTCATTTGGCATTCACAGTAAGTCTATGAAATAAGCATCATTATTATCTCCATTTTACAGATGGAGAAGAAAATCTTAGCAAGGTTAAGCAACTGCTCCAGTAAGAAGTGGAGGCAAGACTTGACGCTGGGTCTGAATGACTCCAAAGTTTGAGCTCCCAACCACTGAGCACAACTGCGTTTTGCAGTACTGATTCCACTTAGACCCTCATGTCATTCAAATCCTCCCACAACCTGTGAGGAAGACGTTGTATTCATTAGGAACTCTTCCTTTCAACTGATGACAAAACCATTGCTGAGGGAGATCAAGGAGCTTCACCAAGGTTCCTCACTCAGATGGTGGCAGAGACAGAATTTAATCCTCACTGTGTTAATCCTCTCTCCATCACTGTCTCTGTGCTCTTTCTACACCCACTCTTACGACTCTTTAAGCTCTGTCTCAAAATTTAGACCAGCATTTCCAGCTGTATTCAAAACTCAATGCACTTCAGTGCACTCTATATCTTTCTAAATCTACACATCTTCACGTTCCTGATCTCAATTTCTGGGTAAGTAGCCAATAAGTTGTCATAACTGGGGCTTAAAGCCTCTGATTCCTCCTTTTTCCTCTCCCATACGCAGCCAGTTCCTGTGGAGTTTACCTCTGCACATCCTACCTGCTCTTCCATAGCTGTCCAGGAGGCCTGTGGGCTTTCTTGAAGTATACTACGCTCCACATAGTCATATCCAATCTATTTAGCACAGCCACCTAAATGGCCTCATTCAGCAGCTCCAGTTTATTTTGACTTTACTAGTCCTTGACATCCCTCATGTAGCTCCAGATTAACCTTCCTCAAGCATACCCTCGACTGTGTCACATCCCCGAACCCCACTGCCCCACCCCTCCGCCACATCACAGCTTCTAATTGGACGTCCTAGACTAAAATGCTAAAAGATGCCAGGCAGAAAACATAAATGAGTGAAACAAGCTGCTATGAATTCTTTAGACAGAAATATACACTTTGCGTGTTAAATACAGAGGGATATTCTTCACTCTGCAAAGAAATTTTTCCTGAAATACGTGTCTTTCTCAAGAACTTTCAACTTTTCTACTTTTGATAGAGACACTGGGGAAAAATGATTCACTTTCTTTACTGTAAAATCAGCAATGGTGCCATTAAGAGGCCAGAAAGCATTAGCATGGGGGAGCTATAGAGAATGGTGGGGACCCTACCCACAAGGCCACCTCTTCCTGGTGTTGGCTGATTGTTGAAGGCAGGAAGCTGCAAGAGTTGCCAGATTTTCTAATATTCTAAGAGAACTTGGAAATGCAGATTGTTGTGTGAGATCGGAAATTTTATGTTGTCATAATTCTTTCTTTTTTTTACACCCCCAAATCATAGTATAAGTTAATATTAGGCTGGCCAACAAAATCCATCTGTGAAATTAATTCAACCTTTGACCACACGTATGTGATTTGGGGAGCACATGCTTAAACCCAAATTTACCAAACATTTCTCAGTTGACCCTCAGATAACCTTTCTGGGCTTTACGTCTCCCCAAAACATGCCAACTCTGATTATTCTCAGTTTTGCATCATTCCCATCCTCTTCAACCTCCCTGCTTTGATGGTAGCTCTGCTAAGAAATCCTACTTAGAGAACTGCACTGCCAAATTATTATTTACCTCTAAAGACTAATCTCAAACATCAACTATTTCCAAAGCCCTCCCTGGCCATCTAAAAATGACCACTCCCAAACTTATATACTGACTGATAACCCTTGTGTTACTTTGTCTGGCTTTATTATGCACTTATTTCATTATATTCTATGGAACCGTGAATTCCTTGAGGACTTTATAGTTCATTTTACTTCGAAGAATTCTTTTTACTGATCTTTGCAGACCCAGTCTTTGGCATAGTGTCCAGCTTATGGTAGATTTTCAATAGGATTACTGTGCTTCATTCCATAGACAATGGGGAGGCATTGAAAGATTTTTAGAGTAGCATAATCAAAGCTATGTTCCAAGAAGATCCTTCTGGATACTCATAGAAGGTAGGCTAGATGGGGAGAGGCTGACATCTGGTAGACATATAGAAGGCTATTACAATAGACTAGTTGAGAGGAATAAGAATTGGAACTAAGGAATTAGCAGTGGAGAGGATGGAAGAAATGTCGAATACATCAAGGATATAGGGTTAAAAGGAGAACAGTGGCATTGCATTACATAAACATGTCACAGATGCTATTAAAATATTACACATGGTGACATAAAGAGAAAGAAAGAAAGAGAGTGCAATCCAAATGCAGATGATTTATGCTTCCTTTTACAGTGAATAGATGCCATGAAATGAACTTGAAATTGGAACGTGTAATCTGCTGTTCTCTTGTTGGTTCTGGTTTCTAACTATCTAGACTCTCTCCATAACTATAGCTTCATAGTTTCTTTGTAAGTATAAATGGACCACTTCATCTGGTGCTCAACCAAAGGAACTTTAATTTCTTGCATTTTTGGAAAAAAATTCTTTTCTGGGCATCTAAAAGATAATGCTTTGCAATATTTAAGGGATTTTTTAATGGTAAGTTTGACTAGAGACAATATTTGTCTTATGTTACAACATAAAAACTAGTCATTCACAAGATGGGACTTTGCTGTTTTTTAATCTGTTAAATAATTCTGTTAAATAAATAGAAGAAAAGACTGAGAATCTTAAGATGTAAATTCTAATACAAGCATGATGTTGGCCAATCAACTGCCCTTCCCTGGACTTTGGACATGTTGATCATGGGGTTGGATCATGATTTCTAAGGTCTTAGATGCACAGAACATCAAGGCAAAGTAGACCTTAGAGACCATCTGGTTTAACCGTTTGTATTTGAAAGAGGAGGAAACAGAGTCCATTTTAGGTGCAGTCATCTGCCCAAGGTTAATGAGTATAGAATGACACCCAGGACCCAGGCTGCCTGACTCCCTGACTAGTATCTGTGCTTTGCCTCTTGCCTGCAGCATTAACCAGCCTTGATTCGTATGCCTCATCCGTACACTACAGGAATCTAAACATTGCAGCCACATGCCAAGGAAGCAGATGCTGCTGTGCAGATGTGCATGAGTCTTGAAGACCAAGAACTGTGGGAAATCAGGCAGGAGAGGAATTTTCATAAATGTGAGCATCCGGACCACAGACTTGGGAGTCCTGCTCTTCTTCAGGCTACTGATGAGCAGTATGAGCAGTTCCATCATCATCGCCCCTATGGGCCTGGGTGGGAAGGGCAGCTTGCGGGGTTGGGCTGGGCTGGAAAATGTTCCTGTGAGTTGGAAGGTTTCTTAAACCTACTCCTATGTAGGCCTGTGAGGAGAATTTAGTCATAGAGGAAAAATGCCTCAAAACAGGGAATTTTATCCTGTCAAAGGCAAGTCAGTGATATTTTAAGTTTCTTGGTAAAGAACAGTGTTGGCATGATATGTTTACAAGTTCTGTGATGACATACCACCAAGGCATCCCCAGCAGGCTGCAGGCTCCTACTGGAGTGCTTGCAGTTATGCAACATTGAGAAGCAGCTGCTGTAAACATACGATTTCTGTTTTCTGGTGTTATCCTGACTATGATAAGGAGTGTTTGGTGGGGTCATCTTGGAAGTTCTGGTGAGGAGGATTGGGATTACAATTCCAGAATTGAAAGGACCATGGGGATCATCTTGTTCCATCCTCTCACTGAACAGAGGAAAAAACAGAATTTTGGAGAGGGATGTGGATTTACCTGGGGGCCACATGGCATATTTGCGCTTTTATTCAGATGGAAAGGGAAAAGCTTCTCTTCCATTTATAGCCAGAAAAAGCATATATGCTAGGGGCTAGCATTGGCCAGGCGATTAGAAAAAGTCAGTGGGTTTCAACTCAGTGTGTAAGACTTCTGGGTTTGGGATTTCAGAGGCAGACTGCTCACCCACTCTCTGAACTCTGACCTCCTCTTCTGTCCAATAGGAATGTGGCCAGAGCAGCAAGATTCAAGCCATAATCCCTCAAGGTGCTTCAGGGTAACCAAGAAGGATGAGCAAGCAAAACCACCTTCAGCTAGAGCAGCTCACTTCTGTCTCTTCTCTACGTTGGGCCTAACTGAAGATTTTCAAGAAGAAAATGTGGGCCGGGTGCAGTGGCTCACGTCTGTAACCCACTTTGGGAGGCCGAGGTGGGAGGATCACGAGGTCAGGAGGTCAAGACCATCCTGGCCAACATGGTGAAACCCCGTCTCTGCTAAAATACAAAAAATTAGTCAGGCATGGTGGCATGTGCCTGTCGTCCCAGCTGCTCAGGAGGCTGAGGCAGGGGAATCACTTGAACCCGGGAGGTGGAGTTTGCACTGAGCCGAGATCCCGCCACTGCACTCCAGCCTGGCAACAGAGCAAGATTCCGTTTCAAAAAAAAAAAAAAAAAGAAGAAGAAGAAAACGTGTACTGGGGAGAATATATTTGAAAACCACAACTTAAGATGAGATGCGTCCCCAGAGGGCCCCTGCAGCCTGACATTCTGTGAGTTCTCAGCTCTAGGAGGGCAACTCACTGGGTGTGTGTAGGCAGGGGCACAGGGTGGTTTCCACATGAGCACCAGTAGTCAGCCAACTAGCATGCAGCATCCTGCAGAGGGGAGGCCTGCTGGTGCCCCACGGCTGTTGGAACCTCTGCAGAAGGCTAATGCTGACATTAGGGTGGCCTTCTGGAAGAGAGTCAGCTGTGCAAGCACAAGTGGAGAAGTCTATCTCACCTCCCGCCGCCACCATGTTAATCTCTTCTTTGAAAGGAACTGGAAAATTGTCCCAACTCACAGATGCAAGGACTGTAGGGCACTTCAGGTAGGCAGCTCAGTCCCTAAGTTGCCTCAAGTAGACTACTTCTCTGTTATGCCCAGAGGTCATCTGTCTAATTTTGGAGCAGAGAGGGTGCTGTAAAATAATATTCTTCTCCACTCCATGTCATTTGGGGAGTTAGTGACAGATCTGAGACCAGAAAAGGCATTTCCTGAATTCCATGTAAGGGCCCAGGACCATGCTGCCCCTTCCAGAGGGCCCATGTCCATCTACTTGTGGTTTCAGGAAGGAGTCTCACCACTCTAGATAGAAACCATCAACCAATTTCCAAAATATTCTCTAGCCAAGAAAGTCAAGCTTTGGATAGAAATCTATTCCAGTGTCTTTAATTCAGTGTTAGAAGAGGTCTTCAGATTATATTATTGCTCTTGAAAAGTATCATCATTTTTTCCCATTAACAAAATGCTGCTTTATGTCAGCTGCTTCATCTGCCTTCCTTGGATACTCCACTTATTTGGAGCAAAGAAATGAGCTAAATCCTCTCTTGTGTGTTTATCATCTTGATGAAGGAGACCTAACAAGGTTAAATTTGTCTTCTGTCTGAAAAAGAATCAAACTTAAGAGAAAGAGTTTCTCAATGACTATGAAGTTAAGAGTCAAATCTTAAGGAGGAGAGGGGGCAAATTATGAGAAGAAGTCATCCCTACAACTGAGCAAAAAAATTCTATAATTTCTGTGATCTTGAGCCTCAGGTACCAATAAAAGCTATTGGCACTGACAAAATTTCTAGATGGTTAGCATGTTTGAAAGTAGAGAAAAATGTGGTTAGAAAGTTCATATCTAGCCTTGTCTAAATCCATGGAACTTATTGTCATATTAAACCAGTGTTTGGTAATTTTTCTTCCGGTTAAGACAACTCTCCAACCAAAATACTAAAGAATGCCATGATTTTGTGACCAACATTATTTGGGGGAATGGGCCGGGAGATTCCACTTAGCCTGAGGACCCATACCTACAATCCATCTTATCCTGGAGTTTAACTCTGGATAACCCTTTTATCCTGAAAAGCGTAACTGGCCTTTTTGTCAGAAAGTTCAGTTTAGGATGATACATACTCATGGCCTCAGTGAAGACCCCCCTGGTTGATCCTTGTGACCCTGAGAAATTTGTTCTATTTTTAATGAATTTGTAGAAATCGCATCTAGATTACCAATCCGCGTTGTCTCTTAGAGCAACCAGTTCCACATTTTCTCATTCTTTATCAGTTAGTCTTTATTGCCATCACTGTTTTCTATCTTGTGCAATGGCTATTTTCAAGACTCATCTTTCTTTTTAAGGGACCAGATCTTTTGTGTCCTAAAATTTCCACCGTCCCTAGCACAGGGCATTCTAAGAGGGCATCATCCCATATAGCAGTGGTTCTGGGACATTGAACAACATCTGGACACATTTATGATTGCCATAACTGGTGGGGCCGGGGCTGCTACTGGCACCTAGTTAGGGTAGAAGCTAGGGATGTTGCTAAAAATCCCACAATGCTCAAGACAGCTTTTCTCAGCAAATGATCTGGTTCAAAATATCAGTAGTGCTGAGGTTAAAAATCCCTACCATGGAACACCAATTTTGGAAAATTTTTAGACGCAGAGACCTATTGTAAATGGGACATTGCAGGCAGACCCAACATATACAATGACAATACTCTACATATAAAATAAGCGGAAGCACAGTGCCTTTGTATGCCTCTGCTGTATCTTAGGCTCAGTGGAGAATAGCTTGGGAGTTGTTTGGTGTAGACAAAAGAGCATGTGATTCAAAAACACAAGGCATGGGTTTGAGACCTTAATCCATCACTTACCAGATGTACAACCTTGGGTGAGTTGCTTAACCTTCCTGGGTTACTTCTTTACCTGTGAAATGGGGTCATGGCTCCTGTCTCAAAATTGTTTTAAAGTTTGATTGAGATTATAATTGTAAAAGCACCTTGTAAACTCACTTCTCTGCTGTTGACCAAATATTCTGGTTAATACAAGGTTAATTCATGTTGAATTACTGGCTATGGAATAATGAGTCTACAATAATACTAAAAATATCTAAATGCTCTAGAGTTGTTTGATGAGAACCTCTTTCAGGAAGCTGGAGAGAGCTTAGAAGGTAGGTTCTTAGGTCTCCACGTCTTTTTTAACTAGATATAACTGCAATAAACTTGATCCCTTAGAAATATTCTGACCTTTTTCAGCCTCACTTTAAAAGAAGAACAGCTTCCCACCCATGGAATTTTTTTTTTTGTGGGGGGTTCTCTAAATTCCAGGGTATATTGTTTTGATGTGGTCCTGCTCTTCCCCCATATTTACTTTTTACATCTACTTCTGATGGTGACCGTCCCCTTCCTACCCACACTTTTTGCTGATAAAATGCAAACTACTTGGCATGACATTCAAGGCCCTTAAGAATCTCGCCTCCACTCACCTTCCTACTTCATCTCTGACTCTTTACTACTGTATATCCTGCACTTCCCAAATACTTGATCTTTATTTGGGAAATTGGACAATGCTTTCTAATGCCTCAACTTTGGACATAATTATGGTTCTCTTTCCATGATTACTGCTTACTCTGAGGTCTCTGCCCTTTTCTGCTTGTTGAATTAAAGGTGATCTTGGAACAGAGGCTGGTAGAAACACTAAAGGCTTTGAGAACAGGAAGAAAGAAGGGATGTTGTGTTGGGCTGAGTCATACTCTATCAATCAGCTTCAGTTTCCTTCATGGACCTTTCTAGTTCTACCCATCAGCTTGCACTTAGCTTTCCACCTTGACCTGAATTCATACCATTGTGATGTTGTGTGTCTCTCTTACTATATGCCACCCTGGAAGGGTCTAATTTCATATTGCCTTGTCTAAATCCCAGAAGAGAGCCTGGCCCAGTTAGGGGACATCAGGAGTCTCACCTTCACATAGTCATATTCACAAAGGTAGGAGGATTCCAAGTTGAAGTGCATGAAGTAAAGCTTGATCCGAAACCCATCTGGGACAGTGATATTCCAAGTCACCTCTGAATCACTGGGATAGGAGTCTGGATAACCAGGCGACTGGATCTGGCCAAACATATTGTTTAGCTCCACGGTGTGGGCTGAAGCCTTTGACAGGGAGAAGCACAGAGCATAATAGAGAAGCAGCCACCTGAAAGACATGAATGTAGGTCTACTTACATTTATAAACACAGGCCCCTGCCATTCATCTCAATCACAGCCAGGAGAACAAGATCTCAGCATGTCTCTGTCTCTGGCCTGCCGTAATTAGCTTTCCCCTTCTGACCTTGCCTCCTCAGTCTGTATTATGGGAATATAGTAACTAGATAATTTCTAAGATTTCTTCTGGTTTTGCTCATTCAAAGCTCTGATAATAGTGTTAACTTAAACTCCTAGAAAGTATCACATTTGGGAGTCTGACATTTCCATTTTACTGTTGAAAATGTAATTTTCATAATTAAGTAAAAGTTGATATTTCTTTAGCTCAGCTTCATTTAACTCTTGATTCTCTTTTTGAAAAAGTAAATGTTATCATACTGGGTGAGGCTTAAATGCATTGATGGAATCTGTAGTACCTTAAACAGATTTAACGTTGAAAATGGTATTTCACCACAAACTCAGTCAAAGTATGCAAAATCTTTAATAAAGAAAGAATAAGCAAAGCAAGTTTTCTTCCTCTTGGTAAAAGGATCAAAAACCTACAACTTATTCCTGTAGGAATCAGAAATAATAGACTAATAAAGAGTTGCAAAAGAGACAAGGAAAATTCAATAAAACTTACAGAGCACGTCACCATGGCTGACGCAATAACGAGGCAGAATGACTAAGGCTGGTCAAAGCCCTTCTGGTCAGTCTGTACTCACCACACCAGGCTTCTGTCTAACAGACCGATTCCCCTGTGAGGTCCAGTAACCTTGAACTTAATGGGCCCAAACTTGCCTCATCACTCCTCTCCTAATCTTTTCCTGCTCTCATTTCTGATTTCTGTTCATGGTACTACCATCAACCAGTTCCCTGGCCTGAACTTTAACCATTCATCTTTTCATTTACCCCAGAGTCAAGAGTCACCACATCCTACTTATTCTGCTTCCTGTGTTTTGGAAATCCATCTCTCCTCCTCTCCAGTTAATTACATAGTTTACATTCTCCTATATGGCTTATTGCTATAGCATCCTAACTGATATCCCCAACCCACCCACCAGCAGTCTTCTGCCAAAGCTGATTTTCTCAAACACAGATAGGACCACACTGTTCTACTGTGTCTGCAGGGTAAAGCGTCTGCTCCTGGGATGGCTGTTGAGGCCCTTTTGATCTGGCTGATCTGTCCTTCCCACCTCATCTCAGTAGCCAGCCCTGTGAGCCCCCTGTTATTCTGGGAGCACACCATGCCCTTCCATTCCAGCCTCATTGCATGTGCCCTGCTCACTCCTCACCTACTTATCCTCCACTGTCTTGCTTATCCTCCACCATCCAGCTCAGAGCTTCCCAGCTATGGAGTATCCTTTCACTCCTCCACAAGCCACTGCTCCCTGCACATTTCTCTATTATTGTGGGTATCACATTGCACTACGTTAGACACACCCTTTGGAGTGAAATGTACTTGGATTTAAGTCCCAATTCTTTCACTTACTGACTGTGAAAACTTGGGCAACTAGTCTCCCTGAGCCCCAGTTTCCTCAGAAGTAAAATGGAGATTATAATATCTAATTCATAAGGCTCCTATGAGCACTAAAGGTGATGTATATAAAGGTCCCAGTACAGAGTCTGATATATAACAGATTATAAATGAATGAATCCATGAAAGTGGGGCCTGAGTCTTAGATAGCCTAAAAAGTCAATGCTGGGAAACCATACCAGCATCTTCAGATTAACAATGATATATTTGCTAATCAGGACGTTGTTTCTCTCCAATACCCAGTCTGCCCATGTATTCAGATGCATATATCTGTGTAATGCATACATTTGAGTTTTTGGGTATGTAAACAGAGCAAGTTAACTACATACATAGATTATGTAGCTATGTCATGTTAATATTTACATAAAGTGTAAATAGGTAAGTACAAAATGTCTGAAAGGATATACACCAAGGTATTGACAGTAGTTATCTCTGAAATGGGAATATAAGTATTTCCATTTTTGTGCATATAAAATGTTTACATTTGTCAAGAAGGACCATGTACTATTTTTTCAATAAAAAGAAAATACATTTATTTAATTTTTTTCAAGGTCCCTACAATAGCAATATGTGAGATTCTATTAAGAAAACAAAATGTCTTAATCCCATAGCCAATGTCAATATTTTCTTAAACCAATCTGTGGAAGGAGGGCCTCAGAGGCAGAAGGAAGGGAAGGCATATGTCCAAGTTAACCTGTGAATTAGTTGGAAAGCTGAGTCAAAAAACCAGGTGGCAGGGCCCAGGCATCCCATTTTCAAGTGAGGAAATGAACCAGTGTTAACAGGGCTGGGAGTTCAGGTTCAGCCCTGCTGAGGAGGGGAGGGCACTGGCCCTGGGTCAAAAGAGCTAGATTCAGCTCCAGCTTTGACTTTATTTATCCTTTCCATTTTAGGAGGTCATGGGAGGTCTTGTTTCCTCATCCATTAAGTAGTAATAATAACGACTTCCCACAGCACTGCTATCAGCGTAAAGGAGGATGGGGAAGTATTTTGTTAACTGTCCAGCCCTAGCCAAACATTAGTTATAATTATTCCATCCTGCCAGTTCCCAAAAAGCAAGAGTCAGGAATGAGCTTTGGCTCCTAAACCGGACTTCCCTATAATAGCGACACCCAAATTATGCAAGGCCGAAAGGTCAACTTCCTCCATGACTGCTTTTTCCAGACCACATCGAGGAGACACTGAGCCTCCTGAGGCCGGTTCTGTCAAGGACTGGCAGCAGACAGCCCTGTGTAGCCCAGAAGCCCGGTGCCATGTGTGGTAGGCAACTGGTCAGCGTGGGAGGAAGGCCCAGGAAGCTTTCCCTTCTACTTTGTTTGCATCTCAAAACGGTTTCAAACATATGAAACAAATATCTCCCTTCATGTAATGGGCTTGAGCATATGCTTGCCTGCTTGCGTTAGGGGCTGTAAATTGAAGAATATAAGTGGCAGCTTTCATTCCTCGTCACACTCTCTGAATGTTTTTGGCTTCTTGTATACGAGGCACCGGCTGTATAGTTCCCAACACCTGCTATCTATCCTCCGGCTAATCAAAAAGTTTAGCTACATTGCAGAAATGTCAAAAGTAATATATAGAGCTGAGATTTCAGAGGCCCCCCGTAGGAACAGGCTAGCAGGACTCTGTAAAAATGCCTGCATATATCTATGATTGCGGCATGAACGGCACTTGCTATCTTTTCCATACACTGTCCGTACACGCCCCTTGTTTCAACCCACTCCACACCAAGACTCCATTTTTGAATTGAAGAGTTGGAAGGGACTGCATGGATCCTTTACAGAGCACCCTAATTTGACAGACGATGAAAAGGATACCCCAAGAGATGTCACATCATGCTCAATACCATATGGTGAATTAACTTCAACAGAAGAAGGGAATAAAAAGAGCTCACAGAAGAAGCTGGGTCCATGCCCATATCATGCCCAGGCATCTGGCCAAAGCAATTAATCCTGTGAAAAATAATTGAAAAACCCATGGCTTTACGTAAAAAATTTAAAAATATTAATGCCAAAGTCCCTCCTCAGGAGGTTCTGGTTTAATTGCTCTGGGGTGAGGCCTGAGCACTGGCATGTTTCAAGGCAGCACAGATCATTCCGACGTACAGTCAGAATTATGAGCCGTCAGTTTAGAATAATACACTTGGCTGAAAGTCTAGTGGAATATAGTAGAAAAAATCCTGAACTTGGAGCCCGAAGACCCAAATTTGAATCTGGACCTTTTCATGATCATCAGTGTGGTTTGGGCAAGTTGCTTAACTGCTTTTATACCCACTACTTATCCATAAATCCTTACTTCATCCAGAATCTGAAACCCCCATGAGACAGTGCTCTTGAAAGTGCTCTGCAAACACTGAAATACTGTATCCATGTGAGACAAGACCTGCTGGAGACTTTTCTAGCAGAGCACCTTTCTCGTAGTTGCTTGGCTATTCAAAAATTGAATTCAATTCAACAAATAGGTATTGAATGGCTGGTAGGAAATAGACATTATGCTAGGTGCTGGCCATACAAAGATGAAGACATAGATCATGTAACTTAAGGAGTGCTGAGACTTGTAAGGGGAGGTGGACATTTAAACAAGGGGATACTACAAGGACAATAAGAGATGCAGCTTCAAGGGACAGAAACAGAACAAAGGACAAAGGAGGGGATGCTCACTCTGGAATATGGTGGTCAGGAGAGAGAAAGAGATATTTGTGCCAGCTTGAACAATCAGGTCTTCTAGGTGGAAAATAAAGAAGAAGGTTGCTCCAGGTTGAGGGATGAGCATATGCAAAGATACAGAATTGTTACTCAGCCAAGTAGTTTGATATGGGCTGGGGCACTGAATGGTAGGGTGGGATTCAGACCAGATCATTGACAGATAAATGAGATTATCATTCAATGTAGATTGACATAAATCACTTTTTTTTGGAGAAAGAAAAATGATGTTTAATGGCAGGTTTAAAATTACTATGGCTTTAAGAAGAACAGAATTATTGCACTCACTTTTTAAGGACCTGGTTATCTCTCTGAACCACAGGTAATCGGAGTTCAAAGAGTTAACATAGTCTGAAGCCTCTCATTGGTCTCAGGTCCAGAAAAGTTGCTAGGTTACTTTGCAGAAGAGAAACAAATAAAAACACTTTCCCAAGTGAAAAGAAAATTAATAGTAAAAGATGTGTTTAGGGACTTACACATCTGCAGAGCATTGTGTGTGTGTGTGTGTGTGTGTGTGTGTGTAACAGCATTAACACTTAACTAATAAAAATAACTAGGGTGGTTGGGTTTTCAGACTTGCAGGATAGAACTTGTATGAAAGGTCTGGTAAGGAGTGTCAAGTATAATGAGGAATAAGAAAGGTTAAAGAGTTTAAAACCAATTAGAATTTGAAGTTCTTGATTTCAGAACTCTAAAATCCTTTTTTTTTTTTTAAGTATGATATCTCTTTAAGAGCCATTTGGTGTACTTCATAGCCTGATTCATGCCACCAGCTGCCTCTGATTTCAATGAGAAATGCAGAAAATTTATAGGGAACTGTAAAATGGGGACAGATTTTTAGTTTTCTAAATTGAGGTTTAACTGGCAAACTTGTAAAGGTTGAAGAAACCACAGAGCCAAGCTATGGGAAGCTGGTTTCTTTTCTGGTCAGAAGGAATGAACACACAAACACATATCTAACTCACAAAGTGCTGGAAGAGAGAAAGCAATGCTCTTTCCAGAGGAGGAACACGGAAAAATCAGCCTTGTGGGTGAACAGGAGGAGAGTCACATTCGCCAGCAGGCAGCACCCTGTGCAGGCAGTGGGAGAAATCTGAGCTTCAGCAGCGTCCGGAGCAGGATTTGCACGAAGTCTCCCGTTTCAAGTTTTATGTCTCCTGGAGTCCTGGGGAAGGCACCCAGCCCACCCACAGCTCCCTTCTCAGAGCCCTAAGAATTGATGAGAAAGCCCCTCACTACCACATGCAGGACACGCAGGTGAGTCTGTCAGTGACAAGGTCAGACCTTCCCTGCTATTTGACACTGGTCCCCAAAAGGGAACCGTGCCCTCTCCTCCCCTGGCACGTACCTCATTTTCCTGCCTTGGGTGCTCCCGGCTGCCCGGCCTTGGTCCTCCCAGCTTGACTTGCCTGTGAGCTCGTGCCCGGTGTGGTGTCCGTGATGCCTTATCTTTGTTCTGAGGTCCCTGTGTGTCTCTGGAATTGGCTGGCATTCTCCATTCAGGTCACGCCTTCCCCTGCCTGCAACAGATCCCCTCTCCCCCTCTCTCCCTCTGGCTTTTCCTCTCTCCTCTCTCTCTCCTTTGACTTGCTCTTGCACTCCCAGGAACCTGACAACAAAATCTGTCTTCCTACCGAAAAGATCTGCTCCTTCCCTTCCCTCCTTTATCCTGTGTGGCTGACTTCAGCCCTTGAGAGAAAATAACTGAGGGGCTCAAGCAGGTATTTGTATCACTCTGTGTGTGTGTGTGTGTGTGTGTGTGTGTGTGTAGAGAGAGAGAGAGAGAGAGAGTGAAAGGGGACAAAGTCTAATTTCTCTTTAGTCTTTTTTGCCAGATGACTATAATTTTCTGCTTTTCTTCAGGACACCCATGAAAGAAAAGCAATTAAATAGAAACAACCAACTAAGAAGGCAATTCTAGCACCTACACTAGAAGAAAAAAAAAAGGTCTAAATCCCAGAGCGTCTGTCTGCAAATAACTACAGGTTTCCTTGTGAGCAGAGCCCCAAATAACTACAGGTTTTCTCGTGATCAGAGTCACACACAACGACAGGTTTTCCTGTGAACAGAGCCACGGGCCCGGAACTGGGGAAGCACCAAGTCCTGAAGTTGGCTGGTTGTTCCTCCCCATGAGCAATACCTGTGGCACTGTTTACTTGCTCGGAGTGTGTGCGGCTCTACTCCAGCCCAGAAAGGGCCCATCGCAGCAAGAAATCTCACCTCCCCAGGGGTGTAGAAAGACCTGGGCCTGTATATATGTCTATACCCATGGCTTCCGGAGAAATCAACACTAGATCTAAGATGAGCTGAATAATAAGAAAATTACCCCCTCCACAACAACAACAACCAACACTGAATAGGGAGAGGTGTATCTGGGTGTAAAAGTTAAGTTTGACTGTGCACCTTTTCTGTGTTAGACACAGTACTAGTCATTAACATCATCTCAAGTTACTTTTGCAAACTGGTGAAAGTGCTGCTGTTATACTCATTTTACAAGTGAGGACACTAAGGCTCAGAGAGAATATGCCACTTGCCAAGATCATCCAGTTATTTATGACTCCCCACTGCCACTAGCACTAGAAGCTAACAGCTATTGAGTGCTACGTGTCAGGCACTGCTCTAAGCACTTAATATATGAATTCTTTTCAGTCATCTTTATATGTTGTATACATGGCTGGCAATATTCTCATTTTTCAGAGGAAATTGCCCAGAGAGGTTAAGTAACTTTCCCAAGTTCACACAGCTAGAAAGTAATAGAGGCAGAATTTGAAGTGTTAGCCACTGTATTACACTGCTACTCATTAACATTTTATAATGCATATGGAATTTCAAATGCACACACACAGACGGCATTCATAGAGAAACTCAATCTGAGTCATTTTGAAAAGAAGATTAGACTCAGAGTTTAGCTGTAATCTTTCCTTTCTACCCAAGACAGCTGTGTACTTTGGGCACAATACTTAAGGTATCTGATTCTGTGTCTTCATTTGGAAAATGGGAGTTACTATGAGGCTTAAATAAGACTGTGCTTGTAGAAGTGTCCAGGGGAGTACCAGAGAGAGGGCTGCCAGCCACACTCACCAAAGCGGCAGACACATGCACTGTCTACCCTCAGATAACGTTCCTTTGGCACGTTCTGGGGAACAGTGGCTTGACTCTCACTGTACTTCTTACTCCATTTTCTCTCCAGTTTCTCTAATTTTCACACTTTTGAATGCCAGCCTTGCCAAGCTTGGCATTATCAAGAGGCTGTGGTTGATAAAGCAGGTACAAGTATATGAGATGGGAGGATATGTTTGAACTCAGGCACTGTTTTAGCAAAATGTGTTCTGTCTCAGTCAGCACAGGAAAAAAAGCTTTTAACATTCCCGTTAAGAAGACTCACAGGCTCCGCACACATTAAATAACTCTCACAAAACAACATTTTAATGATTTACGTGTAAATGAATCAGAAACACATGGACGACATTTCTCTTGGAATACACAAGGGTTTTAAAACTGAAGGAGAAAGAGCTTGGCAAAATGCACACTGTGCTGGGAAGAGGGCCCCTGCCCAGTAAAGACATTCCCTCAATTCATGCTGCCACGGAGTTTGCCCTCTCCTAATTTAGGGCATATACTGGGAACTGCAGTCATTTGTTCTGGGTACAGAGGGAAGAGCTTGGGCGAGAAAGCCATCAGCTTCTCCTTGGAAAGTGTCACAGAGCAATTAGGCCTCCTGGAATAATTTTCTAGCCATGTTTCTTCAAGGCTGCCAATGTTCAATGGAAAGCATTCGAGATGTGTTCTAAGCCAAAGTTCTGCCAATATATAGCAGATCTGATATGTGCGCTTCCCTGGGAGTTAGCCAAGGCTCAGAGGAAATCTGCATAAAAACAGGAACTACGTGGCCCAGGAATGATCTGCATGTGATTCAGGACAGTTTTCTACTTGGTTACACTACATATTGTCTGATGCTTTTGATGAATCTCCCTGAAGTGTCACTAAGAGATCATGGGTCATCAGGGGTGGGAGGAATGGAAGGGACATTAGGCTGGAAACAGAACTGGGCTCAGTGACTATAGGCCAGCTTGCATGTGACCTTGGGTAAGTCACTTACTTTCTCAGGGGTGGGGGTTGAGGGGTGGAGGGGTGGGGCATCAGTGTGTTCAATTATGAAATCAGGGGGTGGGACTCAGTTGAGATCATAGATATCAACATGTGGATATGAAGACTATGAAATGATGTCGTTGGGAGGGGGTTAGGTAGTTTGCTAGACCTAAAAGATTGTCAAGGAGTCCAAAATAGCTCTAATAATCTTGACATTGGCTTTTTCTGTGCTCATAATATTACTGATACTAAGAATTTAATCACAGATATTCAGAAAAAGTAATATTTAAAAAGGTTCAACTAGTTTTTTGAGTTTGGCAAAAGCGATTAAAAAATGCATACAAGGAACTGACATCATTTAGAATCATGAAAGCGTAGAATGACTGAGGTGGGCTCAGCACCCGCGCACTATAGTCCTGTAGTCCGGGAAAGGGATCAGAGAGCTGCCTACTAAGGGTAAATGCGGCAATATTCCTACCACTGGAAGAGGTTTTGGTTTACATGTTCTACCAAAGTATTTATTTTATGCAACTTTTGAGCTAGAGCTTCTGGAATTCAATGAATGGGTTAGAAAACGTAAAGAATTTGGGCAATGACTTTTTGTTGGTAAGGGCTGAAATCCAGGCTTCCTACAGAATATTTGAGAAACTGATAAATAGCTCCAAAGATGGCAGCTTAGAATGAAAATCTGGGTTCTTCAGCACATTGACTGACAGCATGCCGAAAGTCCTGGCTTCTGAGTCTATCAACAGAATAATGGGGAAAATATTTTTAAAAAATGACAATCTTTGAGCTTCATCCCAGGAGATTCAAACCCAATGAATCTGTGGGTAAGTCTCCTGAATCTGTAATTTGAAAATCTCCCCTGGCATGATTTTGCCACTTTTGGTACAAATAACATAATGATACATTTTATAATTGATGGCACCTTTGATTTGATAAGATGTCATTTGTATATGCCAGATACTTTTATATATATTATTGCATATAGTATTCACATCTTTTTTTACAAGTAAAGACATTGAGGTTCAGAGAAACTAAGCCTGCCCGTGCCTGTAAGTGAATGATGTATGTCTAGAGCCCAGGGCCCCCTGATCTCAAGTGCAAAGCTCTTCCCTGTCGTCTGCAAATTTCTCGTGCTTCTTGTGGACTCTGAACATTCATGTGCCATGCTGTCATGTGATTACAAGATTTTACAGAAGACAAAAAATAGCTTCTATTTAAAAAAATAAATGATTAGGCTCTGTTATGGGCTGAATTACATTCCCCTCAAATGCATATGTTGAATTTCTAACCCTCAGTACTTCAGAAGGTGACTGTGTTTGGAAAAAGGGCTTTTAATGAGGTGTTTAAGTTAAAATGGGATCCTTAGAATGGGCCCTAATCCAATACAATTGGTGTCTTTATAAGAGGACATTAAGACACAGACACACACAGAGGGAAGACCATGTGAAGACGTAGGGTGAAGATGGCCACCTGCAGGCCAAGGATAAAAGCCACAAAAGAAACCAAATCTGCCAACACCTCCATCTCGGACAGTTTTTGTTTATAGTCCCGAAAGACACAAGCCTGAAATCTATAATCCCAAATATGGAAATTCCAAAAAGTCAAAACCTCTAAAGTCTAAATCCCTAACATCTAAAATCCCCAAAATCAAAATCACAAGATAGTTGCATCATATTAGGTGGAACTCTTTACTTTGTCACTGTCTTTATGCAGAGGAAAATGGATTTCAATTGAATCCTCAAACCATAAAGACAGATTTGGAATTAGGTGTGATTGAGGTTTCTAAAGGTGAACTTCAAGGTATTACCAATAAAGTTTGTTTTTTTCCATTCTGTCCAATGTGTTTGGCAGAAACTTCAGATGAGTGGACTGGTCACGTGATACAGCAATGACAAAAACTTCAGTATTGGCATTCATTCCAGCTGATGGCATTCCAGGAGCTTTTAATGAATTAAAGCCACATTTGCCTGAAGAAGCCAGCGAAGTTACTAACTGGTTCAAAAACGATTATGTGCATGATGGGCAGTATTGTTGCAGTTCAATCACCAGTATTGCTTCCACCAGATTTGTGGTCTATATATGTGTGCATATGGAATAGATTTCCACAGACCCACAACACGGAAGCATGGCACAGAAGATGGGAAAAAATGGGGAATACTCATGTAGTTGTATACTAAACCATAGAAGAATTTTGAAAAGAGCAGTGTCACATGGAAAATAAATGTGAACATATTCTCCAAGGACAGCCATGTCGTAAAAGAAAAAAAGCAGCTATTTTTTGTGATGTGAGACTTAAAAATATAGTTAATGACTGTGAAAGTTGGCCAGCTCTTATGGACTATCTCCATGCAATTGCCCATAATCTAGCTCCATAACTTTTTTATTTGTTGAATTTTCTTTTTAGTTTTTAGTTTTTATTTTTAGTTTTTTTCACTATTTGAAATTGTCAGCATTATTTTTTTATAATTCGCCATGCTACCTATTTCATCTTTGCATCATTTCCAATACTGCATGCATCGTATAAAGAGTTTTAGAGAGTCCTAATTTGCTTTGTGCATTTTTGCAAATGTAACTCCATGAAAGTGCATTTTCAAAATGTTGAACTTGTGTGTAAGCAGTATGTGTGTGCATAAAGACATTAAAACTTCCTCGACAAATGAAAATGTATCTTCTTTGTACATCTGCTTTTATGAAAGATAAAATTTCTCAATGCCTTGGCTCTTTGGGCAACTGATGTGGTGGTGATATGGTAGTGACTCATCACGGTTTTTGATCAATCTTATCAAAAGACTTAGAAGAGTCTAAGAATCACAGCATTTCAGATGACTGCTGTATAAAGCTGGGGGCACACAATTACCAACCACAGTGTGATATACATTTTTATATTTTGCTTTTTGATTTATTTATTTATGAATATGGTTCATCTGCTCATAACTGTTATACCCATGTGACTGTTGTTAGTATATCTGAGTGTTTCTGCTTGCAAAAATATGGTATTATTGTCCATTTTATTGTGTAAAGTAGCCTATGAAGAGTTCTGTCATGTTTTTGCATGTTTCTTAAATAAATCCCCTTTAAAAATGTAAGTAAATATTTTACAACGTTTTGAAAACTTTTTTTTTTTTTTAAGACGGAGTCTCGCTTTTTTTGTTGTTGCCCAGGCTGGAGTGCAGTGGCACAATCTCGGCTCACTGCAACATCCACCTCCTGGGTTCAAGCGATTCTCCTGCCTCAGCCTCCTGAGTAGCTGGGATTACAGGCATCCGCCACCATGCCTGGCTAATTTTTGTATTTTTAGTAGAGATGGGGTTTCGCCATGTTGGCCAGGCTGGTTTTGAACTCCTGGCCTCTGGTGATCCGCCCACCTCGGCCTCCCAAAGTGCTGGGATTACAGGCGTGAGCCACCACACCCGGCTGAAAAAGTTTTTTCTAAAATATTTTTGGAATTTTGTTTTTCAGGATTTTAACATTGGGGATGATGGCATTTGGGATTATGGTCAGCTCCCATCTTGGACTTCTGGCCTCTAGAATTGTGAGAAAATAAATATCTGTGATTTAAGCCCCCCGACTCTGTGGTGTTTTGTGATGGCATCTTTGGCAAATGAATACAGCTGGCTTACAGAAGGGCCTCCCAAAGCATGAAACCCACATCACCAGGGGTGTCACATTGATTTCACACATCACATTCACAGAATTAACAAACACTGGGTCAGTTAAGGCTCTGTTTGGTAGGAAGTAAGAGAAATCTTGACTAACGTTGAAGCAGATAGGACTTATTTTTCTCACAGAGTAAGAAGTAAGGAAGCAGGTGGGGCTGGGGCAACTGATCAAGATTGTTTCCAATCTGCCAACCTTAGGATGGGGCTTTTCTCCTCATGCTTGTCACCTCTTGGTCACAGAAAGGCTGCTGTAACTCCAGATGTCATGTTCACATTCAAAGTGGGAGGGGAGAAAAGGAGGACAAGGATGAGGTAGCACTGGGAGATTTCTGCTTGTGTCTCACAGGCCAGAGCGGGGTTGTGCAACCTGCACTAGCAGCAAGGGAGGCTGGGAAGTCAAATTCTTATTTTGCAGCTTATATGGCAAGGCAGGCAGCAAGGAAGACCGAGGTTGGAAATGGGTGTTGCATGAGTCGTTACCATACGTGCCAAGAAGTTCCTGCCTTTTTCATTTGTCTTTCATTCCTGATATTATTAAGAAGAAAGTTAAGAAGAAAGCTTCAAGGGGCCATTATGCCATTAACACTAATTTGCCTCTTAAAAAGGAATGATGGGTCTCAGATTCAGAGCTTATGGAGGCATTAGTATTCTAGAATTTGACAATTTAAAAAAAGTAGTATTGCTGGGTGTGGTGGCTCACGCCTGTAATCCCAGCACTTTGGGAGGTCGAGACGGGCAGATCATTCTAGGCCAGGAGTTCAAGACCAGATTGGCCAACATGGCAAAACCCTGTTTCTATTAAAAGTACAAAAATTTGCCTGGCATGGTGGCGGGCGCCTGTAATCCCAGTTACTCGGGAGGCTGAGGCTCAAGACTTGCTTGAACCTGGGAGGCGGAGATTGCAGTGAGCCAAGATTGAACCACTGCACCCCAGCCTGGGCAACAGAATGAGACTCCATTTCAAAAAAAAAAGGTATTATCAGTGGTAGTGACATACTTTTTTTTTTCTTTTGAGACGGAGTCTCGCTGTGTTGCCCAGGCTGGAGTGCAGTGGCGAAACCTTGGCTCGCTGCAACCTCCACCTCCCGGGTTCAAGGAAGTCTTGAGCCTCAGCCTCCTGAGTAGCTGGCTGGGTTTACAGGTGCTGCCACCATGCCCAGCTAATTTTTGTATTTTTAATAGAGACAGGGTTTTGCCATGTTGGCCACTCTGGTCTTGAACTCCTGGCCTCAAGTGATCTGCCTGTCTCGGCCTCTCAAAGTGCTGGGATTACAGGTGTGAGCCATTGCACCTGGCTGACACACTTTTAAATATGTGGCTTTCAGTTAAAAATTCCAGAATAGATTTAATCAAAAATATAGAAATAAATAATAATATAGGTGGTATTAAGACATATGAAAAAATGTAAGATAAATTATTAAGTGTTAAAAATGGCAATGGTTACTTTCATGTGTCAACCTGACTAGGTTAAAAGATGCCCGGATAGCTGGTAAAATATTATTTCTAGGTGTGTCTGTGAGGACCTTTCTGGAAGAAATCATCATTTGAACCAGCGGGCTGAGTATGGAAGATCTGCTGTCATCAATGTGGTGGGCATCATTCGATCCATTGAGGGCTTTGGTGGAACAAGAAAGCAGAGGCAGGGTGTGTTTGCTGTCTCTTCTGGAGCTGGGACATGCGTTCTTTCCTGCCGTCAGACATCAGAGCTCCTGGTTCTTGGACTTTTGGACTCTGGGTCTTACACCAGTGGTTACATGCCTATCCCACCCTCCCAAGCTCTCAGGCCTTCAGCCTTGGACTTAGACATCACTGGTTGCCTTGGGTCTTAGGCCTTTGCACTCTAACTGAATGCAGCTCCGGCTGTCTTGGTTTTACAGCTTGCAGATGACATATCCTGGAACTTCTTGTCTTCCATACTCATGTGAGCCAATTTCTATAATAAATCCCCTCTTATAAATCTATATATTTCCTACTGGTTCTATGTCTCTGGAGATCCTTACTAATACAGAAACATTGCTCTGGAGAGTAGACTTAGTGAAAGCATCCCAGCAAGGTGGGAGAGGACTGTAGTGTGAGTTGCGATGCCTGAGACAGAGGCCAATTTCTGTCCTAACCCAATGTGCAACCTTGAACTTTTGGTCTTCCTTGGGCTTTGGATTTCTAATTCACAATGTTGAGCTGGATTTGGTGTTGTGTGTGTGTGCTTGTGTGTGTGTGTGTGTTTAAAGCACATTTCTACTCAGTTTATGACATCTCTATTTCAGTGTGTGGAACTATACCTATTACGTTATTATTAAGACTGGATCATAGTTTTAGAGGCTCTCAAAGCAGTTTTAAAAAGGGGGTGCACTCTGGTATGAAACAAGATGTTATTCCCAAAATGAATGTTTCTCCTTTAATACTCATTTCATCCTGAAAACAACAAAAAAGTCAAACATTATCATCTTTACTTTACTTACCAAATTAGCAATATTAAGAGGAGGTAATTGAGTCCGAGAGGAGAGAAATACCTTGCCCAGGGTCACACAGAAGGTAGGTGAGGCTGGGATCATGAACACCGATTACCCTGTACTCATGCTCTTTTTTTTCTTTTTAACATTTGTTTATTTAAATTGACAAATAAAAATTGTAAATATTGATTGTGTACAACATGATGTTTTGAACTATATATACGTTGTAGAAAGGATAAATCAAGCTAATTAATATATGCATTACTTCACATACTTTTTTTTGCACTGAGAACATTAAAAAAACTAATCTCTGCAATTTTCAAGAATACAATATACTGTTATTTACTATAGTTGTACAATAAACCTCTTGAATACATTCCTATCTAACTGAAATGTTGTATCCTTTCACCAATATCTCCCTACCACATTACCTCCCCCAACACCCTAACAGCCACCATTCTACTCTTTACTTCTGAGTTCAACTTTTTTAGATTACACGTTGCTATAGTTTGGATGTTTGTCCCCTCCAAACCTGATGTTGAAGTTTGATCCTCAGTGTTGGAGGTGGAGCCTACTGGGAGGTGTTTGGGTCCTGGGGGTGGATCCCTCATGAATAGATCAATGCCCTCCCTCAGGAATGAGTGGGTTCTAACTCTATTGGTTCTCATGAGAGTGGGCCTTAAAAAGACCCTGGTGGCTGTGCCTGGTGGCTCACACCTGTAACCCCAGCACTTTGGGAGGCCGAGGAGGGTGGATCACCTGAGGTCAGGAGTTTGAGACCAGCCTGGCCAACATGGTGAAACCCGTCTTTACTAAAAATACAAAAATTAGCTGGTCATGGTGGGCACCTGTAATCTCAGCTACTCAGGAGTCTGAGGCAGGAGAATTGTTGCAACCTGGGAGGCGGAGGTTGCAGCCATTGCACTCTAGCTTGGGTGACAACAGCGAGACTCCATCACAAAAAAAAAAAAAAAAAAAGAGCCTGTCATGCCCTTCCACCCCCACTTCCTCTCTCTTCATGTGATTGATCTCAGCACATGCTAGCTCCTCTTCACTTTCTGCCATGAGTGGAAGCAGCCTGAGGACCTCACCAGATGCCTAATCTTGAACTTTTCCAAATATCAGAATTGCGAGCCAAATAAACCCTTTGTATTTATAAATTACCCAGTCTCCAATATTTCTTTACAGCAACACTACATGGACTAAGACATGCATGTAAGTGACATCATGTGAGATTTGTCTTTCTGTGCCTAGCTTATTTCACTTAACATAGTGTCTTCCATGTTTATCCATGCTGTCACAAATGAACAGGATTTCCTTCTTTTTGAAGGCTGAGTAGCATTCCACTGTGTATATATACCACACCACACTTTCTTTATCCATTCATCCATTGATGGACCCTTAGATTCATTCCATATCTTAGCCATGCTCATATTCTTTTATATTAGGTTTTTGACCATTCTATTTGAGAGTAAGTACCCTAAAAAGAAACTTAATTGTTTTTTGAAGGTACAAAGTGACCTTTGCTTGGTCAACACAGCCTGGCTTTCTAGAACATGGTATTGTCAAATAAAGGTACACTGAGATGTTTTTTCTCCTGAAGAACAAAATCCTCACACTTTCTCGGCTGCCATTAGGATGATCACTTCTAGAACCTACTTCAGTCACTATGTAAGAAAGGACATCTCTCCCCTTTTTCCAGCCTCTCAGCCCAACCTGCTTCCCACCCTCTTCTTCATTCTTATCCAGACCAAAGTCTGTTTATTAGGGGGCAGTGAAAGTGTCATCAACTGGCCATATTATACATTATTCTCCTGCTTTCTGCCCTATTTCATACAGTGAAAAAACAGCTTGAGACCAGCCTCCTTTAAATCATTCTGGCTTTGTCTTTCTTTCTCCATGCACTTGGACAAAGGGTGATAGGAGACCAAGATTAGGATTTAAGCTCTGGCAGGAGCTAGGGATGCCCCACTTAAATCAAAGGAAGCCCTGTCATTTAACCCAGAATTACTGAAGAGTCCAATGCTATGAAATCAGGTAATAGCCTAGCTGGTAACACAGGATATCTGGTTTCCTTTTTGGTTATTTTCCCCATGGTAATCTTGCAGGAGCATGGGTGAGGTATTAGGAAGAATTCTGGAGGTTTGTTTTGTTTTGTTTTGTTTTTTTGTTTTTTGCTTTTTTTGATAGAGTCTCACTCTGTCACCCAGCCTGGAGTGCAATGACATGATCTCGGCTCACTGTAACCTCCACCTCCCGGGTTCAAGCGATTCTCCTGCCTCAACCTCCTGGGTAGCCGGGATTACAGACACCCACCATCATGCCTGGCCAATTTTTGTAGAGATGGGGTTTCACCATGTTGGCCAGGCTGGTCTTGAATTCCTGACCTCAGGTGATCCACCAGCTTTGGGCTCCCCGAGTTCTTAAGTACTTGATACATATACCATCTGTTATCAATTGAATTGTCTCTTCCCCAAGTTCATATGTTGAAGTCCTCGCCCACCACTACCTCAGACTATGACTGAATGTGAAGACAGAATCTTTAAAAAGGTGAATACGTTAAAGTGAGATAGTTTGTGTGGGCTCTAATCCAATATGACAGGTGTCCTTATAAAAGGAGATCAGGGCACAGACACAGAGGGAAGACCATGTGAAGACACAGGGAGAAGACACATCTGCAAGCCACAGAGAGAAGCCTCAGAAGCCTCAGAAAAAACCAAACTTGCCAACTCATTGATCTTAGTCTTCTAGACTACAGAATTGTAAGAAAATAGACTTCATAGATTTCTGTTGTTTAAGCCACCTAGTCTGTGGTGTCTTGTTATGTCAACCTAGCAAATTAATATACTCATCCATACCTTCTTTACCTTTGTTCACCTAAGTTTATTTTATATTAATTATAGTTCTTTTCTTTTCTTTCCTTCTTTCTCTCTCTTTCTCTCCCTCCCTCCTTTTCTCTCTTTCTTTTCTTTTCTCTCCTTTTCTTTTTCCTTCCTTCCTTCCTTCCTTCCTCCCTCCCTCCCTTCCTTCCTTTTCTCCCTCCCTCCTCTCCTCCTCTTTCTCTTTCTTTCTTTTTCTTTCTTTCTTTCTCTTTCTTTCTTTCTTTCTTTCTTTCTTTCTTTCTTTCTTTCTTTCTCTTTCTTTTTTTCTGCCTCCCTTCCTCCCTTCCTTCCTTCCTTCCTTCCTTCTTTCCTTCTCTCTCTCTCTCTCCCCCGCCCTCCGTCTCTCTCTCTCTTTCCTTTCTTTTTAGTAATGGGGTCTCATTATGTTGTCTAGGCTGGACTCCAACTCCTAGGACTTCAGGCACATCCCACTGCACCCAGCCCAATTATAGTTCTATCCATTCATGTTGTCTCCCCTTTCCCAGAGGTTTTTCCGATGCTACAGCCACATGGACCAAGCATACTCAACCATAGGATATGAGAAAGTAGGCCGTATGAAGCAAATGGACCATACAGCATGGTCCCAACATCTGGGGAGCATGACTCTGATCATGGGAGAATCAGGGTTCTCACTTCCCTAACTCCTTACTGATGTTTCATGACCATTACTTTTCCACTCTTTCTCCAAATTCTTCTGCTCTTCTTCCACTCTGGCTATTCCATATTTACTCATCTCTGCTACTGTCACCTTTCAACCTCTTTGTCCAATCCTTCATTCCTTTTGCTTGGGGATGTGTCACCATTGCTTACCTCTCCTTCACAATTGCTCCTGGTGCCCTGGGCACACTGGGCTCTCAGTTCCTTGACCTCTTCACCTTCAAAGATGACTTCCTCCACTTCACCTTAGCCATCTATTATACCCATAGCCATGTCTACCTCTGAAATCTGAAATTCTTACACCCCACTCTCTAATTACAGTCTTCTATCTTTCTAGGTCTTGCACTCCTTCAGTGAACCTCTGTCTAGATTTCCACCTCATCTAGTTTTTTTGCCACTACTTCATTTTATACCAGTCTATCAGAATCTCTTGGCCTTACATCTTCCTTGAATTCCACAACCAGTCACCAGCACTCCTTAGATGACTCTTTTTCTGCCTGTTTCTTGACTCTCTTCTTACTTCAAAGAAGCGGTACTTCATCTTCTGGTAAATTATTGAGGATCTAAAGATAGTTAGATTCCCTCTGTCTGGGACACTCCCAAATAAAGTCTCATAGTTCACTCCTTCACCTCCTTCAGTTCTTTCTAAACATGTCAACTTTTCAGCAAAGTCCTTTGTGACTACTTTGTTTAAGGATGCAGCCTCTATTCCTATCCCCACTCACTATCTCCATAAGCTAGTTTATTTTCCTTCATGGCACTGACAACTAGCTAAGAGGCTATTTATTTTGATTACTTATTGGTTTATTGCTTGCTTTTTACCCCACTAGAATAATAAAATCTCCAAGTGGAAAGCATTTTTATATTCCCTATTTACTGTTGTAGTCTTAGTACCAAGGATAGTGCCTTTGTTTTTGTTTTGTACATAGTAGGAAATTAATACTTATTTGTGGAATGTAGCTTCTTCCAAGAAAAACTTAAATACAACACATATTCTCAAAACTTGGCATATAATTTCAAGAGGCCGATGGCTCTCCTGAGGCCTGAAGCTCTGAAGCTCAGCTTCAACCATCATTCCTGAATATGTTGCATACACTCTACCACTATAGACTTAAAAATTGTTAGCTACTGATCACAGACAAACTATTTCTTTAGTCTAAATGTCCCTGCTCAATTCCCCACCCACAAATCAAATGACTACTCACACTTCAATTTAAACATTCAAACACTAAAAGTTACTTATGTGGAGGGTACAATAGTAAGAGGCTTTATTCTTATTTATAATACACCAAACTTTTGATGCCTGGCCTTGTAAGCCATGGTCAGGGTTTTGGTTGTATTCTTAGTACAACAGGAAATCACTGATGCATTATAAGCAGGAGTGTGGAACAATGTAATTCACAGTTATAAAATGTCTCTGTCTGTATTATGAGGAGAATGGACTTGGAGGATGGGGAGACAGGGAAACCAGCTGGGAGGCTGTGGCAGTGGCCAGGATCCAGGCCACTTATACTAACAGGCACAGTGAGCGCAGAGCCTGGGGCCACAGCACCATTAGGGGCCCATGAAAATGTTTTAATTTTGATTTCTTTAAAAATCAGAATAAAAAAAAATAAATCCAGCTTGGATTATATCTGCTTTTATACCAACATAGCATTAAATATATACTTTTTAATGTTTTTTGATGGATGAGGAGGCCCATGGAGGTCATAAAGAGGCCCTGGGTATGACTTGGATAGAGCAGAGTGGGGACAGTGGACGTGGAATCAAGTAAACAAAGGCAAAGACAAGAGATGTTTTGTAAGAAGAAAAGCCTGAATCTGGCCATAAAATGAGAGTGAGTGATAAGGGAGAGGTAGAAAGCAAAGATAAGTATCAGAATTTCTGCATAAGAATTGGCTCCATTTACCGAGATGGGGAAGACAAGGGGAGTGGGCGTCAAGCAGGGGTCAGAATGTAAACAGCCTCCCCTGCCAGACCAGTGTTGAAAATTTATGGCATGGGTTAGTGTGTCTCAACCCTGGTTGGACATCAGAGTCACGTGGGGAACTTTAAGAACTCAAACTTCTGCCACATCCCCCAGACCAACCAATCCAGAATCTTGACAGTGGGCCAGGGCCGAGGACTGCAACATTTTTAGGCAATGGGGCTACACAAAGTCTTTTTAAAACAGAAAATGATATGGCCAGAAGTGATTTGGCTTGGCTGTTTGGCCGAGAGCGGTGGCTCACGCCTGTAATCCCAGCACTTTGTGGGGGACGAGGCAGGCAGATCACGAGGTCAGGACATCGAGACTATCCTGGCTAACACGGTGAAACCCCGTCTCTACTAAAAATACAAAAAATTAGCCGGGCATGGGCATTTGTAGTCCCAGCTACTCGCTAGGCTGAGGCAGGAGAATTGCCTGAACCTGGGAGGCGGAGATTGCAGTGAGCGAGATCACACCATTGCACTCCAGCTTGGGCGACAGAGCGAGACTCTGTCTCAAATAATAATAATAATAATAATAATAATAATAATAATAATAATAATAATTCACCGTTTGATAGTAGTATGGGGGATGGGAAGGAGTGGGTGAGAGACCGGAGGGTAAGCCAGGGAGCTAACAATACCCAAGTACCCGGGTCTCCTGATTCTCATGCCCCTCCCTAGGCTCAGGAAAAATGTCAGATAAGGCCACTCAGAAAAGAGCTGGAAAGACCTTCTGGGTCCTCAGCCGGAGCCCGTCTTGCCTGAGGGTCATGGGTATGGAGCACAGGGGCCGGGTGGTCCATTGGCTTCTCTGGCCAAACCACAGGGCAAATTTAAACACTGCAGCTACCACAACACAGCAAATCTGAATGACAATAGTTTTTTTAAAAGCAGGATTTTAAAAATAAAAATACTTATTCACAAAAAACCATCTCAGGGAAGCTGGCTAATCATAAGGCATTTTTTTTTTTATGTGTAAACATTTAATTTAATTTATTTTTTAAATTAATTACTTTGTAATTGATGAAAATTGTATATGTCTATGGTGTACAACATGATATTTTGAAATATGTATACATTGTAGAATGGCTAAATCAAGCTAATTAGCCCATGTATACTATTACCTCACATACTTTTTCTGTGGTAAAAACCCTTAAAATTTACTCTCAGCAATTTTCAAAAATCCAAAACATTGTTATTAACTATTGTCACCATGTTGTACAATACAGCTCTTGAACTTACTCCTCTTATCTAACTAAAATTTTGCATCCTTTAACCAGTACCTGTGCATCCCCACTCCCACCTACCAGCCCCTTACTTTTTAAGTAAGTTGAACTCATAGAATTTGAGAGTAGAATGTTAGTGCGATTACATGGTATTTGTCTTTCTGTGCCCAGCTTATTTCACTTAACACAGTGCCCTTTGCGTTCATTTATGTTGTCACAAATGACAGAATTTTCTTCTTTGTAAAGGCTGAATAATATTCCATTTGTGTGTGTGTGTGTGTGTGTGTGTGTGTGTGTGTGTATGTATCATTCATCAACAGACACTTAGCTTGTTTCCATATCTTGCTATTGTGAATAATGCTGCAATGAACATGAGGGTGCAGATATTTGAGATACTAATTTTGTTTCCTTTGAATATGTACCCCAAAGTGGATTGCCTGGATTGTATGGTAGTTCTATCTCTAATTTTTTGAGGAATCTTCATACCGTTTTCAATAATGGCTGTATAAATTTACATTCCCAGCAACCGTGTACAAGAGTTCCCTTTTCTCCACATCCTCATCAACACTTCTTATTTTTTAAGCCATTTTAACAGGTGTGAGGTAATATCTCACTGCAGTTTTGATTTGAATTTTCTTGAAGATTAATGATGTTGAGCACTTTTTAAAATACATATTGGCCATTTGTATGTGCTCTTTGGAAAATATTTATTCAGGTTCTTTGCCCATTTTTCAATCACGTTATTTTGTTGTTGTTGTTTCTATTGAGATTTATGAGTTTCTTGTATATGTATCTTGCAATATCAACTCCTTATCAGATACATGATTTACAAATATCTTCTTCTCTGTCGGTTGCCTTTTAATTTTGTTGATTGTTTCCTTTTTTGTGCAGAAGCTTTTCAGTTTGATGTAGTCCCACCTTTTTATTTTTGTTTTTGTTGTCTGTGCTTTTGGTATCGATCATATCCGTAACATTATTGCCAAGGCCAATGCCAAGGAGCTTTCCCTCTGTGTTTTCTTTTGGGAGATTTACAGTTTCAGATCTTACATTTGTCTTTAATCCACTTCAAGTTTCATATATGGTATAAGATAAGTGTCCAATTTCATTCTTTTGCATGAGGATGTGCAGTTTTCTCAACACCATTTATTGAAGAGCCTAAGCTTTCCCTATTGTGAACTCTTACCATCCTTGCCAAAGATTGGCTGTAGATGCATGGGTTTATTTCTGGTTTTTCTATTCAGTTTCATTGGTCTATGTGTCTGTGTTTATGCCAGTCCCATGCTGTTT
The DNA here is from genome assembly GCF_000001405.40 of Homo sapiens. NCBI lineage: Eukaryota > Metazoa > Chordata > Mammalia > Primates > Hominidae > Homo > Homo sapiens. Next base: position 118,186 of record NW_025791769.1, read on the forward strand.
TGATCACTATAGCTTTAATTATTTACTTTTAATATAGTTTGAAGTCAGGAAGTGTGATGCCTCTAGCTTTATTCTTTTTTCTCCAGATTGCTTTGGATATTTGTGGTCTTTTATGGAGCCCTATGAATTTTAGAATTGTTTGTTTTATTTCTGTGAATAATGCCATTGGAATTTTGATAGGAATTGGATTGAATCTGTAGATCAATTTGGTTAGCATGGGCATTTTAACAATATTAATTCTTCCAATCCATGAACATGAGACATCTATTTGTTTATGTCTTCAATTTCTTTCTCAATGTCTTGTAGTTTTTAGTGTATAGAACTTTTCCTTCCTTGGTTACATTTATTCTTAAGTAAAGTCATGTGCTGTATAACAATGTTTCAATTAATGTTGGACCACATATACAATTTCCTATCGCTAGTGATGTCTTAGCTGCCTTAGCGTTGCAGTGCAGCACATTAACTTTTCTATTAGATACACATTGTGTTACAACTGCCTATAGTATTCAGTACAGTAACATGCTGTTTGGTTTTGTATCCTAGGGGCAATAGGCTATACCATATAGCCTAGGTGTGTAGCAGGTTGTACTATTAAGGTTTGTCTAAGTACACTCCATGATGTTTGCACGATGACAAAATCACTTAAGACATTTCTCAGAACATATCCGTGTCATTAAGCACCATATGACTGTATTTTAATATTTTTATGGGATTGTAAATGGAATCTTCTGTTTCTTTCTTTCTTTCTTTTTTTTTTTTTTTTTTTTTGAGATGGAGTTTCACTCTGCCACCCAGGCTGGAGTGCAGTGGCACGATCTCGGCTCACTGTAGCCTCTGCCTCCTGGCTTCAAGTGATTCTCCTGCCTCAGCCTCCCAAAGTAGCTGGGACTACAGACACCCACCACCATGTCTGGCTAATTTTTTTTGTGTTTTAAGTAGAGGCAAGTTTCACCATGTTGGCCAGGCTGGTCTCAAACTCCTGAGCTTAGGTGATCTGCCTGCCTCGACCTCCCAGACTGCTGGGAGCATGAGCCACTGTGCCTGGCCTCTCAGTTTTGTTTTTTTTTGTTGTTGTTGGCGGGGGCAGGGGTTGGCTAGTTTGTTGTCAATGTATAGGAATGCTACTGATCTTTGTATGTTGACTTTGTATTCTGAAACTTTACTGAATTTGTTTATCAGTTTTAACTGTTTTGATGGCGTTTTTAGAGCTTTCTGTATATAAAGTCATACCTCTGTAAACAGAGACAATTTAACTTCTTTCTTTCTGAATGGGATGTCCTTATTTTTATTTTTCTAATTGCGCTGGCTAGGATTTCTAGTATTGTGCTGAATAGAAGTGGCCAGAGTGGGCACTCTTGTCTTACTCCTTATCTTAGAGAAAAAGCTTTCAGCTTTTCACAATTGAGTATAATGTTAGCTGTGGGCTTGTTATATATGGTCTTCATTGTGTTGAATTACATTTCTTTTATAGTTAATTTCTTGAGAGTCTTTTTTAATCATGAAAGGATGCTGAATTTTGTCAAATGCTTTTGCTGCATCCGTTGAGATGATCATATAGTTTTTCTTCTAAATTTTGTTAATGTAGTATATCATATTTACTGATTTGCATATGTTAAACCATCATTGCATCCCAGGGGTAAATCCCACTTCATCACGATTAATGATTTTTTAAATATGCTGTTGAATTCAGTTTGCTATATTTATTTTATTACATTTTCCCATTTATGTTTATCTGGGATATTTTCCTATAGTTTTCCTTTCTTGTATTATCCTTGTCTGGCTTTTGTATGAGGGTGATGCTGACTTCATAAAATGAATTAGGAAGTTTTCTCTCCTCTTCATCTTTTTTTTTTTTTTGGAAGAGTTTGAGTAGGATTGGTTTTAGTTCCTCTTTAAATGTTTGTTGGAATTCACCTATGAAACCATCTGGTCTTGAGCTTTTCTTTATTGGGAAGTTTTTCATTACTCACTCAGTCTCCTTACTCATTATTGGACTGTTTAGATTTTCTATTCCTTCATGGTAGGTTGTATGTTTTTAGGGATTTATCCACTTATTCCAGATTATCCAATTTGTTGACATAAAATACATTCTTTGAATTTCTGTGGTATCACTTTTAATGTCTTCTTTTTCATTTATAATTTTATTTATTTGAGTTTTCTCTTTATTTTTTCTTAGATAGCCCAGATAATTGTTAATTTTATCCTTTTTTAAAAAGATCTCTTAGTTTTGTTGATTTTTTATATTGTCTTTCTAGTCTCTGTTTTATGTATTCAGAAGTAATCTTTAGTTCCTTCTGTTAACATTGGGCTCAGTTTGTTCTTTTTTTCTACTTCCTTGAGGTATACAGTTAGGTTGTTTATTTGAGACCTTTGTTTTTTCTTAATATTGGTACTTATTACTATAAACTTCCCTCTTAGGACCACTTTTGTTGAAGTCCACACATTTAGTTATGTGTGTTTCCATTTTCACTACTCTCAAGATACTTTTGGATATCTTCTTTGATCCCTTGGTTGTTCAGGAGTGTATTGTTTAATTTCCAAGTTAGAATTGGGAACAGAAATTATTTATAAAAGAGGCATTTGCTACTGAGCATGTTTTGGTCTTCAGTTAAATTCTTTTTAACTTCTGGCTCCATAGTGTAATGGTTCTGGAATTAGCAACAATAAAACATTAGTTACATTAGTGAGTAATGGTTTTATTTAAAACAGAATTAAAATGTCAACCCAGTGGTGCTGAGAACTAAATGTCCACTCTCTAAGTGGCTGGCCTTGTGAATGTCAGAGGCCATGGCCACTACTAATAGCGATTAGGTTGGTGTTTGAGACTCATGAAGCAACCTGCATTTCAACTTGCTATTTTATCTGAACCTCAAAATCTTTTGGGGAATACTTAGCATAACTTCTTTTACTGGTAAAAAATCCTAAAGCTCAGAAAAGTTAATCTGCTGGAAGTCGTAAAGCTTGTAGGCAGTGACAGAGCCCAGGAGGTTATAAAGCAACCTAGTGGATAGAGCAAGAGTCTGATTCCAGGCCTCAGGCAGTTTGGGTGTCCATGTAACTCAGGTACTGGTATGACATACAGTCACCATGTATGAATGGGGAATAATGCCTACTTCATGAAGACATAATATGTAAGCTGCTTAGTGTAGAGTCAGCCATTGACTTGAATGCTTCCTGAATGTTAGCCATTTTTTTTTCATCGTCCATGTAACTTTCCACTAGATCACCTGTGTGTTGACAAACACAATCACAGGCAACCTTCAACTTATCTAGTTTCCCAGATTACCCAGGAACATTCCCCCCACACCGGAATTGACTAAATTTGCTCAATTCTCCCCTCTCAGCTTGTTTGTTCTAGACTTTGGGGAAATTCCCTCACTCCTTCTTTTCCTTCCCTCTGCTTTTGCAGCCAGCACTTCAGCCTGAGCCCCATCCTCCCTTCTCTGAACTTGAGTCCCAGCCTCCTGGCTCTGGAGCTGCAGGGGTGGGGGTGGGGAGGGGGTGGGGTTTATAGAGGGCAGGGCTTTGTTGTAGGTAGGAAAGGAGAAATTAGAGAAGCTGGAGCAATTTCTCCCTCTACCCTTTATCTTGGAGGAATGAGACCTGTTCTGATCTCCCATGCCCAAGGCCATGCCATCTCTCTCCTGGGCCATGCCATCTCTCTCTCTCTCTTTCAGACCATGCCATCTCTCTCTCTCCTGGGCCATGCCATCTCTCTCTCTCTCCTCTGGCCATGCCATCTCTCTCTCTCCTGGGCCATGCCATCTCTCTCTCTCTCCCCCCCAGACCATGCCAGCTCTCTCTCTCTCTCTCTCTCTCCTGGGCCATGCCATCTCTCTATCTCTGTCTCCCCCAGACCATGCCATCTCTTTCTCTCTCTCTTCTCTGGCCATGCCATCTCTCTCTCTCTCTCCTGGGCCATGCCATCTCTGTCTCTCTCTCCCCCAAACCATGCCATCTCTCTCTCTCTCTCTCTCTCTCCCAGACCATGCCATCTCTCTCTCTCTCCCTCTCCTGGGCCATGCCATCTCTTTCTCTCTCTCCTCCAGACCATGCCATCTCTCTCTCTCTCTCTCCCCCAGACCATGCCATCTCTCTCTCTCTCTCCCCCAGACCATGCCATCTCTCTCTCTCTCTCTCCCAGACCATGCCATCTCTCTCTCTCTTCCAGACCAAGCCATCTCTTTCTCCCAGGCCATGCCATCTCTCTCTTTCCCTCCCAGGCTTTGCCATCTCTCTCCCTCTTCCAGGCCATGCCACCTCTCTCTCCTGGGCCTTCCATCTATTTCTCTCTACTGGGCTATGCCATCTCTCTCTCTCCCATGCCATGCCATCTCTCTCTCTCTCTTCCAGGTCGTGCCATCTCTCTCTCTCTCTCTTTCAGGACATGCCATCTCTCTTTCCCAGGCCATGCCATCTTTCTTCCAGACCATGCCATCTCTCTCTTGCAGGCCATCCCATCTCTCTCTCTCCCAGGCCATGCCATCTCTTGTCCAGGCCATTCCATCTCTCTCTCTCTCACAGGCCATGCCATCTCTCTCTCTCCCAGACCATGCCATCTCTGTCTCTCGCAGGTCATGCCATCTCTCTCTCACCCAGGCTGTCATCTGTCTGTCTCCCAGGCTATGCCCTCTCTTTGTCTCCCAGGCTTGGATCTGCAGCTCCCTTGCTAAAGCCTGCTTCACTCCTCTTCTCCTCATTGTAACATCTTACATACCCATGGTACAAGCATCAAGAACTCTTGGGGTGTTTAGTTATACCTTTTATTTTGAGTTAATTTTATAACATTCAGTTATAAAAATAACACAGAGATTTCCCATGTATTCTTTATGCAATTTCTCCCAATGGGAACATCTCTTCTAGAACTTTTATATTTGAGTATTTTTGTTTTATTCTTCAGGTTTATTCACATTCAGGAGAAAGTTCTCAGATCTCTTCTGAAGGGACAGAGAAGACAGAACATTTTAAAAAATTATAATGATTTTTTAAAATTATTTTTTCAGGCAGGAAAAATGAGCATCTGCTTTACTCAGACTCATCGTTGCTTCTCCAGGGACCATCCATGCCCTCAACAGAAACCTCTGGCTGAAAGCTTCTGCAGGTGCTGTCCGAAGAGAACTGCACAGGCAGGAGGGAGGAAGAGAGCAGGTGCAGCGTTGAAGGCACTTAAAAGCCTCCTGAAACCTTGCACTTGGGTGTGATCTTGGAGGCTGACCATTCAATTCTTCAACTGATGCTTGAGTCTCAACCTCTGCAGAACACTTCCAGTGTTAGGAACTCACCTGTCTCTAAAAGCTTTGCTAACTTGGAATGCCAGAAAGTTCTTTCACTAGGCATGAGAGCAGGACTGTGTTTTCTTGTTCACTGTTGCATTCCCACTGCTAGCACAGCATTTCCCAACACAGTGCTTAACAAGTATTAGTTGAGTGAAGGGATGAATGAATGAACTAATGATCAGACATATCCAGCCCTGTCTGAGAGGTTGGAAGCATGCTCTCCCTATGAAGAAGGGGTGGAGGCTGCCTGGGACGCTGCAGTCATGACCGAGGCCACCCTGTCAGGGACAGAGGCAAGCCCATGTGTGGGTGCCTTGCAGAGCATAGGAGCCCTTGGAACTTGAGAGGGATAGAAATGCTCCAGGGTAAGAAGCCACTAGGGTTGGGGACATGACAACTCCTTCAGGTGTTCTGAGTGCTGGGGCCGAGTGGCAGCCTTTCTCACAGTCCTGACTTATTACATCCCTGGGTAAGTAGAGGGAAATTTAATTCATATGTTCCCCAGTTATTTACACAATTCTGAGCAAGACTCCACCATTGTGTAAGAGCCATTTGACGTCGGTGGCACTGCTTTCTTTTTTCCATTCTGAGAAGAGTCCTTGAAGAAAAGCCAGCTCCTTCATCTCCGAAGAAGGAAGGGGTAGGAGCCCAGGGAACTGTCATCTGGACCTGGCAGGGCTCTGCAGCATCTGGGGAGACTGTTTTCAGAGAGATTCAGAGAGGAGGCTGAGGAGAGGGGTTAAGACAGGAGCACCAGTGGGCTGCTGCCTAGCCCTGTGCCCCCGTGGGCTCTGCCAGCTGCTGCCAGCAGGAGCTTGGTGGAGGGAGGAGATAGAAGAAGCTGGGAGGTGCAGTGGGAAGATGGGGTCTTCCAGGCAGGGGTCCTCCAGTCTTGCATTCTGTCATAACCTTGGGAAGGTTAGTTTCTCTCCATAAGCCTCAGTTTCCCCTTCTGCAAAGCATGAGGGTGTACCTGGTTCTGCAATCTTTATGGGTTTCCAACAGCCTATTTATTCTAGGACTCTTTTTTGTGTCTTATTGTGAATATTATCTGGCACTCCCTAGACAAATGTCGTTTAAAAAATATTTTTACCATAATCCTCAGTAGGAAATACATTTTACACAATAGCCTACTTTATATAACTGAAACAAAGGTTTCATAAATTAATACTTATGCTTTCTGTGGGAACAGACATAAAGATTGATGGAACAGAAGAGAGAATGTACAGATAAATCTGTACACTTATGGTCAATTGATTTCTAACAAGGGTGCCCAGGTAACTCAATGGGGAAAGATGGTCTTTTTAAATAGTAGTGGGACAACTGGTTATCCAGATGCAAAAATAAATAAATACATACATACATAAATACATAAACTTAGAGTCTTACTTCACATGATACACAAAAAATTGATTAGTAAATGGATCACAGACAGAAATGCAACAGCGAAAAATAAGGAGTGACTGATTACACTTATACACACGAAGAATAGGATCGTCCTCACAGACATTATGCTGAGTGAAAGAAGCCCATCACAAAACCCTAAAGGTTTTATGATTCCATTTATAGGGAATTTCTAGAAAAGGCAAAAATAATAGAGACAGAAAGTAGATCAGAGATTCACTGAGGCTGTGGGACTGTATACAGGCAGGAGGGGACTTTGCTGTCAGAAAATGGAAGTGTTCTAGAACGGTGATGGTGCTTACACAGCGGGACAGATTTACTAAAACCCATCAAACAATACACTTACGAAGCATGGACTTCATGGTATATCAATCATAACTTAAATATGACGACTAATAAAATTAAACCTAAAGAATACAGATGATAAATTATTTGTTCATTTTTTAAAATGTAGGTTCTCTGGGTATGACGAGTTAGTTCCAAACCACCTCTTATGACTTTATTCATCTCTCTTCATAACATCCACAGCATCATTACACATAGCTATTGCTTATTAATGACTATTCACTTGAAAATATTAAAAAGAATAGATACATACTGATTGAATTTATTTTGAAAACTGAATTGTTTTAAGAAAATGAGTTTTATAAGTCTAAGCAGATCTTTCTACATTTTTATATCCAATACCAACAAATGCCTCTAGTAAATCATAATTAGCCACAGATTCAAGCACATAAGTTTGTCATACCCACTACAGGCCCAATCTAATTGTTCTGAATGCTTGCGAAGCACAAGGAAAAAAGTTCTATCTCTCTGTAGGTGTTTAGGATGGGAACCAGTCACCTCCAAACCAGTTAATGACTAGTTTCCTACGCAGTTCAGTGGTTTCAAATCTAACTGATCATCAGAATGATTCATTGACCTCATCCCCTGCCCAGACTTAATCAATTGGAATTTCTGTGGGGACACTTCTTAAAAAGTTTTTCCAGGCCGGGCATGGTGGCTCATGCCTGTAATCCCAGAACTTTGGGAGGGCGAGGCAGGCAAATCATTTGAGGTCAGGAGTTCGAGACCAGCCTGGCCAACATGGTGAAACCCCCATCTCTACTAAAAATACAAACATTAGCCGGGCATGGTGGCGCACACCTGTAATCCCAGCTACTCAGGACGTTGAGGCAAGAGAATCGCTTGAACCTTGGAGACGGAGGTTGAAGTGAGCTGAGATAGCACCACTGCACTCCAGGTTGGGTGACAAAGCGAGACTCTATTTAAAAAAAAAAAATTCCCAGGTTGTCAGGGAGGTTTATGAGCCTCATTTGTAGCCACATCCTTTGGTATAGTCAGTTTTGAGATAGATCACAGAGAACTGGTTTCCAATTATAGCTTAAATAGCAAGGTTTGCAAATAAAGGACATTAAAATATTATAAAGAACAGTATAGATTAAGTTGCCTCAACAATCACACCACCCACTATTCCTTGCCTTTGCATCTTTAGAAAGAATTGGTATAATAGTTGTTAGGCTAGAATTCTGCAAACCCCTGAGAACCCACATTGATAACCTCAAATTCTTGGCTTTTCAAAGCCTCCTAAGCCTTTTTAGTCAAATGGAGATACCATCAATTAATTTTTTATGTTATCATTTGCCATTACATCAAGTCACCCTCCTGTATTTGCACAAGCTAATTTAAAAATCAACTGCAGAATTTCCACTTACACTACAGAAGCCAGTTTGTAGCTCTTCACTCTAGATTGTAAATATCTTTTTGAATCTTCAGTTGTTTAATGAACTCATCAATTCTCCCAGATTAATAGTATCTCAAATTTTACCAAATGAGCTTTTGTATTCAGGACATTTATTTTCATTGCCTTTGCCTTTAATCAACCTGCAAATCTATTTTCCCTCACACTCTCCCCTTGCTTCTAGCCACCTGCCTCAAGAGGGAAGGGGCCTTCCTCCTTGGTCCTCAGGAACCTCCCCTCTCCAGCGATGCCTGCTCTGTCTTGTATCCACTGCTTGTGACTCTCAGCCTGCTCGTCTTCCACAGCTTAGACTGATATTCAAATCTTTCCCATCTGTAAAACAAAATCTTTCTGTGGCACAAAATTTCCCTTCCCATTCAGCCTTCATCCTCTTTCTCGTTTTCTTTCCCAGTCAAGCTTCTGGAGAGAGGAATATTTCCTGAGTTCTCTTTATTTCTCTTCTCCAATTAGCTCCTCTTCTCTATTGTCTGATTCTGCCCTCGTTTTTCCAATAAAACTGCTGCCAGGTGGAGCCATTAGGGACCCTCCGAGTGGCCACATCCAATCCACAGAGTAGGTATGAACCCGTTTTTTGTTCACACCTACTTTAACTTTCCTGCTGAGTATGTTTTTGTGAAGGATTGTCTCCCTCTTAAGACAATCTTCCTTTAGTTTTTCACACATTGTCTGTTCTCCTTTCTCCTTCCTACACCCCGGACTGCCCCCCTTCAGCTGAAATCTCAAGGCACTCTTTCCCTTTCATCCCTTGCAAATTGCCTCTGTCTTTGACTGCCTCCTCCTCTCATTCTCCTCCAGTGACTCTTCAAGTGTGGCTCTGGAATCATTTGTGTCAGAAACACCCAAGGAGCTTTCTGCTTACTAAAGGTGTGACTGGAGTTCTAGTCCAGACCGACTGTATGGAGTCTCTGGAGGTGGGTAGGAACAGGCATTATAAGCTGTCTCTCCTGGAGATTCTGACACTTTCCCTGGACCACACTTCCCCGCCCCCACTCCACACCCACCCTGACAGGGTCTTGCTCTGTCACCCAGGCAAGAGTGCAGTGGTATGATCACGATTCAGTGCAGCTTTCATGTTCTGAGCTCAAGAGATCCTCCCAACTCAGCCTCCCAAGTACCTGAGACTACAGGTGTGCACCACCACACTTGGCTAATTTCTAAATATTTTGTAGAGATGAGGCTTTGCTATTTAGCCCAGGCTGTGGGTCATACTTTTTCTGTGTGTGTGTGTGTGTGTGTGTGTGTGTGTGTGTGTGGGACAGGATCTCACTCTGTTGTTCAGGTTGGAGTGCAGTGCCGGGATCTCAGCTCACTGCAACTTCTGCCTCCCGGGTTCAAAAGATTCTCGTATCTCAGCCTGCTGGGTAGGTGGGATTACAGACATGCACCATTTTTGTATTTTTAGTAGAGACAGGGTTTCATAATGTTGCCGAGGCTGGTCTCAAACTCATGGCCTCAAGTGATCCACCGTCCTTGGCTTCCCAAAGTGTTGGGATTACAGGCACGAGCCACAGTGTCCGGCCTGTGGGCCTACTTTTTAATGCTTCCCAGTTCATCCTCCCCACTGCTGCCTTGACCCCATCCCATTGCTCTCCTCCTTAAAATCCTTCATGGGGCTCTCCTCCTTACAAACAGACGCTAAGCTCCATATCCTGGCATAAAGGACCTTTGGTGATTTGGCCCCTGTGCAGCTCTTGGGTCGCCCCCAACTCTCAAATCTGCTCTGTGCCCCGGAGATATCCTTAACACACCTGCTTGCTCCCACCCTGAGCCTGGCAGTTCCTGCTCTCCACCATGTTTCACTTGCACCCACCTTCAAATCTCAGAGTGGGAAACAGCTCCCGAACAAGAGGAAAGGCCTAAGCCCCAGTGTTGGCTCTGCCATTGATAAGTCACATGACATATTGATTATACAATCCTTGAGCCCCAACTCATATGTAAGCAAAGAGAGGACTTTAAACTGATTTCAGTTTTGGAATACTTAAAAAAAATCAGAAATACAAACTTCGTACAAATGTGTTGTGAAAGGTGCAGTAACAAGTCGTAGCCACCAGAGAGCACTAGAGGATCTCATTCAGCACAAGCGCGGGGCTTTGTCTCCATGACTTAGACTTCATTCTGGGGGTGGTCTACTCGAATTTGGGGCTGATGGGTGCCATCAGCTCCATGCCTAACCTTTATGTAAGAATATTATGAGACAGAGGAGCAGAATCTGTCACTTAAAAACTTCACTTTGGGGGAGGCAATGAAACTAGTCGTTAGTTGTCTTTAAATGCACAAATTTCAAAAGCAGCCCTTTCCGTGCTGGCTGGTGCATTTTGAAGGCTGTCCCAGTACTCCCACCCTACAGCTCATTTTTGGACCTCATATGCCGGACACATGGAGGGAGTTGTTTTGTTCGGGTTCTAGTGGAACCATCTGTACATTCCTCACTCTCTGTGGGGAGCAGGAATTGATCACAGGAAATGACCTCAGCTGCCTTGGGAAAGACGGACTTCCCATCCCTGCGGCTTTGAGCAAATCTGCTTAGTTGAGGGGCTGAGGAGGTAATTCTAGACCCTCCTGTGGCTGGGTTTGAATCTGAGACGCCTCTGAGGATCTGATGAAAGTCATGGACAATCCCCTCCAGAATACTCATAATATGCAGATTATTTCAGCAGCTTCGCAGACCTTTTATCTAGGAACCCAGGCTATGGACTATTTAGGGTTCCTCTCAGCTTTAAGAACCCAATGTCTTATAGTTGTACTTCATAACGAGCTATGCACATTAGCAGCTTTCTAATTTGTAGTAAGACTAAACTCTTGGTTATTTCCTCTGGAGAAGTGGGGGTGATGCATCCCACTGTTTAGGAATACCTCAATAGTGGATCATCCATCAGATCTGGGCTTTCCTATGAGCACTTCAGCCCCTTAGAGAGGGTGCATTCTGAAACTCTCCTGCAGGGGAGGCTAAAGAGCCACACATATCCCCAATGAGTCCCTGCTCGCTGGGGATGTGTCCTGGCCACGCAGGGAGGAAGTGAAGCTTCTTGCCATGTCGGTGTCCACATCTCAGTCCTGAGCTTTCTTTGTAAATCTTTCTGTGTTCTGGGAAGCTCCAGGGACTCTGCCTGCTTTTCTCTGCGCTGTACAGCTCCTCCATATGCTCCTACCTTTGGAGTTCTTTGCATCCTGAAGCTTGTGACCTAGAAGCTTCATAAGACAAAATAGCTAGCAATGACCTTGGGATTAAGATGCTCAGTCTTGTCTTGACTCTGCCGTTTATTAACTGTGGGACTCTCGGCCTCAATTATAAAATAGGAATAATAACTCCTATTTCTTATCTTATTGGGTTCTTTTATTTTTATTTAACAAATATGCACGGAGCGCCTGTTACGTGCCACTCCCCGTCCTTAGCACAGTTGATAGCAATGAATGGGACAGACATGATTCTCTGTCTTGATGAAGCCGACAGTCCAGGGTAGTTTGAGAATCAAATCAGCAAGTATCTGAACACCTTCTGTTAACTACGGAGTGCTCTACTCACACACTCTTCCTACTGCTTTTGCTTGATAACAACAACCTTGATCTAGAGAGCAGTGAATCATTTGAAAATTCGTAACACAGCTCCCTTCTGAGCATATAGCAGTGCCCTTGTGACATGGTGGGTGCAAACTCTCCTGGGGGTCACAGGGTAGAGCCCCTGACTCTCTCCCAGCCTTGACTGAACTCATAGGGTCTCCTGGGCTCTAGCAACAGCCATGTTTTCACCTCGTATGCGTTTTTTCCCCACAGTGCCCTGAGCCTTCCAGGAAAATTGATTCACCCAAACAAGCAGGTCAAGATTTCCATTTGATCTTATTGCTTCATGTGGTCCTAAATTCCCATAGCCATAGTTGCATATAGAAAGTAAATTAATATTAGTAATGGGGAGCTGGGAGGCCCTCAACTCCCATTTCTCATCTTATCCCCTTTTCCTCTCCAGGTCCACTGGCTGGGTCAGGCTCTGTGTCTGGGCAAGGAGCCATCAGTGGATGGGCTACAGATGAGCAGCAGTGGCCCAGTGGTTCTAACTGCTCAGAGGACTTCAGGCAAGAAAATGGGGCTCTTTCTTATCCCAAGGGCTCAGAAATATAAAATGTTGTCTCTAGCCTCTTCCCAATACTCCTCTCAGTTACAGAAATACCTGCTCCTCTTACCAGGTGGCTTTAAATGGACATCGAGGCATTCAGGCAAGACTTGCACGTTGAGGGGCTATGTTCACTCGGGAGAGGCTCTGTGTGTGTGAAGGTCACTAATATCTGCATTTTTATTGAAGAACATGTCAGACTTGAGCTATTTCTGTTCCATGAAAATTATTCAGAAAACTAATTTTTCTGGACAGAGTGAAAAAGGCAGGGACGGGAGGAATTAATGATTAGGGATTTTGAATTCCTCTCTCTTGCTTCTGAGAAAATTGAAAAATACATGTCAGTTCTGCATTAAAGAAGACATGCGGCTCACGCCTGTAATCCTAGCACTCTGGGAGGCTGAGGCGGTGGATCACCTGAGGTCAGGAGTTCGAGACCAGCCTGGGCAACATGGTGAAACCCTGTCTCTATTAAAAAAAAAAAAATTAGCTGGGTGTGGTGGTGCACACCTGTGATCCCAGCTACTCAGGAGGCTGAGGCAGGAGAATCGCTTGAACCCAGGAGGCGGAGGTTGCGGTTAGCTGAGATCGTGCCACTGCACTCCAGCCTGGGCAACAGAGCAAGATTCTGTCAAAAAAATAAAATAAAATAAACTAAAATAAAAAAGACGTGAAATATTCATGTACAAAAAAAATGTAAGGCAACCGCACGCACACATTCTCTGAACATCAGCAGTGTCCTAGGGGTGGGGTGAGGTGCTCTGAGGGCTCCCTCTAACCCAGCTGAGAGCAACTCTGCCCTTCCAGATGCTCAGCTCCAAAGCTGTGCTGGTGTTTCTGACCTCTCTTTTTCTCTCATGCCACACATCACACATCCGGCCAGCCAGGAAGTCCTACTGACTCCCTTTTTCAAGACATATCTAGTACCCACCCACCTGTCACATCTTCTACTGTCACTGCTGTGATCTGAGCTGTGATCACTTCTCTCCAGGATGATTGCAGTAGCCTCCTAGCTGGTTTCCCTACTTCTACCCTACACTCTGTTTTAAAAGCCACAGCCAGAGTCATCCTGTAAAGCAGAAGTCACATGGGTTTATTAAGTCAGTCCCCTTGTAAGCCCTTCTATTAAAAACAATTTTTAAATGATTTGTATTTTCTACTGATCACTGGAATATCCTGACAGACTGTGCAGAGCCTGCTTATTCTTTGTTTAGTAGCATTAACCATTACCAGCTCTTTGGCTAGAGTTTACTTCTTTTATTTATTCTTAAAGACAGAAAATTTCTGGAAATGAGATAACAGCAGAAATAGGTTGAGGTTTCTTCGAAGTTGTTAATTTTTACTTCCTGCTAGCTAAATTGGGCCTGTGGTTCTCCTGAGAAACCCAGAGCGGTGATTTTAGCAGAGCTCTGCCAGGGTTAGGTCCAAGGGATCCATTCAAGGCTGGCATAACATATCGATTGGGGAAAAATCAAAGAGCCCATGCAAAGTCTACCGGAAATAAATGAGTCTTGGATGAGCTTCATTAATCCGCAAACATTCCCTGCGTTTTCCTCCTCGCCCATGGTCTTTTCCTTCAAGGGGTTCTTTGCCAACCAAGTTCCTAGATCTTTATAATGCAAATGTGATCTGAACAATGGGCAGTAATATTGATGATAGCAAATAATTATTAAGCACCCTTTTGGTGCCAGGCACTATTCTAAAAATTTTATATCCATTCATTTATTCACTCATCCAACAAATCTGTTTTGAGTATGTGAATACAAAAGTATCTGAGATGGGTCTCTATCAATGTAGAAAGTTTATTTTGCCAAGGTTCAGGATACATCTGTGACACAGCCTCAGGAGGTCCTAATGACATGTGCCCAGTGGTGGCTGGGGCACAGCTTGGTTTTATGCATTTTAGGGAGACATGAGACATGTAAGATATACATTGGTTCTGTCCAGAAAGGCGGGACTACTCAAAATGGGGGTTTCTAGGTCATAGGTAGATAAGAGACAAAAGCTTGCATTCTTTTGGGTCTTTGATCAATATTTCACTGAAGACACACGCTACATATAAGAAGGGGTAGAGGAGAAATGGTCTTTTATGCCTTAGTCTGGCTCAGTGAATCTGCATTTTTGCATAAGCAATACGACAGAGGAAGCAATTGGATATGCATTTGTCTCAGGTGAGCAGAGGAATTACCTTGATTCTGTCTGTCCTTTGTCCTGCACCTATGAAGATAAGCTATCAATTTACGTTGTCAGGGTGAAATTCCACAGAACTGGTTTAGGGCAAAGATCTTGAGGCCCACAATGAATTTCCTTGCAGGCAAATTGTGAGGGAGGGATATAGTTTTTTAAAAAAATATTTGCAGCTATCTTATTTAGGATTAAAAGAGGAGGCAGTTTGCCTGATGCAGTTCCCAGCTTGACTTTTGCCTTTCACTTAGTGATTTGGGGGTCCTGAGATGTATTTTCCTTTCACAAACACTTATTGCATACATGAATAAACAAAACAGAAAAATAAATCCCAGCCCTCCAGAGCTTATAGTCTAGCACAGGGAGGCAGAACATATATGATAATCACATGAATAAGTAAATTATATTGTATGTTAGGAGGTGATGGGTCAGGGAAAAGAAAAGGAAATGAGAGCAGGGATTACAATTTTAAATAATTGTCATCCAGGTAGGCCTCATTGAGGTAGTGACATTTAAGCAGAAGCAGTAAGAAAGTTATCCCTGTGGGTAGCTGGAGGCACAGCGATCCAGGCAGAAGGACCAGCCAGTGCATGGACTCTCAGGGGAGAGCAACTTTGATGGTCCAGGGCCAGCAGGGAGTCCTGTGGCTGGAGTGGAGGAAGGAGGGGAATAAAAGAGATGAGGTCAGAGATAAAAGGATGGGCAGAGGCCATGAAGGGCCTAAGGGGCCACTGTAAGGGTTTGGCTTTCTCTCCAAATCCGGTAGGATCAAGTAGGGAGCCACTGGAGGACTTTAAAAGTGAGCTGACTTAATGCAACTTGTGTTTTACAAGATCTCTCTGACTGCTGAGTTGAGATGGACTGTAGGGTGTGGAATCCTGAGAAGGTAAGGAAGCAACAATGAGGAAGGGGCCCCAGGTGGGGGAGAACAATCCATGGGTATGATGACCTTATTTGGCAGGCACAATGACCTTATTCCACACATATCCCCCTTCAGCAGGATGCTAAAAAACTTTCCTCCAGCCCCTGCATCTTTGCAGATAGTCCTTTCTCTGCTGTGCTGCCCACTGCCACCTTGCAAAAAAATTTCATGCTTTCTCTAATAAATCTGCCTTTTTGTACCTACAACTCTCTTGATAAATTCCTTTACCACCTACGAAGTCAGCCCCAGCCAGTTACCCCCATGACATAGGGTGCCAAAGTGGAAGTCCAGAGACCAGTCGGAGGCGATTGAAATAATTCTAGGGAGAGATGATGATAGCTTAGCAGAGGAAGTGAGAAACGTTTAGATGCCAGATATGGTTTAAATGTAGCACCAATCAGACTTCTTGACTTAGTGAGTCTGTGGAGTGAGAGAAAGTGAAGAGTTAAAGATGACTACCAGGTTCTAGCCTGAGATCCTGGAAGGATGGAGTTGGCCATTACTGAGAGGGAGAAGAATACTGGTGAGTAGGCATGTGGAGGAAGATGAGGAGTCCAGTTTGGGACATGTTAAGCTTATTGGTATCTACCAGAGTGGGCAGCAGGACAGGTGAGTCTGGGATTCAGGGAACAGGCTTGGCTGAAGGTATACATTTAGAAGTCTTTGGTACACAAGTGGTAGTTAAAACCTTAAGCCTGGAAGAGCTTGCTGAGGAAATGTATGCACACACAGAGGAGGACCAAGGACAGGGCCCTGTGGGCTCCAATGTCAGGAGTCTCAGAGAAGATGAGAATGAGAAGGAGCAGTCAGTGAAAAAGGACAAAGAAAGACAAAGTGGTGCTGTCCCACAAGCCAAGGAAAGGAAATGCCTCAAGGAGGAAGCAAAGATTGGCTGCATCAAATGTTGCCGGTGGCTTAAGTAGGAGCATGGCTGAAAATCAACCACTGGGCTTAGCAATGTGGAGTCACTGGTGACCTGGACAAGAGCTCTTCATGTGGAGTCATCAGCATGAAAGCCTTAGTTCGAGTCTCTTTAAGAGAAAATAGGAGAAGAACTGGAGACAGTGAATATATCAACACAAGATTTTTTGCTGCAAAGTACTACAGAGAAAAGAGGGGGTGGAAGGCAGAGGAAGTGGAGTCAAAGGAAGCTAAAAACTATTATTTTTTATGATGGGACAAATAACAGCCTGTGTGGATGCCAATAAGAATGATGCAACAGAGTGGGAAAAACTAACACGATAGGGGAGAAAAGGAAGTGTTTTTAAAACAACGTCTTTGAGTAGTTGAAAGGGGGTAAGACCTAGCCACTGTAGGTAATTGAAGGGTTGGACTTCATGGTAGTCTACTAGGCTGCCATAACAAAGTACCACAAACTGGGTGGTTTAGGCAACAGAAATTCATTGTCTTACAGTTCTGGAGGCTGAGAGTCCAAAATCAAGGTGTGAACAGGGTTGGTTGTTCTGAGAGCTGTGAGGCAGAATCCGTTCCATGCTGCTCCCTGGCTTCTAGTGTTTGCTGGTAATCGTTGGTGTTCCTTGGCTTGTAGGTGCATCACTCTGATCTCAGCCTTCATCTTAATATGGCATTCTCCCCATGTGCACGTCTGTGAATACACTTTTCCTCTTTTTAAGGATCAGTCATATTGAATTAGGGGCCCACCCTCTTCCAGTATGACCTCATCTTAACTAATTAGATCTGCAATGACCTCATTTCCAAATAAGGTCACATCCTGAGGCCATGGGGATTAAGACTTTAACGTATGAATTTTTGGAATACACAAAGAACCCATAACAGCTTTAGAAAAGAGATGGAAAATTTGTCTTTAGTAATAAAAGGGAAGGTAGAGGATTCGTTTGAACATGCTGGCAGTTTTATGGATATATTTGTGACATTCCATAGAAAGCTCGTCTGATTGTTTCCATTCCCTCAGAGATGTGGAAAGCAAGGTCAGTGGCCGCAGGTGTGGGCAATGGCAGATTGAGGAGAGGGGAAGCTGCAAAATTGTTTCTAGCAGGTAGGAGAGTGAGTAGAATAAGAAAATACAATATGGTAGCCAGGTAGCTTTAAGGGCACACCTGTGGTCCTTTGTCCTATATTTAAAGCAGGGCAGTTTGTGTGGTCATGGGTTTTTCTCAAGCTCCTCTCAGTTGCATGGTAGTAGGCAGAGAGTAAAAGGAGAGTTTTGATTAACAAGAGTATTGGTTTTGCAAAGCGAGTACAGCACACAGAAGAGAAGGAGAGGCAAGGGAGTCGAGAGTAAATATAAAGAAGTTGTAGTGATAGACCCTGAAGAAAAAATTGGATAAGAGGGAAGAAAGGACCCTACGTGGAGATACTATGATTACACCAATTTTACAGGTGTGGAAAGTGATACACAGAGAAGTTAAGTACTTTTTGAGGTTTGATCAATGGCAGAGCCAGAATCCAAACCCAGGCAGTGTGGCTCAAAGCACATAGCTCCCTATGAGAGACACAGGATCAGAAAGGTGGGAGGATGGAGGCAGGAAAGACAGGGCATCAGATTAGAGTTACAAAACTGATTCCTTCTGCTGACTCCCCACGTAACCTCAAGGAAGGCATTCCTGTTCCCTGTAATATGATATTCCATGACTGCAATGATTCCCCTCTCATCTTTGGAGAAGGATCACTTTAATTTTACCAACCCCCCCATCCTCCCTTCCTTTCTTTCCTTAAATGTACACAATGTTTCACTATTCACAAAATCTTTTATATTCATTTTCACACTTTGTGTCCACAGTCACCTATGATAGCAGTTATTATTATTTCTACTTTCAAGATAATACAATGTGGCTTGGGATAGTGAAGAGATGAACACAAAAGCTGGCTAATAGCAGATCTAGACTTCAAGTCTAAATCTTTAACTTTAAATTCAATTCTCTTTCCATTTCCTAAAATGTTTTCTTCTAAAAATAGTGTTTTCCTGAGTTTGAAATAGGTGAATTGGAGAGCAGGTGTATCCCTGACAGTGGAGGAGTTTGCACTAGATTAGCACTCTTCTGAGATTCTGCAGAATAAATTCAAGCAGTGATTGTGGTGTTAGAGTAAATGACTGCTCACATGCTTTCCACCCTTGATTCTAGGATATGTCAGGGAATAAATGTCTATGTTAACAGAAGAAAGCCTTAATTAGAATGTTTATATCATGTTTAGTATGGCAGGTGAATTTATCTTATTTGTTCTTGGGGCTGTTTTCTATATAAACAAAAATGCTTCCAAAATATTTGGTAAGCTTCCTTAGTGAAGTGTATTAATTTGAACATTCATTCATTAATCCATCAAACTTTTATTAATCCCTTGCTATGTGCCTGGAATTGTTCTAGCTGTTATATCTTTGTCTTTAGGAAGTTCAGTTAAGACAGACCTATAAATAAACATTCACCCTATAAATGCTGTAGGAGAAATATGCCCTAAGTATTAAGGAACACAGAGCTGGGATTGAGTCACTACCTGGGCAGAGGAAGGAGGACTTCAAGTTGGAGGTGACATTGAAGCTTCTTAGAAGAGTTTTCCTGGTAGTGCAGGGGAACAATCGCACAGCCACCACAGCTCTCCCGAGACTGGTCTTGGCACGGCCTCACACCTGGAATGACAAAGCCCGTACCACACTCACACTTTAAGACAAGCAAAGAGCAGAATGATTCTTTCAGCTCTGAGAGGCCATGAGATTCAAAAGACAGACACTGTGACCAACACAATTAGGGACAGGAAAGAGGGCATGAGCAGGCAGAATTGAGGTTTCATCTAGGCTTCTTGGGTAAGACAGTAATGTTTCCTTCAGGGTCTATTGCTACAACTTCCTTGTATTTACTCCCAACTCCCTTGCCTCTCCTTCTCTTCTGTGTGCTGTACTCGCTTTGCAAAACCACAACCCTACCCAGGCTTGTTGTCAATCTTGTGTTTCTCCAACCAATAGAAAAAACAAAGTCTTCCTGTTTCAGGGGGAAGGACAGAGGATTGGCATGGAGAAGACTTGACAAATGACCTACTCACTGCTAGCCAGATTCCCGGCCCACCACTTCTCCTTCCTGAGCCACAGCTTATACATTATGGAGCTGATCTGGTCTCTGGTAATGAGTTTATGGATGACTTTTTTCATATTGTTTTATCTTTACTTTCCATATTTGCTGCAATGAAAATGTTTTAATTAACCTTGAAATATTAATGTATTAACCTCAAAAAAGTGAAAATATAGGGATTGAAGTAAATGGCTTCTAAGACCCATTCTAACTTAAAATCTGATTTTAAAAAGAGAAGCAGTAGAGATAGAGGGGAAAAGAGGAGAGCGTATGACTTTTGATGACTATAATACATTCTTTGAATGTCTTTTCATAGTGGCTCTAATTTATTAAGCTTCAGGTCTTGTGGAAAACACTTAAATTATTCAAGTTAACTATGCACACGTAACCACTAGGGTCTGGCCTTTTAAACTCATGCATTCACCCTAGAATAAGGAAAGGCAACATAGTGAAATGTTTAAAGGATTTTTTTTTGTCTTTGGATTATATTTGGGTTCATGTATTTCCCAAGTGTCTCTGAGCCCAGTGCTAATAAAATTCAAAGAGAGGCCCGCTTCCTCTATATGTGAGCATTGGCAGACTACTTCCCCAGACCTAGAGGGTCTCAAGACCCACTAGTAGTGCTGTCAGTCTTCACCTTGAACTCCCTTCGCAGAGCCAAGCAGCAAGCCGGATGAATGAGTGCTACAGGACAGTGCCTCCTAGTGCTGTGGCCCCAGAGGCAGGGATGTACCTGTGACATCCAAGAGAAGCTGGAACCCCTCCACCTCCCATGCCCAAGTCTGGGCACAGCCACAACTCATTGCCTAGAACATATCCCATTCCTCCACCACAGGACTAGAGTCAGATTTTGGTAAAGAAAGAGCACTCTCAGATGGCCTTGAAAGTCATCTCTAATACAAAGTTGAATATGTCACAAATAATCGCTAAGTATTTAAGGAAACAAATATTGAGAAAGAAAGGAACAAAACTTAACAGAAAATAGCACCATAGGAAAGAGAAAATTCAGTAAATAAAATGTAGAAACTATAATTAATATTTACATTTATAAAATAAGAACAAGCTGTTATAAAAAAGTACCAATTAAAGATCTTAGAAATGAAAAAAAAAAGCTGGTTGAGAAGAAAGTCAATAAATGGGCTGCAAAGACTCATTGGATATACGTGAAGAGAAAGGTTGTGTGCAGCAAGACTGAATGGAGTGATTCTGCCAGTACTTAAAACTGAAGGACTGGCCGGGCATGGTGGCACACACCTGTAATCCCAGCTACTCCAGAGGCTGAGGCAGGAGAATTGCCTCAACCCGGGAGGCAGAGGTTGCAGTGAGCCGAGATCGCGCCACTGAACTCCAGCCTGGGAGACACAGTGAGACTCTATCTCAAAACAAACAAAAACAAACAAACAAACAAACAAACAAACAGAAGGACCAAGAGATAGAATATATGGGGAAAGTTAAGACATTCGGAGGATAGTGTAAAAATTCCGGTATCTATAATAATAAGAGTAAAAGATGGAGAGAACAGACAAAATGAATGAGAAAAAAATCAAAGACACAATATAAGATAATATCCTAGTGCCAGAATTTTTTTTTTTTTTTTGAGACAGAGTCTCACTCTGTTGCCCAGGCTGGCATGCAGTGGCATGATCTCGGCTCACTGCAATCCCTGCCTCCCGGATTCAAGCAATTCTCTGCCTCAGCCTCCCAAGTAGCTGGGATTACAGGTGCCCGCCACCACACCTGGCTAAGTTTTTTGTATTTTTAGTATAGACAGGACAGGGTTTCACCATCTTAGCCAGGCTGGTCTTGAACTCCTGATCTCGTGATCCACCCACCTCAGCTTCCCAAAGTGCCGGGATTACAGGCATGAGCCACTGCGCCCAGCCTAGTGCCAGAATTTTTAGATTGAAAGGGCACACCAGGTTTCTAAGCAAAATGAGTGGGAAGAAACAAATCAACCCTAGATATATTCTAGCCAAATTTTGGAAAACGAAGGCAAAAACAATATAAAAGCTTCTAGAAAGAAACCAAAGATTATGTACAAAGGAGAAAGAACAGAACAATAATAAACAACAAGCTTCTGGTTGGCAATAATGGCCTCAAGAGACAATGGAATAGTATAGTATCTTCAATGTTATGAGGGAAAATAATTTTGAACCCAGAATTCTGTACCGACTCAAGTGATCATTGAAAGGCAAGATCAAAATAAAAGTATTGCAGGATACAAAAGTCTGCACAATTCTCACTATAAGAATTCCTGAAAGCTCTAATCTTTAAAATGAAAAAGGAATACAATGGGAATTCATAAGAGAGAGAAACATTCTTGAGTAACGAAAGAAAATTTAAAATTAAATCTCAATAATTGTTGGACTATAAAAAATCAATATTATGCTAGATCCCAACCCCCAAATGATCCCTATGTAGGATGTGGGTAGTAGGAAGTTATTGTTTTCGTTATTATAAATAAGGGAGACTATAGATAGCTTAATTTTAGATATACAAAAATGTTTATTGTGTTGTTTGGACTATAGCAATAAGTGTGAACTGCTTTTGGAGTTTGAAAGGAAAATCAACAAGATATGAATAAGAAGAAAAAGAAAACACTCCTTCATTAAAATGGGAATAACATTCTTAGCGAACATCTCAATTGCTGAATAATTCCTTAACTTCCTTCTAACATCTGTTGGTTGACTATCTAAATGAGAGTAAGAATGGGCAATATTTACAAGGCTTAATGCTCAGGCCCCACTCCACATCAGTTAATAAGAATTTCTGGCCTAGAATAGTGGCTTATGCTTGTAATTCCAGCACTCTGGGAAGCCAAGGCAGGAGGACGGCTTGAAATCATAAGTTCAAGACCAGCCTGAGCAACATAGTGAGACCCTGTCTCTACAAAAAACAAAAATAAATTATCCAGGCATGGTGGTATGTGCTTGTAGTCCCAGCTACTTGGGAGGCTGAGGCAGGAGGATCGCTTGAGCCCAGGAGTTCAAAATTGCAGTAAGCCATGATCATGCCATGGCACTCCAGTCTGGGCAACAAAGCAATGCCCTGTCTCTAAGAAAAAAAAAAAAAATCTCTAGAGGTGGGACCCAAGCATCAACAAGTTTTAAAATTCCCCAGGTGAGTCCAATGCAATGTGAAGCTGGGTTTGCTAACCAGAAGAATAGAGAACAGGTCCTTCAAGGGAAAAGGTCTCATTTCAGGTGGGACTAGATGGCAGAGTGATAGTGGGAGGGTCCCTGTACCCTCAGACATTCATTTTGAAATCTCGCGTCTCTCTGAGTTGTGAGAGCTGGTATGGAGGAGCTCCGCAGGCCCTGCCAGAGCTGAGGAACCCCAATTCTGTAAGACCAGTCTCAGAAAAAATAGAATCCACTTACTCTCTTCTAAAATGTTCCACATGGACCCACATGAGTGCGGAGCTCACCTGTTCCTGGTGGTCAGAACTGGTACCCATCCTGCTGCTCTGTTTGTGCAGGTGCAACCAGACATGGGGCCCTTCTCTTTAGGAATTTGTTAGGCATTTGTCCACAGCCATGGGTCAAAAAGCCCAGGAAGATGTTCTCGGTTTACAATAGTGGTCAGGGCCCTTGCTCACAGCTGCTGGTCCCAGGGCCAAGACTTGCCCAGCTTAAAATTCCTTTTCCTCTCCTCCCTGCCTGCTCAGGATCTACTCAGCTTCTCTGGGAAGATATCACTCCTTTCTCTGAACTTCTGGTCTCTTTTTTTAATTGTCTTCCATTATTACTTAAATATTTGCTATCTTGGCTCCTAAGTGGATGTGCCCTTCCTATCTGGCATTTCTTTTGAAATTCCCGGTATTAGTCCATTTTCACACTGCTATGAAGAAATACCCCAGACTGGGTAATTTATAAAGGAAAGAGATTTACTTGACTCACAGTTCCACATGGCCAGGGAGGCCTCAGGATACTTACAATCACAGTGGAAGACGAAGGGGAAGCAAGCATCTTCTTCATAAGGCAGCAGGAGAGAGAAGAGCAAAGGAGAAACTTCCAAACACTTAAGAAGCCATCAGATCTCATGAGAACTCACTAGCTATGATGATAGCAGCATGGGGGAAACTGCCCCCATGATCCAGTCACCTCCCTCCCTTGACATGCAGGGATTACAATTCGAAATGAGATTTGGATGGGGCACAAGCCAAACCATATCACTCCCCCAAACACTTGTTTGGTTCCAATGTCCAGTGTAATGAAGAAGCATTTAAACCTGCCGTCTCTGCATGTGCTCCCACTAGAACCCACCAGTGTGTGTGTCAGTCTCCTGAACCATTCGCTTCTTTTCCTCTTTGCTGATATTTGTATTCCGTCAGACAATTTAGGTACAATTTGTGTTTGACATGATGAAATGCACATGCCTTTACATGGCATGAGCTCTTCCCCATCCAGCACTCATCAGCCTCATGAAACACCACACCCTCTGCCTTCCAGTTAAAATGGATTCTCCAGCCACCTCTCTAAGGCTCTGCACATTTGCTGGGAGAACATGCCACTCAACCTAGTTCTCCATTCATCATCTCTAGAAGCCTTCATGGACTCCCCATTCAGAGCTGAGCTCTCCTATCTCTGTGTTCCCTCACCATTGTGTTCCTCCTTCATGGCGCAGTCATCACGATGGTAATTTCTGTTGTTAAACCACAGGAAACTAGAAAACAGAGGTCAAGTCTCTGTCTTCACGTGTGACTAGCACAGTGCCTAATGAAGATAAATATTTATCAGCTGAATGAATGAATCAATGATTGATTGATTCTTAGATGACTAAAATCATCTAAGACCCCAATTGACAAAGGAAAGCAAAGATCTTGAGCTGGGCTAAAAACCAGAGTTTAACATGAGAATCTGTTAAATGCTTACTCCCATTTACGTCTCTTCAGCCCAAAAGATTCAGATTCAGTAGGACCAAGGCAAGGCCTGGCAAACACATTTTTAAAAGCCTCCCAGTTGAGCCTAATTTATCAGCTCTGGCGACCTGCTGATGACTTGAGGATTCTTCTTTGGGAAAGTCTGTGCTTTTGCCTTTCTCCCAGGGCTCAGGGACAGGAACAATGTGGCAAGAATCACTGGATCTGTTTGGCCCCTCACTCTCTAGGGAGGCTGAAGAGGCCACTTACTTCTCTAGCATTCTAACCCTGCATAAGTAAAACCATTTACAGCCTGACTCCCACGGAGGGCTGTGTCCTAGGCAAGACAGTCCTGTGCCCAAGCAGAATGCAGAGCCACGGAGCCTAGCCTGAGATTTGCATTTTGGCTAACTTCTAAATCCAAGAGGATTTGAGGAAAATAGAGCAACATTTTGCTATTAGGGTCCTGTCATCTCATTACTGCTTGATGTGATTGACAACCCTGGTATGAGCAGTCTGCCTTTCAGCCTCCGTCTTTTTCTAATGAGTATTGACTCAGTGTTTTCCTTTAATTAATATTCATTGCGATAAAAAATGGCACTCATTCACTTTTAATTATACCCTTCTTGCATAAACAGGCTTTTAATAACAGATCTTTTAGGGTGAAAAAACAAGCTCTCTGCTCCCAGCTTTGTCTGATGCCAGGAAAGCAGCCTCTGTTATTGATAAAGGGGATTTCAATTTGTTACTTGGTGCAGTGGAAGGAGCTGTGGGTGGAAAGTTAGCTCTTCTACTTCTAGCTCCAGCTCTGCAAAAGGTATTGGAGGTTCTTGGGCTAACTCCGTTCCCCCTCGCGCCTCAGCCTTTGTATCTGAAAAATGGTGATTGAACCAGATCAGTGGTTCTCATCCATTACTGTATATTGGGATCACCTAGGGAAATTATTTAAAAATACCAAAGACCAGGCCACATTCCAGACCAACTACATGAAAATCACTATGAGTAGGACCAAGGCACCACTATTTTAAAAAAGATTTCCAGATGAAAATTCTTAAATACTGAATACTTCAGGATTGATAACTGCTGATATGGGCATCACTCTCACCAGACTTCGAGTGACTTGGGGCTGCTGCTTGGGTTTCGGATCACACAGGACCCAGGAGAGAGGCTGGGCTCGGCCTCATGCAGCAGCTCAGCTCTGCTCTGTGTTGCTCTGTGCTGAGGGATCACTGCCTGTGGAGGGCTTAGTGGTCTACTCTCAAAGAGGAGAGGAGAGGAGAGAATAATATTCGTGAGCACCAGCTATGTGTCAGACACATTCAACATTTCATCTGTCTGTCATCAGATATGTGTATTTCATGTCCGCTATGTTCCAGGTATGGGGGATTTAACAGTGATGAGTTAGGCAGTTTTTGTCCTCATGGCACTTATGAAATAGTAAGGGAGAAAGACTTTATTTTTTATTTTATTTTATTTTTTGGAGATGGGATTTCATTCTTGTCGCCCAGCCTGGAGTGCAGTGATGTGATCCCAACTCACTGCAACCTCCACCTACCAGGTTCAAGTGATTCTCCTGTCTCAGACTCTTGAGTAGCTGGGATTACAGGTACCCGCCACCATGCCTGGCTAATTTTTGTATTTTTAGTAGAGATGGAGTTTCGCCATGTTGGCCAGGCTGGTCTTGAATTCCTGACCTCAAGTGATCCACCCACCCTGGCCTCCCAAAGTGCTGGGATTACAGGCATGAGCCACTGTGTCAGGCCGGGAGAAAGACTTTCAACTGGTAATTGAAAATTACACAAGTTTAAGGAGTTGCAGAGGAAAAGTACAGGTTGCTATCAGAGCACAGAAGAGTTGCGGGGGAATGTTTGTGAGGGAGACCTTCTTTAGGAAGCAACACTTAAGACCTAAGGCCAGAGGACAGGAAGTTCATTCAGTTAATAGATGGGGAGGAGCATTTGAGTCAGCTAATGCTCCTGCAAGGCAGAGGTTGCCACTCTTATTTTACAGATGAGCAAACAGGCCCAGAGAGGCTCAGTGCTTTTCCTGAAGTCCGGAGAAACCGCTGTGGTTCTTTTCAGCCCTGAGGGATATTAGCAACCACTGAAATCACATGTGGGGCAGAAATGGACAAAATGATTGGCTGCAGCTGAACACTGTAGGAATAAGCTTGGAGTAGGGAAGGATAGAGTAGGCAGCCTAGAGGCAGAAAATGCCACCTGCTCCGCTGCACAACAGGCCACATGTAGTCCTGGGAAGCCCATCATGCTGTCCAACACGAATTCAGGATGGGAAGGAGTTCTTTGTGAGGCAGGTGGCATGACAAAAGGAAGGGTCTGACAGCCAGTGATAGCTGCATAATCCCTGCAGGTGGTCAGAGCAGGGCAATCTTTCCATTAGCAGCAGGTCTCCCATCAGCCTAGGGTTCAGACTCTGAGAAAAGCCAGACAATGCCTTTCCAAGCAGAGCTGGACAAGGCCATCATGCAGCTCTCCTAGGGAATGAGGTGAGCACCACATCTTGATGTCTGGGTGGAGTTTAGATGTGACTGAGACAAGAGATCAGAGCCAGTTCGGGGCTCGGAGGACTTGACGCTGAGGTCCAGAGCTTGGGCCTGAGGTGGTTTAAGTGCCTCAGCCTAAGGATAGGGTCAGTGCTGAAGGTTGCATCCAGCCTTATCCTAAGAGAGGGGTCCTATAGTTCTAGCAGTGGAGGGAGCAGGTATGCAGAGGTGGGAGGCAGGCAAAACTTGACCGTCCATTCCAATGGTTCTCAGTGGGCGTGAGAACCATTCCTTTCTCTAGAGAATCTGCTTCAGCATATCTGGGGTGGAGAATGGACATCTTTACAAAGCTCCACTGGCAATTCTAATGCAAAATTTTAGTTGAGAATAACTGATCTAAATCAACGTTTTCAGTTTTCAGATGAAACTGTGGCCTGGAGAGACGTGACTTGCCTAAGGTCACATGAAGATCAGAGTCAGAAATGGGATTAAAACCCTGTTTTCTTCCTTCCCAGTTCAGTGTGCCTTAATGTTTGTGCTAGAAATTAACATTAACAGCAGTAAAAATAGCTCTTAAAATGCACTTGCCGTTCACAAGGTGTTTCCGTGCTTTTGATATCATCTGATCTTCCCAACCAGGGCTTATTTATGCCTAGGTAAGGGGTAAGCAAACAGAGGCTGTGTGAAGTGAAATGATTTGCTTGCACAAGGTCATATGGCTGGGCTTGGACGAGAACTTATCCCTCTTTCCTAGTCCTGAGATCTTTTTCCTGCTTCAAGCATCAGATTATAAAGCTAGGCTTTAGGCTTTTGTCCCAAGAGGCAAGACCTGACCTTTCTCAATCTGGATGGTCTAATGGCCTCTAGTCCATTTCCTGTGCCTGCCACCAGCAAGCCCTAATGGAGCACAGCAGTAAGGCTAAAGGGGAGCCTTGTAATTAGTGGCCCAGAGGCATAAGTGATGTTTGGACAACCGGCTGGCCGGCTGCAGTGCATCTGGCACCCCCAAGGGCTCCAGAAACCAGAGCCAAAGTGCCGAGAACATCAAACTCAAGTGTCATCAAGGCCTGAGCTCAGCTGCTCCCTCAGTATTTGCAAAATGTCCTGCCCACACTCTTCCTCCACATCTTCCCTTGGTCATTTTCAGGAGCAGATGAGCTGAGGTTACATGCAGCTGATCCCAGACCTGCTGGTTAATTATCTTGGCCTGTAATTAGTGTTTCCTATTCCTCATGCCTTGCCAACTCATGAAGTTAATGTATCACTTCTCTCTCTGCAGAAACTCCTTTGGGAGGGCTCTGAGGTGGCCACAAAATAAAACTCTCTGGCAGCGGCAGACTTTTGAAGATGTTCCATCTGCTGACTGTCCCATCACCCCGAGCCAACCCCTTGCCATCATCCCTGACTCTTTTCTCCATGTCAAACTCTACACCAGTCATCAGGTCTTGCCAAGGTTCCCTCCTGAACATTTCTTGGAGGTAACTTTGTTTCTCCATCTTTATGTCCTTTGATTTGCTCAGCACTCACTGTCTCTCACTTGGACCTCTTAGAATATTTTCTTCCGAATCTTCCTGTCCTGGTCCTGCAGGCATCTCCTCTGCAACATAGGGCAGATTGATCTTTCTTTTTTTTCTTTTTTCTTTTTTTTTTGAGACAGAGTCTCCCTCTGTCACCCAGGCTGGAGTGCAGTGGCGCGATCTCGGCTCACTGCAACCTCTGCCTCCCAGGTTCAGGCAATTCTCCTGCCTTAGCCTCCTGCATAGCTGGGACTACAGGCATGCGCCACCATGCCCAGCTAATTTTTTGTATTTTTTAGTAGAGACAGGGTTTCACCATATTGGCCAGGCTGGTCTCGAACTCCTGACCTCAGGTGATTGGCCCGCCTCGGCCTCCCAAAGTGCTGGGATTACAGGCTTGAGCCACTGAGCCCAGCCACAGAGAAATCTTTTTAAACTGCCAGTTTGGCTGTGTCACTCTCCTACTTCAAGTCTAGCTGCGTGAGTTTCACATATAATGCCCTCTGCAGTACAGCCTGCCTGTTTTTCTACCCTCTCTTCCACCTGGCTTTTATACTGTACTAATTCAGAACTGCTGTATTTACTCCCTCTTCTCTCCTGTGCATATCCCAACACATATGTACATGTGCATACACACATGTCTTCTCACATATGTACACACACATCATCCATCCATCTGCTCCATGATCAGGAGGACAGAAGAGGGGATAGAAAGGGGACTTTACTGCCTAAAGCAAACACCCTCAGTGCCAACATGAGGAATGGGAGAACAGACTCATTCTATGTGGACTTGAAGACAGGACTGAAAACTGTGAGTTCATTTCAATGTAAAGAATCATTACTTGACAATTGAAGTTGTCTGAATACATGGCGGGCGCCCCGGGAAATAGTGAGCGTGCCGCTGGGATAACTCAGCACAGCCTGTCTGTCTCAGATGCTTCAGGTGCAGTTCTCACTCTGGGCATCACCTGGGAGTCAGTGACCTTCAGGTGACATTCTGATTGCATGATTCTATAAATCTCTGATAAAAAGTCCAGATCCAATTCCGCTATTTCCAGAAAAGACTTTCCTGTTTGAGGAAATCTCTCACCTCCCCAAACATGGTGCTCCCATGTAATCTACTCATGGGGGTGGATCAAACAGTCATAATCCACTCTGTTATCTCCTCTTCCCACTAGCTTATGACAAGAATCTGAGCCCAAGAGAGAAGAAGGGATTTGCCTAAAATTACAGAACTGCTAAGGGAGCATAATTAGGGTTCCTAACCATTAGAAACCCCCCCACCCGCACACACATACACTCCACACACTTCCCCTACATGGCCAGTCTGCATTAGACACTGAAAGCTTTACCACACACAACCCCACGCTCGAATTGCTTCCTATGTTCAGTGGAGTCACACTTGCTCTCATTTAACTACCTGAGCTTGATGGGGAAGAAGAGCAGGAAAGTAATTTGAACAGTTTGGGGAGGCCGCCTGACCTTCTGCTCATTAAGCAGAGCCCCAGCCCAGGCTGAGGGTAGGATGGCAGCCGAGTGCCTGCCGTTTCCTCAATGTGTCTCATTCCCTGAGTGCTGCTCAGAGTTGTAGGCATCCTGAATTACACGGCTGCTAAACGCAAGCTGGCGACTTCATCTGAGGCATTATCCACAAGCAGAAATCATTTCCAGCCCTGGAGGACCGACTGCTGGCATCGGACTCATAGAGGAATGTAAAGTCAATCTGCATTGTGGGGACTTTCTGAGAGGGTTAAGAGGGAAATTATGATGCTGTATCCTTTCCCTTCGCAAGCTGCAGGTTTTAGGGTACTGCTCCACTGTGTGAGGTCTCCCACCACTTCTGGTGCAGACCACATGATGGGAAGGCATCAGGCTTCCTTTCTGCAACTTGTACTCCTCACAGCAGCCTGAGAAGGGATGGTGCTGGGCACCCAGTGTTTCAGGAAGTAGTTATTGAATAGTTGCTTAGAAAAGAACTTACCTGCCTGGGCACAGTGGTTCACACCTGTAATCCCAGCACTTTGGGAGGCCGAGGCAGGTGGATCACGAGGTCAAGAGATCGAGACCATCCTGGCCAACACGGTGAAACCCCGTCTCTACTAAAAATACAAAAATTAGCTGGGTGCGGTGACACACACCTGTAGTTCCAGCTACTTGGGAGGCTGAGGCAGAAGAATCTTTTGAAC
Source organism: Homo sapiens (assembly GCF_000001405.40). Lineage (NCBI taxonomy): Eukaryota > Metazoa > Chordata > Mammalia > Primates > Hominidae > Homo > Homo sapiens. The sequence continues at coordinate 148,946 of NW_025791769.1, forward strand.
CAGGGAGGTGGAGGTTGCAGTGATCCAAGATCATGCCACTGCATTCCAGCCTGGTGACAGAGTGAGACTCTGTCTAAAAAAAAAAAAAAAAAAAAAAAAAAGAAAAGGAAAAAAATAAAAGAAAACAACTTACCTTAGCCTTTCAGGATTGGTGTGGTATTAACAGAAGGAATATTAGTCTAACAGTTAGGGACCCCAAGTATGCTCTCTTACCAGTTCTGTGATTTTAGGCAAATCTCTTCCTCTCTTGGGTTCAGATTCTTTATCGGTGTGTGGGCGGCAGCAGGGTGGAGAGGGAGAAGGTAATTGGATTACAGGATGGCCACTCTCCCTTCCCATGTGGATATGCTAGGATTTTCTGAGTTTTTTGTTTCAGAGGTCAGCAACATTTTTCTGTAAAGGGCCAGAGGGTTTAGGCTTTGTGGACCACATGGACTTTGTCACAGCTACTCAACACTTCATCGTTGTGTGAAAGCAGCCATAGACAATAAATAGATGAATGAGCCTGGCTTTGTTTCATTACAATGTTCTTTACAAAGCAAGTGGAAAGCTGAACTTGGTTTGCTGATCCCTGGTTTGTAGGTGCTTGTTCTAGCCTCTTCTGTCTATTCTCCACACAATAGGGCTTTCTTACTCAGGCTGAAGTGAGTGGTGGGGACTCCTTTCTAAACCAGTCTGTTGCCTACCTGTGGCAAGACTCCTTACTTCTCCTCTGCCAGAGTCAAAGGATTCCAACTGAAGTAAGACTTTTCTTAGATTATTTCAGAGTTCTGCTTAATTTAGAGGCAAGAACCATGTGGTAAGAAAAAGTAACAGCAGTTGAACATCTTCACTTCTGCCATAGAAGCCCAGGTTTTCAAGACATCCCAAATCACTACGATGAGAGAAACATTTAGCTAATAACTAATATGTTCAATCTTTTCAGTAACAAGACCTATAGAGAATATCTCAAGAGCTGGACATATTTGCCTCCTAAGCTTGATATCCAAAGTCCTCTTGATTTAGCGTCAGCACCTTTTATACAAACTCCTATAACTACTACCAGACATGGCATCCATTCTGTCACTTCTAAGCTTCAAGCAAGGTGATCAGCCTATCTGTGCCTCAGTTTTCTCAATCAAATGAAATAATTTGTTTCAAGAGCTCTGCACAACTCCTGGCATACAGTAGGCACTTGATAAATGCTGTGGATTAGCTCCTTGTACCATGAACAGTCCTCACACTCACCTGCCTCTCAGGTAGTGCCTTGACTCACCTTCCTCCTGGCATGTCTGCATTCTTCTCATTCTCAAGATTCAGCTCCAATATTGACTGGCTAGGAAAGTTTTCCCGATTCTCTTGGTAAGAATAATCTTCCCAAGTTCCACTCACTCCTTAATTGAACCTCCTACTTCTACATATCACAGTTATTTTCTACTTTGTCATAGTTTGTTAGTACCTGATACTATAAATATCTTAGGAACAAAATAGGTCTCCAGGTCTTTTCTGGATCCTCTCCAAGGTGCTGAACCAAGGGCTTCAATATATAAAGGATTCTTGGTAAGTGTTGGTTGAATTCATCAATTAGGTAAATCAAACAAAGCCTCAACAGCCAGATTGATTTTCCTTTCATTTTGCATTCTTCTTACACTTTGGTTTCATGAGGATGGGGCTCTACTGTCAGTTTCAAGTCTCATTCATTTCCTAACAAGGCTCATTAGTTTTCAGAATATATTGGACATAACTGACAGAGATGTGATTTTCATCCAAGTTTCTTTCGAGCATGGGGGAATGGACTTTCTTGATAACTTGTATCCTATAAATGTATCCATTTACACCACATCTAGGCCCAGACTGGAGGCTTTGCGTTCTGAGCCTCTGAAGTAGTAGGAGCAGGTGGGCTTGGAGTCTAGGACTCGAGAGAAAATTTGTCAAATTTTACTAATTAATCTGGGATTCCTCTCTCCCTCTGCCTGACAGGGTGATGCCAATGGGCTGCAGCTAGTTATTTTACTGGAGAATTCCCATTGTAATTTTTTCTGTCATTAGTGAAAGAGAAGTCTGTGTGCATTAGCCACATGTTGCAGTCATACTTTACCCCAATTTACAATACATATTTGCTCCTCCTTGATTTCAAATTCATGGAGTTAAATTTAACTTCAGGGAGATTTTGGTTCCCAGGCCTACAACACTTGCCAAGTACTGAATAAATCACAGGTTTTAGAAAATTGAAAAGGGACTCGGAGATTAAGGATTTGAAGGTCCTATGCATCAATCTCCCCCAACATTTCTGAGAGAGGGTTGCGTGCCTTCCTTACAAATGCTTCTAGTGATGGGATGTTTTATTACTATTTGAGGCAGTCCATTTTTTTTTCTTTATTATAACTCTCATTCTCATTGACATTAATAGCAACATCAGCTTTCTTTCTAATGGTGGTTTATCTCCCATAAAGTATTTTCACGTTTGTTTTGTTCGATTTTTCACAAGGTTACTGGGGAGTAGCCTGGGTTTATTCTACCATGACTGCTTCACTGATGAGGAACATAGGTCCCTCTGGCTCCCCACCATGAATCTAGTGCAGGGTCCTCTGACTCTACACATAAGGTGCTTTCAAAAAGGAGTTCCCAGCTGGGCGTGGTGGCTCATGCCTGTAATCCCAGCACTTTTGGAGGCCAAGGTGGGCAGGTCACCCGAAGTCAGGAGTTCAAGACCAGCGTGGCCAACATGGTGAAACCCTGTCTCTACAAAAATACAAAATTAGCCTGGCGTGATGGTGTGCACCTGTAATCCCAGCTACTTGGGAGTCTGAGGCAGGAGAATCACTTGAACCCAGGAGGTGGAGCTTGCAGTGAGCCAAGATCGTGTAGCACTGCACTCCAGCCTGGACAACAAGAATGAGATTCCATCTCAGGAAAAAAAAGTCCCTTTTTAAAGATAGTAATTATTTTTACTTTCCAATTTACAAATAATGGAATGTATTTTCTAAGGGGGTAGAAGGGAAATGAAATATTCTATCTATATGCTTTGAATTCACTCCCTGTCTCAGCACTCACTATGTGGCCAGAGACCAGAGAAGAAAGGAAGCCTGGAAGAGGTCCCACCTACCTGACTGCAGCCTCGGTTTTCATGGAGATGATTTAGGCAGTGTCTGGGGATCTGCTTGCCATGGATGATAGCCTGCCCCTCAGAGGACAAGGAGAAAAGTGTGGGAGAAGCCCGGCCTTACAGTTAGTATACAGCTCGTAGCCCCAGGAGAAGCTCAGCCTTGCTGACACCAGCTATCCTGGTGGGTCTCAGTCCTGTAGAGGGGCACGGCTCTTTAGCAGTGCTCACTTTTCCCTCTCCCTGAACCTGGAGAAGTTGGTGAACCTAATGGCCTTTCTCTCTCCTCAGTTTAGAAATCCACTCCTCTCTACCCCATTGCTGTTGATCTACCTGGAAAGGGACAAACACCTTGAAGTAAGTCCTCCACAGCCTAGCCTTCGTAGTGTTGAAGGGACTTATACTGGCTGATGGTGCTGGTAGGTCTAGGCCTGTGTTCATAAGAATGAAAATAGAAAAAAAAAAAAAAGTAAAAGACTATGACATAAATAGCGGACATTTGAGGGAAATAGAAGCCTAAAGGGAGAAATACGATATTGACAAGTCAAAATAAAGTAGGGCTGGTTTAAACAGAATAGGAGAAAGAAGAGATCAAAAGAGAGAACTCTGATACAAATTCTCAATGAGATTCAGGAAGATATTACTTAAGAGAAAACTCATAGTAAGAAAGAAATCTCAGAAATTAGGAAGAAAATTTAAAAATGATTTCTGAAATTAAAATGATCTTTAGAAGGAGTGAAAATATGTGGAGAGGCTGAAAATTGAATTATTGATCTTTAGACAGACTTAAAAATATACTCCACAACATAAAGCAAAAAAAAAAAAAAGACAAATTAATGAAAACGTTAGTAAAAATGAAAGAGAAATGGAGGGTAGATTCAGGATGCATAACTTAAAAAGATGTGCAGCTCTGGAGGAGAAAGAGAAAAGAATGAAGAAACAATAACATAAAAAGTTTAAAAAAAATTCCTGGAGCTGAAAAAAGATTTTTGACTGGAAGTCAAAGAATTATGTACATAATTAATGAAATAACAGAAACATTTTCTTGTGAAAACTCTAATTTCCAGGAATAAAAAAGCACGTTTTGTAAGTTTTTAAAAAGACAGAATAGGTTACTTACAAGGGAAAGGAAATAATTTGACATTAGGGTTCTTATCTTCAACAAAGGAAGCTAAAGACACTGGGAAATATTCAAAGAATATCAGTGGGAGAGGGCTGTGATTACAGGATCTTCCACAGCCAGAGACTAGAAGGACTCCAAAAGTATGAACCCATGAGCCTCTTACAGAGAACTTGAAAAAGCATGCCTTCCAAATTAAAATTTAATCAGGAAAAAAGACAGATTGGGGGAGATGAAATACACAAGAAAAATATTGATTCTCAATGAATCCAGTAAGTCTTATTTTAAAATATAAATCAAGTTTCTTATGGAAGAGGAAGCACTAAAAGAAATATTTTAACAACTCAGACAGAGTAGAAATTCCAATCATTTTAACAGGCACAAGGAAGACAGAGTAGGAGAAAGCACTCAGAGTCTCTTCTTGAGGGAATATAAACATAGTTACTTCACTTTCTAAGTTTTGTATTTGCATAAAGTTTAAGTGTGTTTGTTAAATGTTTAAAACTAACCATTAGTAAAATAGAAATACGTAGTAGAACTAAAACAAATCACAACAGAAATAAAAGACAAAAGAATAAATTCAGATAAGAAAAGAAAAAAGGGTAAGTAATACATTACTTGAGGGCAAAATACAAAATAAAAAACTCAAGCTTTCGGCCAGCACAGTGGCTCACGCCTGTAATCCCAGCACTTTGGGAGGCTGAGGGGGGCGGATCGCCTGAGGTCAGGAGTTCGAGGCCAGCCCGACCAACATGGTGAAACCCTGTCTCTATTCAAAATACAAAAATTAGCTGGGCATGGTGGTGCATGCCTGTAATCCCAGCTACTTGTGAGGCTGAGGTAGGAGAATCGCTTGAACCCAGGAGGCGGAGTTTACAGTGAGCCGAGATTGTGCCATTGCACTCCAGCCTGGGCAACAAGAGCGAAACTCCATCTCAAAAACAAAACAAAACAACAAAACAAACAAAAACCTCAAGCTTTCAAATGGTTTCAGTGAATAATTCTACTAAACATTTAAGGAAGAAGTAATGTCAGTCTTACACAAACTATCTCATATAATAGAAAGAGGGAGCAATCTCTAACTTGTTTTTTTAAGGTTAATATGGTTTTGATATCAAAATCTGACAAGAGTGGTATGCAAAAGAAATATTATAGTTCATTTTCACTGAAATATAAAGTCCTAAACAAAATAGTGACAAGTGGATTCTAGCAATATATAAAAAAGACAATGCATCCCATTTAAATTGACTTCTTATAAAAATTTAAGGATCATTTAACAACAACAAAAAATCATAAATGAATTTGCCACATGAATAGAAGAGAAGATATCATATAATCACAGAAACATAAAGAAAAAATATTTAGTAAAATTTAAGATCTATTCATGATAAAAGCTCTTAGCAAGCCTGCAAGGTAGTTTCATAAAACCTTCAGCAAATTCACACATCATGGTGAAATGTTGAAAGCTTCTCTCTCAAAGTAAGAACAATACAAAATGCCCAAGTTCTGCTTTTGTATTGACTATTATTCAGGGGACTCTAGTTAGAGTAGTAAGTAAAGTAAATAAAAGAGTATGAAAGATTTTAAAGGACAGATTAAAATGGTAATTTTCATGGACATATGATTATATATGTAGAAGATCTAAATAAATCTATAGATAAATTATTACAATAATTTTAAAATTTAGTAAGTTTTCTAGATACAAAATTAATGTACAGAAATCAGGTGTATTCATACATACCTTTAACAAACAGTTAACACATAAAATTCTAAAAATATATATTATGAGTATAAAACATATCAAATATCTAGGATCAAATCTAACAAAAGATGTGCAAGGTCTCTCTTAAGATGAGCAGAATATTTCTGAGAGACATTAAAGAAGAACAAACTAAATGGAGTGATATAACACACTCCTCATGGACTGGAAGATAGTGTTGTAAATATGACACTTCTTTTAGATTATACTGAAAATTCAATGCAATATCAATCAAAATCCCAAAGAATTCTTTTTTTCCCAAATTTCCCAAAGGAACTTCAGCTGATTATGAAATTTATATGGAAATTTAAAAAGTCAAATACCCAGAATACTTTTAAGAAGAAACCAAGGTAGGAAGCCATGCTATATAAGGTATGAAGACATTATAAAATCACAGTGATTAAAACACTATAATATCAGCACAAGGATGTAGTCAATGAACTTGACTAGAGAAGCCACAGACAGACTCCAGCAGAGATAAGTACTTGATATGTGATATAGGTCATAATGCAGAGCAGTAGAGAAAGGGTATTTTTTTTATCTAAGTAAAAGATACTAAGCTTGATCCCTATCTCACAACACGTGCAAAAACTAATTTCAAGAGATTTGAGACCTAAGTGTGACAGACTTAACAAAAAAATACATATTTTTATAAGATAAAATAGAAGAATTTCTATTTCCAGTAAATATTTATTTATTTATTTATTTGTTTGTTTGTTTGTTTGTTTATTTTTTTTTTCTTGAGGCAGAGTTTCACTCTTGTTTCCTAGGCTGGAGTGCAATGGTGAGATCTCAGCTTACCGCCACCTTCGCCTCCCGGGTTCAAGCAATTCTCCTGCCTCAGCATCCCGAGTAGTTGGGATTACAGGCATGTGCCACCACACCTGGCTAATTTTGTATTTTTAGTAGAGACAGAGTTTCTCCATGTTGGTCAGGCTGGTCTCGAACTCCTGATCTCTGGTGATCCACCCGCCTCGGCCTCCCAAAGTGCTGGGATTACAGGTGTGTGAGCCAGAGGGCCCGGCCTATAAAGTTAATTTAAAAAGACACGAAAAACACACATTTCTTTTCCATAAAAGAATGAGAAGTTTGAGTATATTAAAATGAAGAAATTTTGTTAATCAAAAGATATTATTGAGGGTGAAAAAACAAGCCATAGAGTGGGAGAAGATTTTTACAACAAGGGATTCGTATGAAGAAAATATAATTCAAAAAACAAATAAATAAGAAAATGGCTGACAACCCAAGAGTTACCAAGAATTTTGAACAGACATTGCACAAAAGAGAAAACTTAATGGGAAATTAACATGTGAAAAAGCACCGCTTTCATTAGTAATCTCAGGGATGCACAATTAGAACCACTGGAACGTATCACTATATAGTCACCAGAATCATTATCGTCAAAAAGACTAATCATGTATCACTGAGAATGTGAGCCAACAGAAACTCATACATGTCTGTGGGACTTATAAATAGATACAATCCCTTTGTACAATATTTGGCAAATCCCAAATTTGATGATACACAGTATGTGTATCATACAATACAATCTACTTATTGTTGTGTAATCAATGTAAATGTATGCACAAGAAATTTGTTTAAGAATATTCATGGCAGCACTATATGAAATAGCCCCAAAGTGGAAATAACCCAAATGGCAGACAATAGTGGAAGAGAAAAATAAATTAACATATATTTAAACCATGGAATAGTATAAAGCATCATCAACAACCCAAAAAGCTATAGCTCCCCAAAAGGCAAGTAAATCTTTAAAAGATAATACTGAGCAAAAGAAGTAAAACAACAAATTTATACTAAATAATTTTTATAGTGTAAATTTAATAAAGGCAAATCTAAACCTTGAAGTAAGGAATACACACTTTGGTGGATGATATATGAAGAAGAGAAAGGAGACAATTCCTATAAAAGTCACGAGAGTGGTTAATACTTGAGGGTAAGATTGAAAAGAACTGTTGGCTTTTAGAGTTCCATCATATTCTACATTCTGTTACTGGGCCTGGGTAGTGAACAGATGAGTCTTCTTTAAGTCACACATTTACGTTTTATGCATCTTTTTCTGTATGCTATATTTTGTAATCAAATATTTTATAACCAAACAAACCATAAAACCCAAATGTTTTCTTTCTATGGCTGGTTTATTTCACTTAGCATAATGTTCTCCATGTTCATCTATATTGTTGCAAATGACATATTTTTCTTGTTTTTTTTTTTTTTTTTTTTTTTTTCTGAGATGGAGGGAGTCTCACTCTGTCGCCCAGGCTGGAGTGCAGTGGCGCGATGTCAGCTCACTGCAACCTCCACCTCCTGGGTTTAAGCAATTCTCTGCATCAGCCTCCTGAGTATCTGGGATTACAGGTGGGTGACACCCTGCCCGGCTAATGTTTGTATTTTTAGTAGAGATGGGGTTTCACCATCTTGGCCAGGCTGGTCTTGAACTCCTGACTTTGTGATCCACCCGCCTTGGCCTCCCAAAGTGCTGGCATAACAGGCATGAGCCACCGTGCCCAGCCACAAAGGACAGGTTTTTCTAAGGCCAAATAGTATTCAGTGGATAGAGGTACAACAGTTTGTTTATCTTTTCATCCACTGATGGACACTTAGGGTGATTTCACATCTGACTATTGTGAATAATGCTGCAATGAACATGAGTGTGGAGTTATGTCTTTGACATACTGATTTCATTTCCTTTGGATATATAGCCAGTAGTGGGATCATATGTAGTTCTATTTTGAGAAACACCTCCACTGTTTTCCATAATGATTATAGTAATTTATATTCCCACTAACAGTGTACAAGTATTCCCTTTTCTCCACATCTCACCAACACTTGTTATCTTTTGTCTTTTTGATATAAACCATTTAAACAAGTGTGAGGTAATATCTTATTGTAGTTTTAATTTGCATTTTCCTGATGATTAGTGATGTTGAACATTTTTTTTCATATACCTGTTGGCTATTTGAATGTCTTCTTTTGAGAAATATCTATTTATGTCCTTTGTTCATTTTTAAATTGGGTTTCTTTCGTCCTATTGAATTGTTTGAGTTCTTTATATATTCTGGCTATTAACCTCTTATCAGTTACATAGTTTGGAAATATTTCCCCCCATTCTAGAGTTGGTCTCTTTACTCTGTTGTTTCCTTTGGTATGTGTAAGCTTTTTAGTTTGATGCAATTTCATTTGTCCACTTTTGCTTTTGTTGCCTGTGCTTTTAGAGTCACATCCAAAAGATTTTTGCTGAAGCCGATGACAAGCAGCTTTTATCCTACTTTTTTTCTAGAAGTTTTATAGTTTTAGGGCTGATATTTAAGTCCTTACTCCATTTTCAGTTGACTTTTATATATAGGATAAAATAAGGGTCCAAATTCATTTTTCTGCATGTGGATATTCAGTTTTCCCAACACTGTTTATTGAAGAGACTATTTCCCAATTGTGTGTGGAATCTAAAAAAAGTTGAACCCATAGAAGCAGAGAATAGAATGGCGATTACTAGAGGCTGGGGCAGCAGGAGTGGGGTGGTGAAGGGGAGATGTTGGTCAAAGGGTGCCAAGTTTCAATTAGATGGAAGGTGTCAATTCTGGAGATCAGTTGTACAGCCTAGTGACTATATTTAATAATAATGTACTGTATACTTGAAAATTGTGAAGTTCTCACCATAAAAAATAAGCATGTCACATGATGGATATGTTCATTAGCTTGATTTAATCACTCCACAATGTACACGTATATAAAAAAATCACATTTTGCCTCATAAAAGCATATAATAAAATAAATAGGCTGGGCGTGGAGGCTCATGCCTGTAATCCTAGCACTTTGGGAGGCCAAGGTGGGCGGTTCACGAGGTCAAGAGATCGCCATCCTGGCCAACATGGTGAAACACCATTTCTACTAAAAATAACAAAAATTAGCTGGGCATGGTGGCACGTGCCTGCAGTCCCAGCTACTTGGGAGGCTGAGGCAGGAGGATCATTTGAACCTGGGAGGCGGAGGTTGCAGCGAGCTGAGATCACGCCACTGCACTGCAGCCTGGTGACAGAGCGAGACTCCGTCTAGAAACAACAACAACAAAAACAAACATAAATGAATAAACACACATGTAAAAACATTTCAAAAATAAATTTTGAGGCCAGGAGTAAAAATGGAAAAAGATAATATTTTCTATTTGATTTAAAACATCAAGACCATATTTGTCATAAACTTATATGCACTTTAAACAATGTATTGCTAGATATAGAAAGCACAGTTCTTAGATATAAGAATAAAATTTGACTCACTAGAATTAAATAATTTTTATTCATTCCAATTTTTCTGTACAAAAAAGAGTTTTTAAACACCTTGTCTTTAAATTTAATTGACCAAATAGACCAAAAATAGAATATTAATGAGTTTAGTCACATAATTAATAGGATGAATTTACTAGATAATCTAGCATATGGTACCTTATAAAGAATGTATATTATATGCCCATAGAAGCAGGAAAAAAAATGTGTACTGCATTCTAGGACTATCACACAATCAAGCTAGATCCACATAAATGCTAGATCAAAACTGAGACCTACTGAAAAAAACAAAAACTAAACAAGTAAAATCTCAAATTTCTTTAAAAAATTGTAAATCAAATCAAAACTATATTCTGAGATATAAAAATCAACAAAAATAAGAACAGTATACAGCAAAAGTATGGGCTGGTACTAAGCATAAGCACTATTCATACATTTAAATTCAAAAGGCCCAAAATAACAACCAGGCCTTCAATTCAATACAGAAAAGTTAACAAAATAAGCCATATAGATGCATATATAAAATTATACAATTAATTAAATAAAAGCATAAATTAATGACTCTGAATGCTAAAAATGAAAAAATACAATTAATGGATAAAAGGGGCGATTCTTCAAAAAGATAAATAAAATACGCAGGTCCAGCCTGGTGCAGTGGCTCACGTCTGTAATCCCAGCACTTTGGGAGGCCGAGGCGGGCAGATTACCTGAGATCAGGAGTTCAAGACCAGCCTGGCCAACATGGTGAAACTCTGTCTCTACTAAAAAAACAAAAATTAGCAGGGCGTGGTGGCACACACCTGTAATCCCAGCTACTCGGGAGGCTGAGGCAGGAGAATTGCTTGAGCCTGGGAGACGGAGGTTGCAGTGAACTGAGATCATGCCACTGCACTCTAGCCCGGCTGACACAGCAAGACTCTGTCTCAAAAAAAAAAAAAAAAAAAAAAAAAAAAGGCAAGTCCTTTGGAATTTGGGCCTTGAATGAAGGGAGAAAATAAAAATATAAAGCATTAGAAATGAGGAAAGTATAACTAGATGAAAATCTAAACAAAATACAGAATTCTTTAGGAAAATTAGAAAACCAAAACTGACTCCAGACAAGGCTCTCCACCCCTCCCCACCCTGTGTATGTGGGTGTAGGGGTGGCAGTGGGAGAGGCTGTGGTTCTCCAGAACCTTCCAGTTGCCTGGAAAGTTCTGTTAGGAGGATCCCACTTTGTCCGCAGAGCTCATGTCCTTCAGGCCATCTTTGCAGGTAATAAAGGGTGTATGGTATTTTAATTTCCCCCAGGTCAGTGTCTATCTTTCAATGTGTTGTAAATAAAGGTGGAAGGAGGTATGCGTTATTTGCTTTCCAACATGTTCCAAGAATGCAAACAATATGAAAATCTGCCTACATCTTTTTATGGGGCTAGCATTGATATGTCTGATGCTAAAACTTGATGAGAGCACAAAACATAAACATATAGAAAATTCTAATTTATAAGTGGTAAATGAAATCATGTCAAAGTGACTTAAGAAAAAAAGGGAGCTGATTTGTTCATATTACCAAAAGATATGGCAGAATGTTCTTCGGCATGCTGGAAACAAGTACTTAAAGCTTCCCTTTGTACTGGTTTCATTCTCAAGCACATTTTCACCTGGCTGTGGCAAGCTGTCTAGGTACAAGCTGACATTCTATTAGCTTGGTACTCCAGCAGAAGGAGAGCATCTCTCTGTTGGCAACTCCAGCACAAGTCCCCATAGTGGCATCTCACTGGTCCGGCTTAGTTCCCATGCCATCACTAAACCATTCACTGTGGCCAGAAAATCTGGTGCTCTAATTGGCCAGGAGTGAGTTATGTGCTCACTCCTAGGTTATGGCTCAGTACTAGGAAGTCTATGAATATAAATGAGAATATTAATTATTTAAAAAGAAAAATCATGTGGGGAAAGGCATTATACTTGATTTAGCACTCATTTCTGGTTAGTTCATTCATTCCTTCAACATACATTTCTTAAGGACCAATTCTGTATGGTTTTCTGGTTTTGGTGTGGAAGTGAACAAAAACAAGCCAAACTCCCTGCTTTGTGGAGGTTACATATTAGGATTTAACATTGTATGCAGAATAGTAAGAAAGTTTAAATATGGTTAAAAAAAGTTAGATACTAAAAGCAAAATGTATGTTAAATATGGCAGCACTAAAGACATTCCCATCCTAGAGTATTTATTTTAATTATCTTTTAGAGCACAATTTTAATAAGGTTTCTGGGAAGCGCAGATATATATATTGAGTTTCTACTTGTTAAGGATCCTTTTTTTCTTTCCATTTTGCAAGTGAAAATAACTTGATAGATTTTTCAGACTCGAATATTTTTCCTTTAAACTCTGCAAAAGTTGCATCATATTTGCTGGAATTTAATATTAATGAGAAAGGACCTGAAGCCAACCTAATTTTTGTTGCTTTGTAGGTAAGCCATTTCCTCCCATCCCTGCCTGGATACATGTAAGACACCTCACCCAACCAATCTAAAAAAACTTAAAACTTACCAGAGTATGTGTATGTAGAAAACTCTATTGATTAATTTTGATTGCTTCTTATGAAGTCCTTTCAAACCCGAACATGTCTTTTTTGACTCAGAAACATTTTTTTTCTTCTTTAATTGTTTCTCCTCAATTTGCACTTTTCTCCTACCATATTTTTTGTATACCTAAATGGGATCTTCTGCATTTGTTCTTTACATCTTTGTTTTTCAATGGTTCACCACCTTCTCTCTTTTCTTTGATTTTGGGAGACGTTTTTGAACTTTTGCCCTCCTGCTTTGGTTTTCCATGATATTTAGTGCCCCTTTGCCGTTTGAATTTTGTTGGTGATATTCTTTGTTTGCAGTCTTTAAAACTGCATGATGTCATTTTAAAAGAAATATTTATTTAAGATTCTCAGAATCCAAATGAAATGTTCTCTCTATTCCCTAGTAATTTTATTTAATATGAAGTTCTCTGATTTCAGAAGCCTGTCCTTCCCAGTATTGGATGTTGAGCCTGAATCGCTCAAGAACTATTTGTGGACCTTTTAAATTTTTAGGTCTAGACAAGGAGGGGCTGAATAGGTTTGGATATACAGCAGTTCTTCTTTGCCTGTCTGCATTCCTGAAGCCTGACAAGGGTAGGCAGAAGGCTCGAGAAAATGATGGTCAGGGTCTTGGAATTCTCTGCTCAGGCTTCTTTCCTTTCCCATGTTTCATGTGATCTGAGAGCTAGCTGGGGCAGTGGCCTCATTTGCTGACCCTCAGAGTTCCATGCCACCCGGCTCATATGTCCTCGGGCGTGCTCCAGTGTGCTGGCACTCCCTTCACGGTGCATGGACCAGGAAACCTAATCCAAACAAGTCTAGGCAATAAAGGGAATGAGCACTCAGTTCACTGAGATAAGCTGAACGCTACAGGACTTTTTCCTCATAGCCTAATGAGGTTGTCAAGGACCAAGTTTCTTTTAGTCTTTGTTCTCTGCTTTCCAGATGTCTTCACCCCAAGCCAGACCTCCCTTAAGGAGACAAAAAATTTGCAGCAGTTCCCACAGTTCACGTCTGCACAGCACATGACCCAGTAGGAGATGGGACTGACTGGGTCAGACTGCAATACCTGAACTCCTTGTTATTGAAGAAGCATGAGGTCTCACTAATTGGCTTATACTCATATTGGCATTGCCGCTGCCTCCAGGGCTGAGGTGGCGTTAATTCACTATTTCCTGCTCCGCCACACAGCTGCTACCCAGGTGAAAGGGTTAAATGGCTAAGGGATAGTCATCCGTAATATATTCAGGTTTTTAATGCCTCTTCTAAGTGTGTTCTCAGAATTAGCCAAGTGCGCAAGTGGTAGAGATACACAGGGATAGATTTATTTACTTTTGTGAATCTACTATATTAATCATGTAGTTTGTTTAAATAGTGTGATTCAGTTTTGAGAGCAAAGTTGGGAAAACCTCTTACCCGTTATTTTTATTTTACTTTGATACTCTGTTAAGTCAAACTCAATGAGTGGGGAGCAGGGAGGCTAATGGGCATTTATAGAATGACATTATACTTTAATATTAAAATAGGAATATTTAGATTTACTTATATATGTAAGCAATTTTTTTTAGCATGTACTACTTGCCAGGTACAGTTGACCCTTGAACAATGTGGGGGTTAGGGGCACCAACCCGCCCCCACCACACAGTTAAACATCTGTGTACGACTTCTGACTCCCCCAAAACTTAACTCCTAATAGCACATTGTTGACTGGAGGCCTTACTGATAACATAACCAGCCTACTAACATGTATTTTGTATTATATATATTATTTATTATATTTTTACAATAAAGTAAGCTAGATAAAACAAAATGTTTCTGAGAAAATCATAAGGAAGAGAAAATAGATTTACTATTCGTTAAGTAAAAGTGGATGATCATAAAGGTCTGCATCCTTGTCATCTTCACATTGCGTGGACTGAGGGGGAGAAGTTGGTCTTGCTGTCTTGTCTCAGGGGTGGCAGAGGTGAAGAAAACCCATGTATAAGTGGACCCACTCACTTCAAACCTGTGCTGTTCAAGGGTCAACTGTGTTTCATTACTGAGCGTGAGAGTGCAATGTGTACCAGCCAAAGAAATGTTCCTGCTCTTAAAGAGTTTAAGTCATAGAAGAGATCAGTCAAGTCAATAGGTTTGTAGTGTGAAATTGTTATACAAGATGCCCTGGGTGCTACGGAAGCACATAGAGCAGGCACCAAATCTAGGCCTGGGGAAGCAGAAAAAGCTTATTTATTAGAGGAGAATACTGAGTAATACTTCAAGGGCAGGTCGGCATGGGCCAGGTAAAGAGATGCTGAAGGAGCCTCCAGACAAGGAGAGCTCATGTGGGAAGGCCCAGCAATGAGAGAGGCAGTAAAGCAAGGTTCTAGAGTTAAACTATCTGGTTTGGAATCCTGGCTCTTCCACTTATCAGCTGTGTGCACAAAGTATTTCGACAGGGATAATAAAAATGGCAGCTACCCCGTGAAGTTGTTATGAAGATTGAGCAAGTTAACATTTGTAAAACACTTCAAACAGGGCTTTGTTTGTTACATAAAAAATAAAATTAAACCTACATATAAAACAAAACAAATCTTTCCATACTGCCTCAATCAACAACGAGTAAGAAAGAATCTACTCTTTAGTGTCTCCCATTGGAGGCCGCCATGTTTACTCCCTGACCTCCGCAGCAGTGGATCCAGCTTCCTAAATGAGCTTGTCTGCTTCCCCTGCCCTGCCTGCATTGAGCTTCCAGCTGGCTCAAGAGACATGCTCACACACAAGCTCAGAAAAGAACCACGAACATTGAGAGACAGCAGCTCAGTCAGTGAGTCCATGGGAAGAGCACCAACATGGAATCCAGGAGAAGTGGTCATGTGTACATCTAAGATAAAAGCCAGGCAAGGCAGCCATCAGTGACTTGGGCAGGTCGTCACAGAGACTGACAGGAAGTTCTTGTTGCCACTTCCATATTTTGTGAAAAGGCAAGACTCCAGCTCTGGGAAGCCTGACCAGCACCAAGCCAGGCCTGCATCCAAGAAAATCACAATACAAAGCAGGTTATCAAAGGACTAATTCCCTCCCTCCCTCCCTCCCTCTCTCCCTCCCTCCCTCTCTCTCTCTTTCTTTCTCTTCCTTCCTTCCTCCCTTTCTGCCTTCCTTCCTTCTTTCTTCTTCTTTCTCTCTCCTTCCTTCCTTCTTTCCTTCCTTCCTCCTTCCTTCTACCTTCCTTCCTTCCTTTCTTTGTTTCTACAAAAAATTTATTTAAATGCTTAACTTGCGCCAGACAATGTGTCAGGTACTGGATATATTAGTAGTAACATATAGTTTCTGCCTTCAAAATGTTTAGACTAGTGAGAAAGACAGGTATCAGATGATGTGATGCTTTGATAAAAATATGCACAGGGCACTATAGTAACAACCCAAAAGTTCTGACCTTACCAAACTCAACTGCAAGGATGAAAAGAGAAGTGAGGAATGGAGGTTGATAGAGAAAGAGGATTAAGAAAGACTTCATTCAGGAGAAACCCAATTATTAATATGAGATCACAGCAAGATGGCTTCTAAATTGGCCTGTTGAAGCCACTCATAATACACCTGTGCTTCTAGAACTTAGAGTAGAGACTGTGGGTTGGCAGTGTACAAGGACAGTGATATAACAAATATAAGAGCAATGTTTGAATGAAAGAGAAAAAAATTCAGTGTCCATAAAGTAAGAACAAACCTCCATGTAGAGACTGCAATGATGTACAAAGTAGAGAATTGTAGAGAATACTACTCAACAATAAAAAGTAATGAAGTAATGACATATGTTACAACATGGCTGAACCTTGAAAACATTATGCCAAGTGAAAGAAGCCAACCACAAAAGACCATGTATTATGTGATATGAAACGTCCATAAGAGGCAAATCTACACAGACAGAAAGTAGACTGGTGATTGCCTAGGGTTGGGGGAATTGGAGAAAAACTGAGTGACTGCCAATGGGTATAATGTTTCTGTTTGGTTAATAAAATGTTCTTAAATGGATTGTGGTGATGGTTGTCCCCCTTTGTGATTATACTACAAGCCATTGAATTGTATACTTTAAATGAATGGATAGTATGCTATGTGAATTATATCTCAATAAAACTATTACACATTTTTTAAAAAATGAAAATGGTTCCTTAGCAGAGTAGAGGAAAGTTAAGTATGGCTAGAACTTCAAACATATAGGGTGTAGGATGTAGTGATAAATTAGTTTAACGTGGTAAATCTCAACCAGGGTGAATTTTGCCCTCCACAGAACATTTGGCAATGTCTGGAGACATTTTTAATTATCACAATTGGCATGGTGGTGTTACTGACATCTAGTGGGTAGAGGCCATGGATGCTGTTAAACAGCCTACAACGCACAGGACAACCTCCCCAACAAGGAATTATTCGGCCCAAAATGTCAGGAGTGCCAAAGTTGAAAAACCTTGGTCTGAAGAGGTAAGAGACCAGGCCATGAAGAGTTATGGGGTAAAGTTGAGAAGTTTGGCCTTGCTCTAAAGAAGAAACAATGGTATTAATTGAGGGATTGGCATGATGAAATTGCCACTGAATACCCAAAACGTCACTTTGTGTACAGCTTAGAAAACAGATTAGAGAATCAGGGAGGACAGAGATAATGGTGACCTAAGTAGTGTGCTAGCAGAGGGAATGGAAGGATTTAAAAGATATTAATTCACTAAGAAGAATTCTCAGGGTATGGTGATTTGTTTGATTCAATGTTCAGAAAAAGAAGGAGAAAGAGGAGCAGCTTGGGATCCAGGCTTCTGGCTGTGCTAGTAGGTGATGGCAATAAGGCCCTTGGCTGACACAGCAGATAAAGGTGAAGGAGCTGGTTTGAGGGAGAAAATGACAAATTGGATTTTGTCATTTTCAAAATCAAAGTGGAGACTTTTAGGGAGTAACTGAGGATAAGATCAGGAAACTCTGGAGAGATTGGGGCTGTGTATTGGGCATCAGGATATATAATGCAATTGTACATGGGAATGCGTGCCACCGCCTAAGAGGAGTGTGGCATGAGATAAGAAGGCAGAACTCGGAAGAACACTAACAGGCATAGAAGAAAGAATCCAAAGGCTATTTAGAAAGTGGCAGGCAACTTGAGGAAATAAACAAAACCAAACAAAACCAGGACTGTGCAGTATGACAGAAGTCAAAGAAAGATGATTTCAAATAGGCCACAATATACAATTTATAGTATACACTAGGAAGATGGAGAATCACCTAGTGGACTTAGCAACAAGGAGTTTGAAGGCGACTATGTTGAGATGGGCTTTAGTGGTGTATTGGGGACAGAAATCAGAGGGGGTGTGTTGAGAAGTAGCTGAAAGGGAAGGAAGCAGAGTGATGAGTGTAAGCAGCTCACTTGAGAAATGTGGTTATGACAGGGAGATCAATGATAGTGGGAAGGGGATACAGGGTTAAGGTTGGGGTCATTTGAGACAAGAAAGACTTACTTTAACATGTTTAAGCGCTGAGTGGAAGGGGCCAACAACAAAAAATTAGATACACAGAGCAGGGGAAATTAAAATGTCAAGATTTGGGGGAAGCACTGAAGTCATTATTCAACATAGATTGAAGGATGCTTCTACTATCCAAGTAGGAGCAAAGGATAAAAACATGGGTACAGAACACAGAGAGTTTATAGGTTTGGTGGCATAAACTTTAGGAAATTCTCATTTGAAGATTTCAGCTTTCTCTGTGAAGGAGGTAAGGTCATTTCCTGAGAGTAAGCCAGTGAAACAGCAGAGTTGAAATTTTGTGGATAGTGGACACAGTTTGAAATAGCTGTAGTAAAGTGGGAAAAAAGAAAGCAGAGAGATTTATGGACCATACGGAAGGCTCTACTGAGATAGGGGAACATAAATGTGCAATGCCATGAATGTATGTGTGTATGTGTGTGTGTGTGTGTGTGTGTGTGTGTTTTCCTAACAGCACTCAGCAGGCTTGAATAAAGTGGGGAGTAGATTAATCCTAGGTTGAGATTTTTACAAGCAATATGGGACAATTCCTAGTGTCGAACTACATTTTTTTAAACTAGAGAGAGAAGGAGGTAAAGGCAGCAGAGCACTGATGGATGGAGAGGTCAGGGATTTGCAAGGTCTAATACTGGACTTGGTGGAAGTAGCTGAATTGGAGAGCTGGATGTGGTTAGACAGATAGATAGCTTGGAATATGACAAGGTCTAGTATGTGGCCATGAAACTGGCTGACTTACATAAATGGAGGTGAAGGGCACTGAAAATGAATGGGGTCAGGAGTGTAGGATGGATTTTCTTCATCAAACCTGACTTGTCTTGGCAGAATAAATGTATATCATGCCTCTTTGCTTAAGTGCAGATTCTAAGTAATGTCTTGCTTTGTTTCAATTCTCAATTGGATTTTATCCATAATGCTAGACTCAATAGTACTTGTTATATTTCAAATCTGTCTAATACTTGCACTTAAGGAAATTACAGAGAAGAATGAAAACATTTCAGAAGGCTACAAATGAATATAAATCATTGTGTGCTCATTGATGTGAGGGTTAGAGGAAGCTATGGAGAAGTAGTAGCCTAGATTTTACCATCTTTTTGTGAACAAATGCTCACTTAACCTACTTATACCAAGAGTTTGACTGGCACCAGACCAAGCAGAGTCATGCCAATTTCTTCCATATTTTAGTTTTGATTTCAGGGAAAGAAGGAGAGATACCCAAAGATTTTCATAAATCTAAGACTGGAAGAGGCCTTAGAGTCATCTTCCCCAGCTGACATTTGATGCTGAACTACTCAATATCCTCACCATGTGGTCACTCCACCCAGTCACTACAACCCAGTCCTGGCAGAGCTTGGATTTGAATCCAAGTGTTTAATTCTTAACCTGGCCTTCTTTATGCTATATCAAAATTCCTGGGCTACCACTTGGGAGAGGGAGCTGGAGAGAGCAGTGAGTGGGGTAACCTACATAGTTTCCCACAGCTTGGAATGATGGTTGTGTGTATTCATGCTGAAACAGCTACTCTCCTTGAGGCTCTTGTCTCCTGCATGTAGTTCAGCCCCTTGGAGCCACTGGGGATAAAACTGCTTCCTCTTGCACATTGAACATCTTTATTTGGTATTATCAAGTAGCCAAGATTCTAGTGCAACTTCCCTTCCTCAAGGCGACCAGTCCCATCTACCCTATCACCCTTCCCTCTTCCAGCTTCACCTCAAGTCTCTGCTTTCTTCTAGGGAAAGTAAGCTCTACCAGGAGGCAGGTCTCTGGCCTTCAGGAGGACTATGCTCAAGTTCATCACTCCACTGCACATTTGGGACAGCCTGGTGCTGTCAACATCACCAAGTTGAGATCTGGGAAGACTCTTTGCATTTCCTAATGGAGAACCAGAGCCCTGATCCATCCATACAATGACAGAACTGGAACCGAACTTGGAGACTACCTGGTCCAGTGCTTTATTATACAGAAAGGGAGGTGAAGCAGCTCATCCAGATCATGGCAATTGACTAGTGGCACAGGTTGGATTTAAATCCAGGTCCTCTTATCTCTAATCTGGTTCTCTTTGTGTTTATCAGATTCCCTGGGACAATACTGCATTTTGTTCTCCCTATATATTTGTGCCAGAATAATTTTTCAGCTCAGTTTCACATATTCATACTATCAATATTCATCTTCCAAATCTCAGGAGCTTAGCAAGAACAAAAAGCGGATCTAAAAATTAATCCATTATTGGATGACATGGATTATAGCAAATACAAAGTAGGAGAAAACATACATAGAAAAGTAAAACCTCAGAGTATTTACAGCCTTATGACATCCATCAGGCTGTGACCAAAATTGGATAAGACAGAGCATTATAAATCCTGGGGCTGTAAGGGAAGCACAAGGAGAGAAAAGTGTGCAATAGTGGCTGCTGCCCTGAGCAACATTCATCATCTGTGATCTCCCAGCCTCGCCGTCTTCAGAGCCCGTCCTGTGCACGGTGGGTTTTGTTCTGAAGCAGTAGGATGCACTGACACTGATCCCTCTCTACATTCTTGATGTATGCGACTGATACCTCAAAACTGAAGCTCATAGGGCCAGCCTGTATCTGGATTTTTAAATATGAAAATGAAAAAAGAAAATCTCTGTCTGAAGGGCTGGCAGAGAAAGAGGGAATCAACCTCTTTGCCCCAACAACAATGAAAAACCAAATCTGTGATCCTGTGGCTGAGAACAAAAGAGTGCCCCGCAGAGAGGTACACAAAACAGGCTGTGAAAATGACCCATCAGAAGGAACTCAGGAGAATCAATAACTTCAGTGGAAGACTTTAGGTCAAATTCTGAAACTACTACAGTGTGAATCCTGTGAACTGTCCTGGGGGAAAGGAGTCTGAATGTTTGCAAAACATCTGCGTTGAGGTGAAAATCAGGAGTCCTTTAACACACTCATCAAACCACCCCTGGGTGGGCTTGTTTGTTTCCTTCTCATTTCCTGGGCTCCTGGCTGCTCTTTGCACAGGCGTAAAATTCTCACTGCCATCAAGAGGGGATACAGGGGTCTCACTGAGGCCCGAGCTGCATTCTCATGCCCAGACTGAGACTGCAGAGGTAAAAAGTCAAGTTACTACATATTGGCATTATAATTGGCAGGCTGTGTGGCCTCGCCTCAGCTTTGCATTGTAATAGCCCCAAATGATCTGCCTCTGTTTCTCACAGCTCTCCTCCCTTGCTTTCAATGTCCTCTGCTGTTAATTAAATTCATACATAATGACTGTGGCTGTCTCCTGGACTCCATCCATCAGACAGCAAGCTGCTTTCCAGTGCCAGGTCAACTCAGCCATAATGAATAGACTCAGAGGCTGACCCTGCCTTCCAGATTTTCACCACGGAAGAAAGCACACAAGTGGTAGTTAAAGCATCTTGTTTCACATTGTACCTCTGCTACTCATAAAGTGAGATCTTGGCAAGTCAGTCAAACTTCTCGAGCTTCATATTTTCTATTTATAGTGATTTTTATCCAGGAGTATTTCAGTATCATTATTGAAGCTTTTAAATAATACAAGTCCCACCCCATACCTGTGGAATCAATTTCCAGAGGTGGACCTGGGTATCTATATTTTACAAAGCTCCATTAGATGCATCCATTCTGAAACATTTCTTGATAAAGGACATAAACCATTGGGTTATTGTAGAAACCATATAGATATGGGTATAAAGGTGCATTCGAAGAGATAAAGTGCTCCAAATCTTATTCATTTTATCTTTTGCTTTTCTTCTCCTGAACGCACAGACACAGACACTTTCTAGATTCTTGTTCTAAATATCTCTTTCCTTTCCATATGTGAGCCCTATCTCTTTCTCATTCATTAAATAATGAGTTCAAATGTTGTATTCCATTTAAGTCCTATTAACTTATGCCACTTCATAGTCTTTCTTTTTCGAAATAACCCTATCTATTTTTTTATTACTGTCCATGTATATGTCATATTAGTATATACATCATTAAATCTAATGGAATGAGTATTATTTCCATTTTACAGCCAAGGACATTAAGATTCACAGAGATTAAGTAATTCAGTAAGTATTGGAAGTGGAATTGATAACTTTGTCTTCTTCTAATTTTAAGTTCATTGCTTTTCCCATGGGCTAACTCTGGGAATAGCATCCAAGTTTTTACTTGTAACTTAGCTGTTAACTATTACAAAGCCAGCAAGTAATAAATGGAACTTAGGGAACCTTTAAAATCTCTTCCATGGCTTGGTGGTTTAATTATTATTGTAATATATTTAGAAATTTTGATGGCTGATTGAATTCTTTATTTCTCTCCCAGATATTTTTAGCTGAGTAGATAATTAGTCTGAACTGTGTGGGACTTGGTTCCTCTCCTAGAAAAAAGCACACAGGCAGCCGTGACTCCTTGAGCTTATGCCAGACTCTCTTTTCCTGACCCTGTAAGCATGGAGGGCTGTGTCCTCATTGTCATGCAGAAAGGAAGTCACACATGAAACAAGTGGAGGTAGTTCCTATCGCTCACATTTCCCTTCTCTCAGGTTGATTAGGCATTGGTAAACTCAAGTGTGTTACTCTGGTGAAACAGTTGCCCTTGAGGGCAGACTGTTAGGGAGAACAGAGAGGTCTGAGTGTTAACAAAAATGGTTATTTTTCTCCTCACATGATGAATGCACAAGAAGATTTTTCTCTATCTTCATAGTGACAACCTGGTGGGGCTCCTGGAGGTAAAACTCCTGAAAGTGTGAGGGTTCTCCTAAAACCGAGCCCTTGCCCCCCAATTATTTAATTCTCAAGCTTGTTCTCACTGAGCTTCCAGCAATTGCCAATTTCAGTTTAAAGTGTTCTTACCCTACCAGTACTAGTTCCGGCTGTGAACTTCCATTCCTGGGCTTTGGCTCTGATAAGCTGTGACTCCCTGTATCTGCCCATCTATTGCTCTAGTTTTCAGGGTAGCAGTTTGCCCTGTGACTTCAATTCTCTGATGTACTTAAGAGTAACAAACCTGCACGTTGTGCACATGTACCCTAGAACTTAAAGTATAATAAAATAAAATATATATATAAAAAAAAGAAGAGTTGTTGATTTTCAGTTCGTTCAGCTTTTCTCTTGCTATGAGGATGGGGGTGATGACTTCCAAGCTTCTTACAAGTCAGACTGGAAACGGACTTTTTTACACATGGAAGAAGAAGAAGAAAAAGAAAATAAGTTGCACTCTGTATTGGTTGAAATTCTTTTAAAAGCAGAGCCTGAGGCAAGAACTTGCTGCAAGTAGTTAATATGAAAAGTGATCCCTGAGGGCAGGAGTGAGAGATTGGTAAAGTGAATCAGGAACAGGAGAAAAGTTCATTTACAGAGTATAGCTTTGGCCTGCTTGTTTCCTGACATTGGCCTGATATGGGGGTGATTAAACACTCTGCATATGTAGGGTACCTATGTTCACCACAGCCTTGGAACAGAGCAGAAAAAGTCCTGCCTCTGATTTTAAGACCATTTGTGCTGAAATAGAGGAGGTGGCTGTCAAGAATAGGAGTCGGGGTCTCTATTTGCAGTGGTCTCAACTGGTCACCTCTCCAGGGCTTAGCTTTCATTAAGCTCACAGACATTCTTTCTACTAAAAAATATCCAAATGATTGTCTGTTGAGGCAAATTCCACATCTGAACAATGGGCCTCAAGAGGCCTGAGGCCCAGCAGATTTTCACAGAAGCTGTGAAACAAACGGCCCCTTTGGAAACTTGTAAGTTTTTATTTTAGTTCTTTTGATTTTATACATTTCTTCTTGCTATTTCTCAGAGGTTACCTTTAATCTAATCTTTGCCCTCCTGAATGGTGTTCTTAGCAGGCTTAGCCCCTAGGCCTGAGTAGCAGTTGGCTCTGGGTGTCACACTTCATTTTACTTCTTGTTTCACCTTTTACAGAGCAGTTGGCCACCAAGACAGAGGTTGGACAAGTGTCCTGGGGTAAGAGCTGGCCTTGCCAGCCAAGTGCCATAGACGTTCATCTCTTTCAGTCAGATACCCACCAATTCTTATCACTCTTGTCTAGCCTCCTTTCTTCCCAAGCCTAAAATGTCCCCAAGAAGAACATATTTCTATGTGTTAAGTTTTGTGCTAGCCCTATTTGTGATGGGTCATATGATATTCCAAAAATGGGTACATGCCTAAGGTTCCAAAAACTGAACTTAAGCCTTGATTAACCCAAATCTATCTTGACTTCAGTTTTTGTAATTTGTTGGACTATTGCAGAAATGGCAAAAATGTTTCATATACCAATCAGTTTCTAGTGGCTGCCTAGAAAGCTGTGATGAGGGAAATTCTTAAGTAACACCCAGACCCCGAGGGAAAGGTGAGAAGGTTGATTGGCAATGTCTGTCTTACACAAGAAAAGGGGAGAGACATTGTTTGCCATCCCAGGATTATAAGACCTTGTAGATTCATTTCAGCTCTGAACGGTTAAGAATCTAAATTTTGCTATGCCCCGCTTCTTCAGAATTCATCAGTTTTTTTTTTTTTCCAGCTGTCTCTTAGCAGTTGTTTAACCAATCTGGGATAAACCGTCAACAGTTGAAAGCTCGAAGGTTGCAACTATCACATCGCATTCCTTGGGTAAGTCATTTTCTTCACTGGGTCTCAGTGAAATTGGAGGGGCTGTCACAAGATATCTAAGGTCTCTTTCAATGACCAAGTCCCACAATTCTATTATTCTGGAGTTACAATGCCTTGGTGAAAACAAACAAACAAACAAACAAACCACCCACCAAGTGGCTTAAGTACACTGTAGGGTTGCAGAAGGGGCTGTATTTTCTTCTTTTCCTTCTCTTTCTTTTTCCGTTCCTTCTTGGTAATGAGGAAGGTAGGTAGTGGGCTTCATCCAGCCCTCAAATCTCAAAGTGATACTGTAAAATATATATTTGATCATTGACTCCATTTCCTGGCATACAACTCTTAAAATCCTTAGAATCTCTGAAGAGATCTTTTTGTATGCTAATGAAATGACAGGTGGCCGGCAGCTCCTAGGTCGCTTCAGGATGAGAGCTGGTCGCCAGAAAGTTCCAGGCAGAATTAGAGTGTTGGGACTTTCAGTCTCATCCCCTAATCTCTAAGGCTGAAGACTAAGTTCATCACCAGTGGTCATAGTTTAATCAATCATGCCTGCGTAATGAAGTCTCCATAAAAGCTCCAAATGGACAGGGTTCAGACAGCTTCAGGATAGCCCAACACAAGGAGGCTCCTGGAGGATAGTGTGCCCAGGGTGGGCTTCCATGCCCCTTCCCATACCTTTCCGTATGCATCTCTTCATCTGTATCGCCTTTAATACCTTTATAATAAACTGGCACACATAAGTAAGTGTTCTTCTGAGTTCCATGAGCCACTCCAGCAAATTAATCGAACTTAAGGAGGGAATCCTAATGTATAACCAGTTGGTCAGAAGCACAGGTAAAATAACATGGGGCTTTCAACTGGCCCCAAGCCCCAGCCTGAAGTTGTAGGGGAACAGTCTTGTGGACTGGGCCCTCCACCCTTGGGATCTCATGCTGGGTTGGGGTAGATAGTATTAGAACTGAATTGAATAAGAGGTCATCTAGTTGGTGTCCTCTGCAGAATTAAGTGACTGCTTGCTTGGTGAGGAAACTCCCCACATATTAGGTTAGAAGTCTTTTGTGTTGATTGCTACTGAGTGACAGAATAGAAAAAGCACTTTGAGTGTGTTTCTTCAACACATGTTACCCTTAATCTTCCTGCTGAACCCCCATGCAAAGGACCAGGCTGACCTGAACAATTGGGTATATCAAAGGGCACACATGAAGAAGAGGCAGAAGGAAATCATGAAGGCATGCAATGCGCCGGATCAAGCTACCTTTTGGGAAAAACAGAGCATTTGAGGTGTCAGGGGTAAGGGGACTCTCTGAAGGTACACTCTGAAGATACAGAATAAGTAGAGTGGACTTGGGATCCTAAACCCAGCGGAAAGTGAAGAGAAAGGGTAGAGAAATGATTTATGCATGGGTGGAGCAAGAGAGCAGAACTTGAAGCCAGGCCCTGTATTGGCACTAATTTGCTGTGTGACCTTAGGCAAGAGACCTTATTCCTCTGGGTCTCAGTTTTCTTTTCTCTTTTTTTTTTTTTTTTTTTTGAGACGGAGTTATGCTCTTGTCACTCAGGCTGGAGCGCAATGGCATGACCTCGGCTAACTGCAACCTCTGCCTCCTGGGTTCAGGCAATTCCCCTGCCCTGGCCTCCCAAGTAGCTGGGATTACAGGCATGCGCCATCATGCCTGGCTGACTTTGTAATTTTTAAAGTAGAGATGGGGTTTCATCATGTTGGTCAGGTGGTCTCAAACTCCTGACCTCAAGTGATCTACCCTCCTTGGCCTCCCGAAGTGCTGAGATCACAGGCGTGAGCCACGGTGCCCAGCCTCAGTTTTCTCGTGTATAAAAATTAAAGGGAAAAGGGATAAGTTGATTTCTAAGGGTTTTCCCAACTCTAACATCCTGTGGATCCAATTACAAGTTCTTAGAGCTTCCTATATCATGTGTATAGACACAGGTATCCAGGAAGGGAAGGAAAGAGAGAGGGTGTCTCTGAGTCGCTGACAGGGCACATGGAAGCCTAGAAAACCCAGGAAGACTGAGGCTGATCCTGTCTCAGACACAGAAGCTGTAGCGGGTGTTCTAAAGACCTAAGTAAGCATCCTGCTTGTCCTATCTCCCCTATTTGAATTTAAGCCCCAGGAGGACAAAGCTTACTCTCTGGAATCTCCGCGTTTTAGACTTACAAGTGTCTTTAAAGGTCATCTCATCTCAATCCCTTACCCCAAAATGGGAATTCTCTGTATCCTACCACTGAAAGACGGCCCCCACACCTGTGCGTATTTGCCCTTCCACATAATTTACAGAGTGGAGGGCAGAGTTTGATAATCCCTTCATGCAGCTGACCTCCTGCCTCAGGACCCAGGAAATCTCCCTACGGTTCCTCTGACACTGGCTCCAGTGTGCCAGCCTGGAACCTGAAATGCCATTCTCAGCTTCTCTTCAGGGAGTGAGGTGGGCGGACACATGGCAGGTTTTGGAGTCACACAGACCCGGGTTCAAGTCTCACTTCCACTGCTCGTTAACTGAGGGGATTTGGACAAAGTACCCCAGCTTTCTGTGCAGTTAACCTGCAAAACTCCAAGAATAATCCTTCGCGGGACTGGTGAGGATACATGGGGTGTAGGAGATGAGCATTAAACACGTGCTCCCCTACGCTGCTCCTAACCTCCCTGTCTCCACCTGGGTGTGAGCATCTGTGGGGGCAGGAATTGTTTCTTAGCTACAGGATACTCTTTTCCCAGTGCCAAAAACAGTGCTTTTGTGTCCGGAATTGGTGGGTTCTTGGTCTCACTGACTTCAAAAATGAAGCCACCGACCCTCATGGTGAGTGTTACAGCTCATAAAGGCACAGTGCCCAGAGTTTGTTCCTTCTGATGTTCGGATGTGTTCTGAGTTTCTTCCTTCTGGTGGGTTTATTGTCTTGCTGGCTCAAGAGTGAAGCTGCAGACCTTCCGGGTGAGTGTTAACAGCTGATAAAGGCAGAGCAGACCCAAACACTGCGCAGCAGCAAGATTCATTGCAAAAACCAAAAGAACAAATCTTCCACCACGTGGAAGGGGACCCGAGCCGGTTGTCAGTGCTGGCTGGGGCAGCCTGCTTTTATTCTCTTATCTGGCCCCACCCACATCCTGCAGATTGGTCCATTTTACAGAGAGCCAATTGGTCTGTTTTACAGAGAGCTGATTGGTCCGTTTTGACAGGGTGCTGATTGGTGCATCCACAAACCCTGAGCTAGACACAGGGTGCTGATTGGTGCATTTACAAACCTTGAGCTAGATACAGAGTGCCCATTGGTGTATTCACAATCCCTTAGCTAGACATAAAGGTTCTCCAAGTCCCCACTAGACTCAGGAGCCCAGCTGGCTTCACCCAGTGGATCCCGCCCCGGGGGCAGCAGGTGGAGCTGCCTGCCAGTCCTGCGTGTGTGCCCGCACTTCTCTGCCCTTGGGCGGTCGATGGGACCAGGCACCATGGAGCAGGGGGTGGCACTCGTCGGGGAGGCTTGGGCCATGCAGGAGCCCAGGGTGGGGAGACTCAGGCATGGCGGGCTGCAGGTCCCGAGCCCTGCCCCACAGAGAGGCAGCTAAGGCCCAGCGAGAAATCGAGCTCAGTGCCGGTGGGCCGGCACTGCTGGGGGACCTGGCGCACCCTCCGCAGCTGCTGGCCCAGGTGCTAAGCACTTCACTGCCCAGGGCTGGGGGCCTGCCGGCCGCTCCGAGTGCAGGGCCCGCCAAGCCCACGCCCACCCAGAACTCTAGCTGGCCTGCAAGCCCTGCATGCAGCCCCGGTTCCTGCCCGTGCCTCTCCCTCCACATCTCCCAGCAGGCTGAGGGAGCCGGTTCTGGCTTTGGCCTACCCAGGAAGGGGCTCCCACAGTGCAGTGGCTGGCTGAAGGGCTCCTCCAGCGCGGCCAGAGTGGGCACCGAGGCCGAGGAGGCTCCGAGAGCGAGCGAGGGCTGCGAGGGCTACCAGCATGCTGTCACCTCTCACTTTGCCTATTATAAAAAATGAGAGAGAGAAAATAAAAGCGAATTTATATGTGACCCCAGAATCTAGAACAGAGCTCTTTATCTCTCTCTCAGCAAGGCCTATTAACTAACACAGTTTTGCTGCTGTCTGTTTTCAGAACAAAGACTTGTTCTGTGTACTCAGACAGTCTAAAATGAAGGTTGAAAAAAACAGCTCATGTCCATACACAGAAACAGAAACTGAACCGAACACCGAAACTGAAACTGTTTGTCTCTTCCTGAGAAACGAGCAAACCTGAAAGCTACTCTCTCAGCTTCAGAGGGAAAAAATGGTTGTAGATTTCTGGACTTGGGAGCAGACATTTCAAGAACTAATCCAAGAGGCAAAACCCCGGGCCACATGGACGCTGAAGTTGGATGGCAACCTTCAGCTAGACTGCCTGGCTCAAGGGTGGAAGCAATACCAACAGAGAGCATTTGGCTGGTGAGTGTGGGTTTCCCAGGCAATAGCTCTTCTGAGAAGAGAGGCTCAGGCTCAGCTTAGCATGATTTATTCCTCTGAGAGCTTGTTGAAGGAGTAAATGTCACCAGGGCCTCCATCCTATTGTGGTCATAGTACTCTTTAGGGTCGACATGATAAGACGACTCCAAACCTCCATTTTGTTTAACTGCTGGAAGTTTCTTCTTTTACTAGGTTTCCCTCCGTAAATATTTCTGGAAAACCCTGGAGAAGGCTCCCTATTCCATAAATTTTCCCTTCTAGTTTCTCACCACGTCATTTGTTCCAGACTACCTCTAGAGTCTTTTGCAGTCTCCCCAGCAGTCCTGACCAGCTTCCCCCAGCTGCACCAGCTCTCCAAGCCTTGGCACTGTTCAGTACAAGCCTGGGACGGAGCCTTTTTTTTTTTTTTAAATATCTTAAGAATTGGCTAAGATCAAGCAGTTACTCTGAACATTGCTTTACTGAAGGCCTGGGGATAATAGTATAGAATGATGTTGCAAAAACTAAATCTAAAACCCAGTTCATGGAGTCACCAAGTAATACTCCTCCCTTACTCACCACTTCCCTCTTTAACCCCCAGCAAGCCTCCAGGTTGCAGGAACCAGTTTCCTTGACCATGTTAGGAGGGTGAGAATTGCTGACCTGGATAATCAAATTTATTTTTAAATGACACACAGGACCTTCGGTATAGTTTTCATCTGACCTATTACTCAGCTTGCCTGCCTGCCCCATCCTGCCTCAGGTATGGCCTACTCCATTCCTTATGGACTATTAGCTATGCCATGCATCTTCAGACTTCCACACTCTTGTTCATGGAGTTCTGCTTGTTCAGCAGACCCTCCCCTCACCCCTCCCTGCTCATCCTTCAAGGCCCACTCTAGTGCCTCCTCCTCCTAAAAGCATTCTCTGGTTCTCCTAGGCAGAGTAAGTATTCCTTCGTATACATTCCCATAAGATAATGGGATAAGATAAAATATATATGTATATGTATACATAAATGATATATAATTATATATACATATGTACTATGTATTTCAGAATAATAAATTTATAAATAATATATGTATTATTATATATTGTATCAAATACAGTATATGCTTATTTTTAGCTGCAGAATCTGTTGTTTAAATAAAGCCTCCTAAACGTCTCCAGAACAGTTCTCAAGTCACTTGTCAGAGCCCGTATAGCAGTCATGTTGCTCTGCTTTCTAATCCAGGGAAATGTGTAAATATTTCTGTCCACACCAGCCAGAGCTTTTTGAGGGACTCATGATGTCTTACAACGTTTTGGCACTCCTCCAAACAGAAAGAAGGTGTTTCTCCTGTTGGGATGATTTGATTTGATTGTCATTTCGAGATCGGAAAAGCAACCTACCAGTGTACTTTTGGAAAATATCAATCAGCTTTTGAAAAGCATTTTGTAGTTTACAAAGTGTTTTCACATACATCGTCTCTTTTGATGCTGCCAATATAACCCTTGAATTTTTTTTTTATGGATTCAAACAATGAGGGTTATAGAAGGGAAGGGCTTTGCCCAAGGTCTTCCTGATGTAAACTGGATCTTCAACCCAGGTATGAGGGATGCAGTCTGTTTCTCCAGGTGTGAGAGATTAGCTACACTACTCACCAGAGGCAACGTGTTACAGCAGGTAAATGAGTTGAATTTCAGATGGCCTGAGATTAGCAGCATGCCTCTAACATTTACCCTGTGTGTCCTTAAGCAGGTTGCGTATCCTTTTCATGATTCAGTTTCCTTATCTGGATATTGGGTTTAATAGTGCTTACTTCACAGATGAAATGGGATAAAATTATAAAGACCAATTATATTGTATGCATCAAAATAGATACTTTACCAAAGCTTTCTATGACCAAAATTAGGAATAAGTTTCTCTGGAAGATGGCAGACATGATTTTCCCTCAGAGGCATCTGGAGATGTTTTACTAGCAAAGAGGTAGACTTGGGTGTAACATATGGGTGGATACTCAGTAGGTCACAGGAAAAAGCCTTATCTGAAACATAGTCCTTCTTGTTCCTGTTTATCAATGACTGGGACAATCTAAATCACATGCATTTTTTCAAATGGAAAAGGATGTTAGTGACAGGGGCCAAGACCATTTTCCCTCAGGTTAACAACCAGATGAAGGCATAATGGGTGTCTTCCTTCTGACTGCAGGTTCCGGTGTTCCTCCTGCCAGCGAAGTTGGGCTTCCGCCCAAGTGCAGATTCTGTGCCACACGTACTGGGAGCACTGGACATCCCAGGGTCAGGTGCGTATGAGGCTCTTTGGCCAAAGGTGCCAGAAGTGCTCCTGGTCCCAATATGAGATGCCTGAGTTCTCCTCGGATAGCACCATGAGGATTCTGAGCAACCTGGTGCAGCATATACTGAAGAAATACTATGGAAATGGCACGAGGAAGTCTCCAGAAATGCCAGTAATCCTGGAAGTGTCCCTGGAAGGATCCCATGACACAGCCAATTGTGAGGCATGCACTTTGGGCATCTGTGGACAGGGCTTAAAAAGCTGCATGACAAAGCCGTCCAAATCCCTACTCCCCCACCTAAAGACTGGGAATTCCTCACCTGGAATTGGTGCTGTGTACCTCGCAAACCAAGCCAAGAACCAGTCAGCTGAGGCAAAAGAGGCTAAGGGGAGTGGGTATGAGAAATTAGGGCCCAGTCGAGACCCAGATCCACTGAACATCTGTGTCTTTATTTTGCTGCTTGTATTTATTGTAGTCAAATGCTTTACATCAGAATGATGAAAATAGGCTTGCCACTTTCTCTTATTTTAATTCCATGGTAGTCAATGAACTGGCTGCCACTTTAATATAACTGAAAATTCATTTTGAGACCAAGCAGGATCAAGTTTGTAGAATAAACACTGGTTTCCTAGCCATCCTCTGAAAACAGTATGAAACATGACCAAGTACATAATGGATTTAGTAATAAATATTGTCGAATTGCTAAAAAGTCTTCAATCATTCATTCACTAAGTCACTCAGTGATATCAATATACTTAGCTCAGAAAGTGTGGGAGGCTGAATAATGGTGTCTCCCAACATATGCATGACTTAATCCCCAGAACCTGTAAACATGTTACTTTACATGGTAGAATGGACTTTGCGGATGTAATTAAGGACCTTGAAATGGTTAGATTATTTCATATTGTCCGGGTGGATAAGAACCAGGATTTTGTAACAGGGAGGCAACAAGCTCAAAATCAGAAAAAAGAGATTTGTCAATGGAACAAGAGGTTGAAGTGCTTTGAAGTTGGAGGAAGAGGTCACAGGCAAAAAAGTACAGGCAGCCTTTAGAAACCCAAAAGGACAAAGGAACAGATTCTCCCCTGGAGTCTGCAGAAGGAACCAGCCCTGCCTGCACATGGCTTTAGCCCAGTGACACTGATTTTGGACATCTGACCTTCAGAACTGCTTGCTCATAAACTTGTCTTGTTTTAATGCACTAAGTTTGTGGTAATTTATTAGAGAAGCAATAAGAAATGAATATAGTTATCAATACTACAGTATGAATCAGGGAATTATGTTTTAGGTATGCTTCAGGTTTGATAGAAAAAAGAGCACTTTATACATTAGAAATACCAGTCAGCCCCATCTCCTCTTGTTCTTCTTTCTCCCCTACTTAAACCCACTCAAATATCTCCATCTCAAAGAGATTCCCTTTGATTTGATGATCCTTGGAGCTATCATATTCTCACTTCTTTCAGCATTGGATTGGGAATCACAGAAGAACTTGCCAATCCTGAGATCCTCTGAGGCATCCTTCACCTCCTATTTTCATCTGTCTGCTAGGCATTTCTGTGTGGCTGTCATGTTTAAAGCCAAGCTCAACGCCTCTGACTCTCCTGTTTTAAATCCCCCAAGACGCCCAAACTTTTCACCTCAGAGTCATCTTCAACCTCTCCTGATCAGCAACACTTATTCCCTTCTGTTGTCAAGTTACTCCCATCTCTTCCTTCTACTTTTCCTTGTCATCCTCTCTCCTCACCTAGTTCAAAATTATTGAAAAACGAGGGGATTTGGACTTTATCCCATAGGCAATGTGGAGTCATTGCAAGCATTTGAGGATATGGGCAAGTTGAGTAGAACCACATTTTTAAAATACCATCTATTTTTTGGGAAAGAATGGAGTACAGAATAGAAATAGTGAGAAGTCTGTCTTGCAATAGAATAGTGGGAAACACAGAAAGAGGGTCCTGTACACAATAAATATCTTGAAAGAATTTGAAGACAAATACAAGCGACCAAAAGACCTAAGGATGAAAATATCTCCCTTCTTTCTGCCCATCTCTTCATTTTATTTCAGGATCCCCCTACCAGTGCTCTCTCTGTATACATACCCCCTCCCCAAACCAAACCACACTATTGAATTCCTGAATTCCTCCTGTTTTCTTCACAAAGAACATTGGCCTGGGGATCTACATGAAAATATTATTTATAGCCTAGCAATGCTGTATGACCTCAGCAAGTCATAATCCCTTCCGGGGCCTTAGTTTCTCCATCTATAAAATAGGTGGGGGTAAAACATGGAGAGTTGATCACATATATTTACCTCTGATCTCTCTTGAAACCACACTGAGTGACAGCAAAAGGAAATAAAGGCATCAATAGAGAAGGGCAAGGAGAATGGTTAGAAGATAGAACACTGATGGACTAGTGGCAGGTAACTGACTTAGCAGAGTAGGGTGAGCCAGAATATAAGTTTAGTGTGGAAAAACCAAGATGTGATTCATGTTGCACAATTCCAGAAAGGCTCCAGACTTTAGGATGAAGTAGCTCTGAAAGTGGGCACTGGGAAGGCAAAAGTGGGAGTGTTGGCTGAAAGACTATACCAAATTTCTTTCCCCTCGCCGAGGCAGCCTCGTAACCACACTTTACCCAACTGAGGGAGAAGAATGGAGGCTGCTTCTCTGAAGACATTTCTCATAGGGACTATGGCTCAGGGAAATCCTTAAGAGAGGAGGAGCCACAAGCAATCAAAAAGACCATGGTTGTTCACATACTGACTAATGAGACCCTCTTACCCCACTATCAGCCCTTGGAGCTGTTTTATAACCTACCTGCCCATCCCTCATAGACACATAACAGTGGAGGACTCCTTTTCTAGAAAAATGGATCTGCTCAAGATAAAAGAAAATATGTACATTGAAAGGGGGTGGGGGCCCCAATTCCGATAACCTCAGAGTGAACCCATCGGATGGAATCTCCTCCGCCAGAGCTTGCAGGTGGCTTTTTAAGGTCTCATATTTGCACCTTAAATGTGACTGGACAGACTGCCAAGGGATTCTCAAATGTTTGATAAAGTCCCCTAATATAAAGGCAAAGAAGAAAAAAGGTTAAAACAAAAAAGACTCTGAAGAAATAGAGATGATTACAGGATAAGAAAGCCAAAAAAACATTTAAAAAGTAAAACTATTATACCTCAGTGAGGTAAGAGAGGGTATAATATTCATTAGACAAGAATTAGACATCATCCTTTGGGATAACCCTAGATGAGACAGCTACCTTTGGCTGGAATCAGATCTGTGGTAGAGTCTCAGCTACAAGCATCCAATAGGCAATGTTCCCAAAAGCTTGGACAATGAGCACCTTAGTCCTCAAGGAAGTGATGTGAGTGGTGCACCACAGCCTCCACTACAATCCACATCTTGCAAAACTCAAATCTACTTGCTTTGTATAAAAAGTCTACATCTGGAGAAAGGTCTTCTGGGATTCTTTTCTGGCAGAAACATACAAGAGGAAGGTTAGTGGATAAATTTAGCCCCTACCACTGCATCTGGTCTTGGGACAGCAGATGTACACCCATAATCTCTTTTTTCTACCTCCAGTTCTTGATTTTCCTTATCCTAACACCTCTGCTGGTTTAGGTGGCTTACCTATAAGGCTATCCAAATGCTTATCGTGAGGACTGTGAGCCCTGGGTCACCACGTCCTTCTCAGTCTGTGGCTTCTTCCCTTGTCCATCTATTAAATATTATCAAACTTAGGGAAATACCAAGAGATGCGCCAGTGAATCAGTTGGGTGCAAACATATTCTTCCCACACCCATTGTTTAATAGTAGTCCTATTTCCCTCTGATGATCAGGAAGATAACTCTTTTTTGTTTAAACTTTTATTTTAGGTTCAGGGGTCTATGTGCAAGTTTGTCATATAGGTAAATTTGTGTCATGGGGGTTTGTTATACAGATTATTTCCTCACCCAGGTATTAAGCCCAGTATCCATTACTTATTTTTCCTGATCCTCTTCCTCCTCCCACCCTCTGCCCTCTGGGAGGCCCCACTGTGAGTTGTTCCCTTCTATGTGTCCATGTGTTCTCATCATTTAACTACCACTTACAAGTGAGAACATGTGGTATTTGGTTTTCTGTTCATGCATTAGTTTGCTAAGGATAACGGCCTCAAGATTCATCCATGTCCTTGCAAAGGACATAATCTCATTCTTTTTTATGGCTGCATAGAATTCCATGGTGTATATGTACCACATTTTCTTTATCCATTGTATCATCGATGGGCATTTAGGTTGATTCCATATCTTTGCAATTGTGAATAGAGCTGTGATGAACATATAGCGTGTATGTGTCTTTATAATAGAATGATTTATATTCCTTTGGGTATATACCCTGTAATGGGATCACTGGGCCAAATAGTATTTCTGTCTTTATGTCTTTGAGGAATCACTACACTGTCATCTACAATGGCTGGACTAATTTATACTGGCATCAACAGTGTAAAGCATTCCTTTTTTCTCTACGACCTTGCCAGCATCTGTTATTTTTTGACTTTTTAAATAGCCATTCTGACTGGTGTGAGATGGTATATCATTGTGGTATTGATTTGCAATACCACATTATGGTATTGATTTGCATTCAGGAGCATAACTCTCTTTCTTGTCTGCTGCACTCTTGGCAAAGGATCTCTGGAATGATCAGCCATAGCAAGACATAGGGACTTCCGCTGTGTTTCTTGGTGGAACCATTCGCCATCTAGGATCTCTAGACCTGCAGAGCCTTGAGTTGTGGCAATGGGAAGCACAGAAAATGGCAAGTGATTTAATGTGAAGCATTGTCAACAGAGTTACTCCTAAACCACCTGTTGATTTCCAGACCCATGTATTCTACTTATTGTGAGCACAGCATCATGTGATGGTAATTGATTCAGGTTGTATACTGCGTTCTGGTGGATGGTGATTCGTCTTTACGAGATAGCATCTCTAAATTGCACCACAGCTGCATCTTAAAGATCATTGATCTGCCATTAATCTATCAGGCTGGCAGCTTCTGGGAAATGCAGTATTTGGTAAAACCAGGAAATTCCATGGTCATATTGCCACTTCTGTAACTCTTTTGCTACAAATTTTGTCCCTTGGTCTAATGTGACATTATGTGCTATGTTAGTTTGCTAGGGCTGTAAGAGAGAATCAGTTTCCTGCCTATCACTTAGCTTCTAGTGGTTTGCTGGCAATCTTTAGAGTTCTTTGGCTTGTAGAAGCGTCACCCTAATTCTTGCTTTTTATCTTCACCCGGTAGTCTCCCTGTGTTTATATCTGTGTTCAAATTTCCCTTTTTTATAAGGACACCAGTAATAGCAGTAATATTGGATCGGGGGCCACCGGACTCCAGTATGACCTCATTTTAACTAATTACATCTTCAATGACCATAATTTCAAATAAGGTCACATTCTGAGGTACTAAGGTTTAGCTCTTCAACATACTTTTGTTTGGGGGGAGGGGGCAGAATTTAGTCCATTACATGAAGCATCCTGGGCTTGCGGATCAAATACTCCACAAGTCTTTGGAGATTTGTGCTGGCCAAAGCTCTACACGCAAGAAACACAAGCCATATGTGGAGTATGTGCTGAGCGCAGTCAAGATAAATCACTACCCTCTCCATGATGGAAGGGATATAATTTGCCACCAAATAGCTGGTTTGATTCCTCAAGGGATGGTGCTACATTGAGGGCTCATGTATTGTTGGCAGATTGGACATTCAGCAGTGGGATTATTCATATCAAACTTAGTGAGTGGAAACTCATACTGTTGGGCCCATGCATACCTTCCATTCTTACCTCCATGGCCACTCCTTTCATGCACACATAGTGCCAGTACTGGAGTGGCAGATGGCACAGTCTGCTATCAGCAACCGGCATAGACATTCTGTCTACTTAATTGTCTAGTGCCTCTTCCATGATGGGTGCTTTCTGGTGGGAATCAAAATAAAATACAGAGATCTTTACATTTTGTGCTCACTTTTAAAGACCTGTGTACATTCCTTTTCCCCAAACTTTATTATCTCTAATCTTCCCAGGTTTCTCCTTCCAGGCCTCTGATCAACCAGCTGGGCCATTTGTCACTGCACATGAGTCTATACTTATGCTTACTGGTCCATTTAGCTTTTCAAATCAAGTGGATGAACAGGTGCACCAATCAAAGCTCTGCCCATTGGGAGGATTTCTTCTCTCTACTACCTTTCAAGGCCACCCCTGATGGAGGGTGTAATGCAGCCACAGCCTGTTTTCAGCTTTTACCACATATTGAACTAAACCATTGGTTAACCATGATTGGCCTTTTCCTTCATCTGTTGGCTGGTTAAAAGTGACAATCCCCCCACCTGCATACCACCACAGCCACGACATGGCCAGATGTGAGCTGAGGGAGAGGTACTAATGCAACAGTGGTGGTTGACATGAGGGCTGGACCACCGGTTTTCTAGCTCACTTGTGTTCTCTAGCCCGGACTTATCCTTCTCTAGCCTGGCTGCACTGCTCCCATATTTTGATGGATTTTTAGTGGTTTTAGGACTTAATGGGCCGTTTTGAACCTAGGCCATGATGGGCATCTCTGGCCCCGTTATCTCTGCATGTCTCATGGTCATGAGTTCTAACTCAACCACAGCCACATAGATTGCAGGAGTTGTTTTTTTTGAATGACATACAATCCTCTGATGAAGAAGGCATGGCCTTGCTTCAGAGCACAAGTATTATGAACTGTATTTTGTTTTGCATTGGGATTGTCATAAACTACACATGGTATCAATTCCCACTACAGATAACTAATTCCAGAGGGTCTGCCAAATAATATGGCCCATGCGGTGAAGCTGCTTACGTTGCATTGTGGACCAGCTGCAGATCCCTTTCCTATTCTGGGTCCTATTCAAAGCTGTCAGCTATCTCTGTCTTTTGGTAAATGGGTCAGAGCAGTGTGGATTATCAGGTGTTGTGTTTCCTTTTAGTGGTGGGAGAGTCCAGATGCAATAATTCGACCTTTATTTTGGAAGTCTTTTCCTGGCATGCTCCAAATTACTATGCCCCTACATGTTTTACTGATTTGGCAGGGAATCTTTACAGAGATTATCTCACACTCTCTGGAGTGAATGTGTCTTTCCAAGGCTTCTGATGCAGTTGCCACTTTTGACTCATCAATGATGTCATTGATAGCATAAACCAATGTGATATTCTTCAGAATGTCCAGATGTGTCAGGTCTTGCAGATTGTATTATGGCAGAGGGTGAGAGGGTTAACATGACCCTGGGACAAAAGTGTAAATGTATGCTATTATCCTCCCAAATGAATACAGTCTACTTCTGATCCTCCTTCTTAGGGATGAAAAAGAATGCACATGCCAGATCAATGTCCATATACCATATATCTGAAGCTATGTGAATTTACCCTAGCAAAAGTATCACTTCTGGCACAGTAGTTGCAATTGAGATTTCCACTTCGTTGTTTGAGATAGTCCAGTGTCATGCTCTGGGATCTGATTCCTTTTTGTAGGGGCCAGACTGATGAATTAAATGAAAATATGCTGGAGATTACCATCTCTGTATCTTTTAGGTCTTAAGGATGGCACTCTTTCCCTTGGGATATAATATTTTAAGGTTTTGTGTTGGATTTTTAAGGAGGGTCCTCAGATTTTTTCATTATAGCAGCTCCTAACCCACAGACTAAGGAATCAGCAAGGGGTTCTGCCATCTACCACATGCATCCTTTCCGGTGATAAATTCAGGAACTGGGGAAATGGCCACTGGGTGAGTCCGTGGAACCAGTATACCCATGGTGAGTCTAACCTGAACTAGAACTCCTTTTATTACCTGACTCCCACATGCTTCATCTCTAACAATGGGCTATTATTTGCTTTAGAGGCCTGGGGACCAATTCAGACCATGAATCCGAAAGTTCTCAGAATGTCTGTGTATTCTCCCTTCCCCAGCATCTAGTTAGCCAAATGCATGGTTATACATCTCTTTGGGCAAGGACTGGGAGTTCCTGTAGCATTCTTTCTCCTGGGGACCTGGCCTTTTCAGTCAGTGAGTTACGAGTCTGAAAATCAGCTCAGTTCTGTCAAGAAAAGGAGTCCTGATTTGTGTGTGTGTGTGTGTGTGTGTGTGTGTGTGTGTGTGTGTGTGTGTGTGTGTGCGCGCGCGCGCGCAGCTTTCAGTCTCCTAAGCATTCATTTCTTTCTTTTAATTGTATAAATTAAGAAATATCCTTACTATCCTGGCTAACACAGTGAAACCCCGTCTATACTAAAAACACAAAAAATTAGCCAGGTGTGGTGGTGGGTGCCTGTAGTCCCAGCTACTTGGGAGGCTGAGGCAGGAGAATGGCGTGAACCCGGGAGGTGGAGATTGCAGTGAGCCGAGATCACACCACTGCACTCCAGCCTGGGCGACAGAGCGAGACTCTGTCTCAAAAAAAAAAAAAAAAAAAAGAAATATCCTTACTTATTGCCCACCTACTTGCCCATACATAGAAAATAGGAAATAGATAAAACGAGTGGATTTGTCCACAAGGCCCAATATCCAACAACAGGAGCGCCAGAGAGATAGGAAACAGAGATAATGAAGGGAAGGAAATTATGAAAGGAATATTTTAAAAAACTTTCCTAGAACTGAAGGACATGATTGCCTACTTTAAAGGGTTCACCAAGGGGCCACCTACACAGTGAATGGACAAAAATTCGTACCGAGTCACACCATTATGAAGTTTCTGACGTTAAGATATAAAGATACCCTAAAAGCCTTTGGAGATAAAAACAAAATAAGAAACAGATAAACATAAAAACAAACAAACAGAAACAGGTCACATATACAGGACCTGGAATTATAATGGGGTTGTACTTAACATCTCAGTATCTGAGGCATTAATGCCTTTGTTTGGGTGTACCATTTTCTGGTGCTTTCACTGAGTACCTCTTCGGTCTCACTTTCCCCCTGTCTGCTTGTTTTGGCCTCTGCCTTTCATGGTAGAGGATTTCTTCAGATATCAAAGTATCCTTGGCTCTCTGTCCAAGACCAAGTGTGAGACACTAAAAAGCTCCCAGAACACTCACTGTGCAGCCAGCGTAGAGAGAAACCCATCTAGATTGGGGCCATGTGATGGAAGGCTATGGGCGGGGGGGGGGGGGGGGGATGTCCCCAAGGGAAAAAGCAAAAGGAAACAAGAGGTTACCTGGTGCATTTGAATGTTTAAAGAGGAGTTTACATTTCTAACAGAGTTTGAGAGTGAGTTAAATGGAAACATGGAAAAGTAAGCAGAGAAAAAAAAAATGAAAACCAAGGCAACTATTAACGTCAGGGATAAAACAAGAGCTTGTACTAGAAAATAAATGCAATTAGAGTACTCTACACTGCTTAGCTATAAATAATATTCAAATAGTCATTAAGTATTATGACTGAATATTGGTTTAACAAAAAATGTGATTTAAAAGAATTTGAAGGTAAGAGAAGCGTGCCTGATTAGAGCCTGAGGGTGAAAGACAATTAAATGCTTATCTTGGTGGAGGAAATCAGTGATTAATATCAAAAAGTGAAAAATCAAGAAACAGAAACAAGGAGCTGAATACTAGAAGAAAAAGCTAAAAGAAAGGAAGATGATTGCTTCTGGGGAGAGGAAATGGAAGCTGGGAGGGGCCAGAAAGGGCTGATTTTTGCCATAAGCATTATAGAATGACTCTACTTTTCTTAAGCTATGCCCACATATGACTTTGATAAAAATTAAAATAAAACATCACTTTAAGAAACTAATGGCTTAATAGATTTCCAAGATCTCTTCCTGTCACATTCTCCCTTTCTGTTGTTGTTGTTCTTAATAAAAAAACAAAACAACAAAAAACAAAGATAGGGTCTTGTGATGTTGTCCAGGCTGGCCTCAAACTCCTGGGCTCAAGCAATCTTCCCACCTCAGCTCCTGGAACATCTGGGAGTACAGGTGCAGCCCCCACTCCTGGCTACATTCTCCCTGTTTATTTTCTTTATTCTGATATGCCTCTCTCCCCTTTTTCTTTTCTTTTTATTTTTTTGAGACGGAGTCTCACTCTGTCGTCCAGGCTGGAGTGCAGTGGCACAATCTTGGCTCACTGCAACCTCCGCCTCGCTGGTTCAAGCTTTTCTCCTGCCTCAGCCTCCCAAGTAGCTGGGACTACTGGCATGAGCCACCATACCTGGCTAATTTTTTTGTATTTTTAGTAGAGATGGGGTTTCACCATGTTGGTCAGGCTGGTCTCAAACTCCTTTTTCTTTTTATATTACCTAGTCTCCTCTTTTCTTCTTTACTCTGACTCCTCTTCCAACCACAATTTAAATATAATCACGGCCAGGCACAGTGAGAAACACCAGTAATTCCAGTACTTTGGGAGGCTGAGGAGGGCAGATGGCTTGAGTTCAGGAGTTTGAGATCAATCTGGGCAACAGAGTGAAACCCTGTCTCTACTAAACATACAAAAATTAGCTGAGCGTGGTGGCATGTGCCTATAATCCCAGCTAGTCAGGAGGCTGAGGCAGTAGAATGATTTGAGCCCAGAGGCAGAGGTTGTAATAAGCTGAGATTGTGCCATTGCACTCCAGACTGGGCGAAACCCTGTCTCAATAAATAAATAAATAAATAAATAAATATAATCACAATTATAGAAATGCAGACGGTACAGATGTTTTTACTTTGCAAAGGTTAAGGCAGCCCTAGACTAACATTATTTATTAAAGACCCAAGTTCATTAGCTGGAGGTAGATACCCAGGCAAGGGCAGTGGGAGGGCTGTGGTCTAGGCAATGAAGGGGACATTCACTGTATAGAATTTTAAATTCATAATAAAACGCATAAAAGTTGTTTATTTTTAAATTACAATTATATCCCACCAATTCTGAACAATTTTTAAATTACCATTATATCCCACCAATTCTGAACAATGTCAGTGATGAATTACTTCCCCCAAATAACATTTTGTTGATCTAAATTATAAATAATTGCTGTGATCACTGTTAAGTTTTAATAATACATATATAAGTATCGCTCCAACCCGTGGATAAATCCCCAGGCTCAAGATTTGATTACTTCAAGAAATTCCAAGAGTGGCCAAGAGTGAGAGGACAACTCCTTCCCTAGCCCTAGCCGGGTATCCATCTCTCTTGACTCTTTTTTCTTGCTGGGGATGTGATCTTTGAGAGAATTATGTCCCAGAGGCTCAAGACTTATAAACAAGTGTGGAATCTGTTTGGAGCTGGCTTCAGCTTTCTTCCTTCTCAGAGACACAAATGCCCACAACGTTTTGGGGAAACTTTTCTTTAAACTGAAGCAGACGGTCCCTAAGGTCTCTGTTGTGTACGGGAGGGAGGTGTTTAAAAACACCCTCTCAGTGTGTCACATAGATACATCATGGATTGGCTGACTTCATTTCATATTTTCAGGATATTCACATCCAAACTTTTGGGGATTTTGTCTCTGTGGCACCCTGTGTAACCACTCAAAGCCCAATAAATATTATGTGATTTATCAGACATTTGGGCTTAATCTTCAGCACCCCCTCCTCTGAGCCCCCCATCCAACTGCATAGTACAGGAGGGGTGAGGGCCCAGGCTGTGGTTGGCAGCCTGGGAAGCATCACTCCCTCCCCATACTGGGGAATTAATTTGGCTCCTAAAATAATGGATGGGGTCATCACTAGAAGGAAGAAAGGTACCAAGAGAAATTTATCAGCACCTGACCAAGCCATGAGTATTAGCAGTCAGGCCTGATAGCCAGCTTGGCATCAGAAACAGAAAAATGTTTATTTCATAAACACTGTACACACTGAGCTTATTCTCACGCACACAGACATCTGACCTAGGAAGGCTCAGCAAAAGCTGCTGATAACAAAATCAGTCATCCCTTGAAATGGAAAAGGCTTTTTCCATGTGTTGATCATTAATTGTTGCCAAAGGCCAAAAGGGGCTTTCAGGAATGCTAAATGTAATCTCTGGCCTTTCCTGAACCTCCTTTCATGTTCTCTGCCCCATCTACACACCACATTTTCGCCCTCAGTGAATTCAGACACTTTCAGTTTAGAGGATAATGCCCTCTGAACAACCTCAGGCCAAAAGGGCAGAGACAGAGAAGCCTCTGGAGGTTCGGAAGGACAGATTCATCAGACGGCAGAGCCGGAAGCGATTTTACACCCCTTCTGCAGGAGTGAGAGGAGTAGCTGTTTGACCCCCGCTGCCTCAGCTGAGGCCAAAAGGCACGGCTGATTTCCACTTAAGGATGTCAAAGAGGTGAGCACTCAGGGGTGATGCCTTAGGCTCTGGGTTGAACTAAAAGCTGGGTATGTAGAACCAGGAATGTTTCAGGTTTGTAATGGGAAGTAGAGAGTGGTTAGGAGGAGGGAGAGGCTGGGGAATGGGAATAAGTGGGGAAAAACAATGTATTCTGTCTCCTGAGAACTTCTAAAGAATCTCAGAGTTGCTGAAGGCCTGCAGTGTCCAAATGTGACTTGACCACCTTTTCTGGGGGGCCATGGCAGGAAGCAGTATCGGCAGTCGCTAATTCTCAGCTCCAGAGAGTTAAGAGGGCCTTTCCCTGGAGACCCTGGGATGGTGGAGAAGACGGGGCCCAGGTGGCTTAGTGGCTCAGACATCTCAGAGTGGGCTCTTAGAGACCCTCTAATCCTAATGCATCTTTTAAAAGATAAGAAAACCAAATCCTTGGAGTCAGAAGTGAGTTTCCGGTTAGAGTATAATCTTCAAAAAGGTAAAAGTATGCCTCATACAAATAGTGAACATGTTTCAAAGATTTTATTGAACTCATTAGTTAGCGGGGAAACAATAAGATTGAGAACCACCCCGAAGAACATTTGAGAAGCTAGGTCTATACAAGCAATTTAATAGCTTGGTGTGTAATAAGCTATATAAAGACATTTGAGAAGCTAGGTCTATACAAGCAATTTAATAGCTTGGTGTGTAATAAGCTATATAAAGACTGGTTTACATTTAATAGGATCATAAACTGTACACTTTGGGGCTATTAGTTCCACTGGGCAGAGATTATTTATATGTCTACTGAACTAAATTTATAAGTGAGGCTTTCCTTTACAGTGAAGTAAAATAATCCAGTAAATAGAAAGTTAGGTTCAGCACTGAAAGATTACCCAATAATCTCTTTGGCCTGTATGTAAATTTCAGATGATTTTTTAAAAATTGTTCATGGTTTCACTGATAACCGATAGCAGATATATA
Organism: Homo sapiens; assembly: GCF_000001405.40. Taxonomy (NCBI): domain Eukaryota; kingdom Metazoa; phylum Chordata; class Mammalia; order Primates; family Hominidae; genus Homo; species Homo sapiens. Next base: position 193,790 of record NW_025791769.1, read on the forward strand.
ATGATAAAGTCTCATTATGCTCAACCCAATATTTTTGTCCTTGCAACACAATCCAGAAAGACCAAGATGTCCAAGAGTTAAATTTAGGGAAGAGGTGGATCTCCTACTCCCTGTTAGCCCAGCTCACCTACCCTTCCTAAAGTGCTGCTTATGGAAACACTGACCCCATGAGGAAGCCCAAACTTCCCACATTCTCCCAACCCAAGACAAGGTCTCCATACTTTCCTTCTTCCTTCCAGCATCCCACAGGATCCCTTGGCCACCCTACTGTTACAGATAGTTAGGCATGAGAGGGGCATGAGAGGGCTCTTCCCCCACCCACTAGAAATGTCGGGTGACAGTTTGGCAATTATCGCATTGCCTCTCTAAAAGTGATAAATTGACAGCCAGTGCCAGGGAGAGGCCATCTCCTGATGATCCGCGCCTGTTAACATCAAAATGTTAATTGAATGCAGGCCCCAGGGAGAAGCCCCTTGGGCACGCATGTTAAGAGATGAAATGGTGAAGTATGACATTCTGGGGGCACATGCCACTGGAAAAAGGGAAAAAAGCCTCATAAACTCATAAACTCTCTAAACGCACTGTGCATGCTCAATTCCCAAGGGTAACGAGGGCACCATGCATGCAGAAAGCACACCCTAAGAGAAGAATCATGGGGAAGAGGCGAGCTTATCAAATCCTAGAACCTTGGTTAAAGGCGGCTTCCTTTTTTTCTCTCTTTAACCTTTAGGCACCCACTTGGATCTCTTCCAAGGGTTCTTTCCTTCCTTTACCCTTCTAAAGTCTTTTTAATAAACTTCCATTCCTGATCTGGAACTTGCCTGGGTATCTTTTTCTGCTTTATGCCCCTTAGTCAAATTATTTCTTTTGAGGAGGCGAGGACTGAAGTTGCTATGGACTGTGACAGATACACTGCTGGTAACTTGGGGTAACTGGGGGTAACTCAGATCTCGTCCACTGCTAACAGTACCACCACCATGCACTCACTCAGTTCTCATATTCAGCTGTCTCTGAGCTCTGTGGCGCCCTGTGACTTCCTTTTTGCCTCTCTGAGTTCTTCCTACAGGTTCTCAGTTGGAACTCTCATTGGAAGTGTTCAAGTGAGGCTAGGTGACACTTTGGCTGAGTACTAAGCAAGAGGACTTAAATACTGAATGTGCTTGGTTGGCATAGATGCCATTTAAAGTCCTGTCAGTGCTTAAATTCAAAGATTCTGTAGGAATTTATTCCCCTAAATGGGAATGATAAACGGCACATGCAACTTAGAAAGACTCAGGTGGGTTTGCAAAGCTGGCATTGTTTTTTTTTTTTTGGTTTTAGGAAAAGTCTAATTTCCTGGTTCCTCATCAGAGTGAATACTAATGTCCTTCCTTCTGGGAGGGTTCTGAGGATGAGACGTGAAGGCCTGAGGCAAGTGACACTGAGCTGCTTACCACCATGACAAGGCATCTGCACAAACACCCATCCTTTTGTTCTTGCCAGCTCTATGTGGGTGGCAGAGGTTGGAATAATTTCATTACCAGAGTCTATCAGCCTTGACAGTGTCTCTCTAAGATTGCCTTTTTCATGATCATTTTGTTTGTTTGCCTGAAATGGAATTCAGGTAGATAAGGAATGGGGTAGTGCAGGGGTAGCTATTAACCTTTCAAAAGATAACATGACAGGAATGAATCATCTACCCCCACACCCTGATTCCCAGGTTTGTTTTTGCTTTCTTTTTTATCCTCTAAATAATAAGAGAAAATTTCAAAGGAGAAAGAGTTCCTTATGGCTAGTAAAGTTGAGAACCATCATAATATAAGGTTGAGAGCACAACTCTGGGATAGAAATAGGAATCTTTCAAAAATGCTGGGCCAAGATTTCAATTTTGTTATTTTACTCACAGTATGGTAAGGCCAAAGGAATATGAGACATCAGCATTTTACAGATTGAGAGATGAAGCCCCAAAGACGGAGTGTAAGTTGCCCAAGCTCCCACAGCCTGTGTTGAGGCACATTTTTTTGTGTGGTTTAGAGGGGATGAGGCAGAAGGAACAGAACTCTAAGATGGGGAAGCTAGTACTCTATTTACTAAACTGCCCAAGGAGTGAGTGAGGGATATTTCTCTGAGGCTTGAGCTATAAAGCAAAGATAACAGACAGGAAGGAGTAACTTCAGCTCATTTTCCCTGTCCTCAAATTAAGCCTTTTCCTCATCAGTCCCAAGTTTCTGCTCTCAAGGCCTCCAGGACTCACTGTCATCTCCTGCTAATGCCACTCCCCAACAGTTTCTCCATATGCTGTCTCCTCATTTCTCCCAGAAATAATAATAAAATAGTAATGATTATCAACCATTCATTAAATGTCAAGCTCTTTGCACTCCACTTCTAGTAACTCAATTAACCTTCATAGCAATACTAAGGCCAATGCAGTTAATTTCATTTGATAAATGGGGATGTTGAGGCTCAGTGAGATTGAGTATCTTGCCTAAGACCCCAAAGCTGGTGACCATACAGCCAGAAACCTCACTCCCAAACCTGCTCTTAGGTACTGTGAAGGAGAGATAAAGTCTTTTTCAGACAAACAGATGCTGAGAGAATTTAGCACTACCAAGCCAGCTCTACAAGAAATACTAAAAGAAGTTCTAAATCTTGAAACAAGACATTGAACTACACCAAAATTGAACCTCCTTAAAGCATAAATCTCACAGGACCTATAAGACAATAACACAATGAAAAAAAAAATGAAACAAGGTATTCAGGCAACAACTAGCAGGATGAACAGAATATTACCTCATGTCTCAATACTAACGTTGAATGTAAATGGCCTAAATGATCCATTTAACAGATATAAAATGGCAGATAAAAATCGACCAACCATGTATCTGCTGTCTTCAAGAGACTCATCTAACACATAGGACTCATATAAGCGTAAGGTAAAGGAGTGGAAAAAGATATTCCATGCAAATGGCAACCAAAAGTGAGCAGGACTGGCTATTCTCATATCAGACAAAACAGACTTTCAAGTAACAACAGTTAAAAAAGACAAAGAGGGACATTATATAGTGATAAAAGGATTAGCCCAACAGGAAAATATCACAGTCCTGAATATATATGCACCTAACACTGAAGTTCCCAAATTTATTAAACAATTACTACTAGACCTAAGAAATGAGATAGACAACAACACAATAATAGTGGGGGAATTCAATACTCTGTCAATAGCACTAGACAGGTCATGAAGACAAAAAATCAACAAAGAAGCAATGGACTTAAACTATACCCTATAACCAATGAACTTAACAGATATTTACAGAACATTCTACCCAACAACTGCAGAATATACATTCTTATCATCAGCACATGGAACATTCTCCAAGATAGACCATATAATAGGCCACAAAACACGTTTCAATAAATTTAAGAAAATCAAAATCATATCAAGTACCTCTCTGACCACAGTGGAATAAAATTAGAAATTAACTCCAAAAGGATCCCTCAAAACTATACAAATACATGGAAATTAAATAATCTGCTCCAGAATGATCTTTGGGTCAACAATAAAATCAAGATGGAAATTAAAAAATTCTTTGAACTGAACATCATCTATCAAACCTATAGTGACACAACCTGTGAAATCCTCTGGGATACAGCAAAAGCAGTGCTAAGAGGAAAGTTCATAGCATTAAATGCCTACATCAAAAAATATGAAAAAGCACAAATAGACAACCTAATGTCACACCTCAAGGAACTAGAGAAACAAGAACAAACTGAACTGTAACCCAGAAGAAGAAAAGAAATAACAAAGATCAGAGCAGAACTAAATGAAATTGAAAGAAAAAATACAAAAGATAAATGAAACAAAAAGCTGATTCTTAGAAAAAAATAAAGAAAATGGATACACTATTAGTGAGATTAACCATGAAAAGAAGAGAGGAGATCCAAATAAGCTCAACTGGAAACAAAATGAGAGATAGTAGTAGGTTGGCACAAAAGTTACGGCAAAAACCGCAATTACTTTTGCACCAACCTAATACAACCAATACCATAGAAATATAAAAGATCACTTAAGGCTACTAGGAACACCTTTATGTGCACAAACTAGAAAACCTAGAGAAGATGTATAAATTCCTGGAAATAGACAACTCTCCTAGATTAAACCAGGAATAAATAGAAGCTCTGAACAGACCACTAACAAACAGCAACATTGAAAGGGTAATAAAAAAAAATTGCCAATAAAAAAAAGTCTAGGACCAAATGGATTCACAGCTGAATTCTAGCAGACATTCAAAGAAGAATTGGTACCAACCATATTGACACCATTCCAAAAGACAGAGAAAGAGGGAATCCTCCCTAAATCATTCAATGAAGCCAGTATCACCCTAATACCAAAACCAGGAAAGGATATAACAAAAAAAGAAAACTAACCACCAATATTGCTGATGAACATAGATGCAAAAATCCTCAGCAAAATACTAGCTAACTGAATCCAACAGTATATCAAAAAGATAATCTACCATGATCAAATGGGTTTCATATCAGGGATGCAGGGATGGTTTAACATAAGCAAGTCAATGTATGTGATACACCACATAACAAAATTAAAAACAAAAATCACATGATCATCTCAATAGATGCAGAAAAAGCATTTGACAAAATCCAGCATCGCTGTATGATTAAGACCCTCAGCAAAATCGGCATAGAAGAGACATACCTTAAGGTAATACAAGCCATCTATGACAAACTCACAGCTAACATTATACTGAACAGGAAAAAATTGAAAGCATTCTTCCTGAGAAGTAGAACAAGACAAGGATGACCACTTTCACCACTTCAATTCAACATAGTAGTGGAAGTCCTGGCCAGAGCAATCAGACAAGAGAAGGAAAGAAAGGGCATCCAAGTCGATAAAAGAGGAAGTCAAACTGTCACTGTTCACCAATGATATGATTGTATACCTAGAAAACCCTGAAGACTACTCTAAAACGCTTCTAGGTCTGATAAATGAATTCAGTAATATTTCAGGATAAAAAGTCAATGTACACAAATCAGTAGCACTGCTGTAAACCAACAGTGACCAAGCTGAGAATAAAATCAAGAACTTAACCCCCTTTACAATAGCTGCAAAAACAAACAAACAAACTTGGCAATATACCTGACCAAGGAGATAAAAGACCTCTACAACGAAGATTACAAAATGCTGCTGAAAGAAATCATAGATGACACAAATGGAAACACATCCTATGCTCATGGATGGGTAGAACTAATATTGTGAAAATAACCATACTGCCAAAAGCAATCTATGAATTCAGTGCAATTCCCATCAAAATACCATCATCATTCTTCAAATAGAAAAATAGAAAAAACAATCCTAAAATTCATATTGAACCAAAAAAGACCCTGCATAGCCAAAGCAAGACTAAGCAAAAAGAACAAATCTGGAGGCATCACATTACCTGACTTCAAACCATGCTGTAACTCTATAGTCACCAAAACAGCATGGTACTGGTATAAAAATAGGCATATAGATCAATGGAACAGAATAGAGAACACAGAAATAAAGCCAAATACATACAGCCAACTGATCCTCAACAAAGCAAACAAAAACATAATGTGGGGAAAAGACACCCTATTTAACAAATAGTGCTGGGATAATTGGCAAGCCACATGTAGAAGAATGAAACTGGATCCTCAACTCTCATTGTATACAAAAATTAACCAAGATGGATCAATGACTTAAATCTAATACCTGAAACCATAAAACTTCTAGAAGATAACATCAGAAAAACTCTTCTAGACATTGGCTTAGGCAAAGAGTTCATGACCAATAACCCAAAAGCAAATGCAACAGAAACAAAGATAAATACATGGGACCTAATTAAACTAGAAAGCTTCTGCACAGTTAAAGAAATAATCAGCTGAGTAAACAGACAACCCAGAGTAGGAGAAAATATTCACAAACTATGCATCTGACAAAGGACTAGTATCCAGAATCTACAAGGAACTCATACAAATCAAGAAAAAAACAAATAATCCCATCAAAAAGTGGGCAAAGGACATGAATAGACAATTTTCAATAGAAGTTATACAAATGGCTAACAAACATATGAAACAATGCTCCACATCATCAATTATCAAGGAAATGCAAATCAAAACGACAATGTGATACCAGCTTACTCCTGCAAGAATGGCCATAATTTAAAAAATCAAAAAATAATAGATGTTGGTATGCATGTGGTGAAAAGGAAATACTTTTACACTGCTGGTGGGAATGTAAACTAGTACAACCACTATGGAAAACAGTATGGAGATTTCTTAAAGAACTAAAAGTACATCTACCATTTGATTCAGCAATCCCACTAGTGGTTATCTACCCAGAGGAAAATAAGTCATTATATAAAAAACACACTTGCACACACATGTTTATAGCAGCACAATTTGCAATGGAAAAAGTATGGAACAAGTCTAAATGCCCATCAACCAACTAGTGGACAAAGAAAATGTGGATATATATACCATGGAATACTACTCAGCCATAAAAAGGAGTGAAATAACGGCAATCACAGCAACCTGGATGGAGTTGGAGACCATTATTCTAAGTGAAGTAACTCAGAAGTGGAAAACCATACATCGTATATTCTCATTTACAAGTTGCAGCTAAACTATGAGGAGGCAAAAGCATGAGAATGATGTAATGGACTTTGAAGTCTTGTGGGGAAAGGTGGGAGAGGGGTGAGGGATAAAAGACTGCACACTGGGTACAGTGTACAATGCTTGGGTAATGGGTGCACCAAAATCTCAGAAGTCACCACTATGCAACTTACCCATGTAAGCAAAAACCACCTGTTCCCCAAAAAGTATTGAATTTTTTAAAAAATAAAGTTCATTAGTGAAAGAATCTCAGTGCTCATTTAAAAAGTCCTCTGTAAGCATGGCTCCTCAGTGTCGTCCCTCCCTATGTGCCTGGTCATACAGGACTGCTTGATGGTGGGGTTCAGGGGGAGGGCCCCTCTTCCATTCTTAGGCTGTGCAGGAGAAACACCACAGTTGTCACCTATAGAGAAGTTCCCAAAAGTTGTGGGAGAGGTGAAGGGCAACAGTAACCTTTTGACATTGTTAGATATTTGGAGTTGGGAAATATCTGAAAGGAGTGACTGAAAGGAAGCTGAGAAGTCACAGAAACCCACTTTCTTTTTCATCTGGGGAAACTAAACAGACAGAGGAAGGAAACTGTTCAAATCTCTACTCTTTGAGAATATTAAGGTGACCTTTAATAATTATCACTGAATGGATGGGAAAGTGTGGAAAACTTGGCCTATCATTTCCTTAAACACAACTCCTTATTTATTTTTAGGTCCGTTTATCACTAAAAAGTAGGACAATTTGATGGTAACTAAAAAATGTTTCTAAATAAGTGGCCATTTTGAAAGCAGTACTAACATTTTTACATAGCTCTGTAGTTAAAAGAAACCCTCATTTTTATAGCCTGGTCTTCTTTTCAATTGTATTCTGGAGGTAGAGATCGTTGTTTCTACTGTAGAAAGATAAAAACCAATCTCAGCCCTTTTTCAGGGTGGCACTGAAGACTCAAATTGGGAATTCTTATCTCTTTTTGCCTATTCCCTCATGCTTCCCATTTTGTTCACATGAGATTGAGAAACATCAATTTTGAAGAATGCGTTCAATGCCTGCAATGTTTCCAAACCCCGACTTCCCTTCACAATGGCAGAGCTTTTCGCTGGCCCAGCTCTAATTCTAGACTTTGGATTTAGATCCCCCTCCTTGTCTGGTTGCAATGGAGTCTCTTTAATTAGATGGGCCAGAAAATACTACCCGACATCTTCAAATATTAATAACTTCATTTGTTTCCAAAACTCAGAGAGGGTGTCATAAAAATTAATGCGTGTGCTGGTGAAAATCAATTGCCTTCTGCTTTCTGGAATCATTGTGTAGGAAATTATGGGGAATTATGTGGACTTTTTTTTTTTTGCCTCTGGGGCAATACATTTTTAACTAAAGGGTATGATTTGATTATATTTGTGATGCACAAAATGGAGACTTGGTGAAAATCCTTCAGTCCTTTGTTTATAGAAGGATAAAGTTTGGCGAGATATAATACCAAGAATGAAAACCCAAGGAAATTACATCAATCAAATGTTTCTCATGACTTTGTCTTGAGTATCTGACATTTTCTTCAGTCCTTGTATTTTTGCAATTGAAGCTAGGCTAAAGTTGATTCTCAATGAGCTAGGTACACAGAACCAGACTTGAAGAAAAAGACAGATTTATAGTGGGTGTCACAATCCAGTTAGTGGAAGAGGTTGTTGGTTTGTAACCCATAATTCTTGTTGTACTACATTACCTACCTTTTCCACTTACTCTTAGAAAACAAAACTTACATGGGGGTAAAATTTAGCAATGTATTCATTTGTTCTTATATTTTCAAAATTAAGATATTTTTATTATTTTTAGTTAAGACTTAGATCTTTTTTTTACTCTGACCCTACCGTCATGTAACATTCAGTAGTGTCACGTGGCATAAGATAGGCTGAAGGCATTTTTGGGGTCCAGCCATGAGGAAGCTGGAATGGGAATACACTTAGGTCTGGATTTAGTAGAATAGATGTTATGTATTTCACATATCTGAACATGAGTAAGATTCAAAATTTTATGCAGAAAGTTGGGAACATTTCAATACATCATTTTATTTTATTTTATGTTGTTATTATTTGAGATGGAGTTTCGCTCTTGTTGCCCAGGCTGGAGTGCAGTGGCGCCATCTCAGCTCACTGCAACCTCTGCCTCCTGGGTTCAAGCAATTCTCCTGCCTCAGCCTCCTGAGTACCTGGGATTACAGGCATGTGCCACCATGCCCGGCTAATTTTGTATTTTTAGTAGAGATGGGGTTTCTCCATGTTGGTCACGCTGGTCTCAAACTCCCGACCTCAGGTGATCCACCCATCTCGGCCTCCCAATCCTTGTTGGTCAGGCTGGTCTCAAATTCCCAACCTCAGGTGATCCACCCACCTTGGCCTCCCAATGGGATTACAGGCGTGAGCCACCTCGTCCGGCCTCAATACACCATTTTAACTGGAAAGACATATTGGACATCTCATTAAATCAAGTGAGGATTTACTGACTCTAGATTTGGACATACACAAAGGATGCCTTGTTTTGTCCCTTCAAAATTATCAAAGAAGGAAAAATCAGATAAAAATTAGTGGATATTTATTGCCCTCTAAATCGAAAAGTATCTGAGACAGGGCTCAATCAATTTAGAAGTTTATTTTGCTAAGGTTAAGGACAATCCCTGGGAGAAAAAACACAGACTCAGAAACAGTCTGTGGTCTGTGTGTTACAAGGAAGTGTGCGGTCCTCAGTTCTTAGTTTTCTCGGAGGAAAGAATTTGGCCAAGAGACCAATTAGTAAAGTAGGCAAAAGATTTATTAATGGGAGAGAAATAATACACTCCAAGAGAGAAGTTGGGCTAAGCTGGCTGGGAGCAGCTCTGAGAGTTCTGCCTTGCGGTTTTTACTATGCTGGACTATTTCTTTAAGTTCCAGCTTTTGTCTTAAGTCTCCACCTTTGTCCCCATATAGTTCCCTCCCAGGCTTGTGGGATTCTCCCTTGCTGTCCATTGACGTTCATGTGCAGGCATGGGATCAATACAACTCCCATCTAATTGTGGTGTTGCTCATTCGTGCCACCCCAAGAAGGTTGTATAGCGGTTAAATCTGTACTTATTGTACCTGTGTACCTCTTAGGACTTTTGCCTTTGTCCTTCTTCCCTTCTTACCAGCATGTAGCTAGCTATGTTCTCACAGCTTAACCACAGAAAGAGTGATTACTGGGCATCTTAAGGCGGGTCCTGGGGAGTTCCTTTCCGCACAGAATCTCCCCTCCTCTCTGCTCATATTTAGCATGTAGGTTTTGGGTGGTCTCTGGGGCATGAGATTTTGCAGAGCTTCCTCCCCCTGGGGCTTCCTCTCCTGCTCATGTCTAATTATCTGCCTACTCTAACATGTGCCTTCCTTCAAAGATGATTTTGAGGGCTTCAAATTTAAAGGGGAAAAGCAGGCTGGAGGGGAAAGAGGGAGCATATGGTCACATTACTGAATCTACATATTGCAAGGAAACAGGAGCAGGTATGTGAGTAGTCAATTATGTATTTGTCTCCTCAGTAATTGGCACTACATATAAGATAAGGTGAACATAGAGTAGCTACCTGTGGCAGTATTTGGCCTTTTATCTGGAGCTATCTGCTTAGGGACAAAAGGACAGATAGCTTCTTGCGTGACTCAGCTTTCAGCTTATTATTTTTTTTTTTGTTTTTCTTTTGGCATCATGAATGGGGTCCCAAGTTTTAATTCTCCTTTCACAGCATAATTTTTTTTTCAATTTTTTATACATTTGAACATTTTTGTAATAAAAGTTAGAAACTGTTTACAATGAATGAAACATGAAACAATAATGATCAAGATGAGCAAAGAAATTGACAGAAGTTTTCTGATATTGAGAAGCAAATTGTAACAAAAACAAAAATTACCAAACGAAGTAATTCATTAAAAGGAAAAGATAACTTTCACACGGCAATAAAGACTAGGCTCTTGGGTGGCTTGATACTCCAATTAATGAGTCAAGTGAATCATATAGTACATTGAAAAATTTGAAGATATTCTGTAGATTTGACTTAGAATGCTAATAGCAATGAAGATAATATAAAACCAATCATTTGCCACTGGAAAAAGGGTGTTTTTGACAAACTTATTTTTTAAAAAAATGCTAAGAAACTTGTTACTCCTTAATTCAAAGAGTATTCAAGATAAGTCACGATACAAAGAAACCTGAAGACATACTGTTTCCATATGAAAGCAACTCAATAAAGCTTTTCCCTAATTGGACAATAATCCTAACATTTTGCATGGCATAATTAATAAAGAGTTATAAAGCTGAAAGGAATTTATCTATGTTGCAGATGAGTGATGACTACCTGGGCTGATAATGCAGGGGTAAGAGAATTTACCAAGACAGTAGTAGGTAGAGAAAGGCAGATTCATTAGAGAAAGTAGGAAAATACGTTGCAAGGAGGCAAAGGACAGCCAGCAAGAGAGGAGTTGATTGCAAGGAAAAGCTGATTGCTTGAGATTTTATGTAAGGATAGTTCTTGGGCTGATTGATAATACCAAGGTAGCAGGGAGCTTAACTTGCATTCTTCTGTTAGTCTAGGTGTTTGATAAATTGAGGCATTTGACGATAGGCAGGAGATGTGTGAATTATGTATGTTATTTGCACAGGAGGGCTGTATGTTCTGGGCCATAAAGAAAGGCAGACCTACAACTTACCTGCTTTATCTCTTTGCTTTCCCCTGGTCCCACCAGCTTGACTCCTTTTCACTAATTAGGAAGCCGCAATCTAAACTATTAATACTTTTTTTAAAAAAATTGACTAACCGTGATAGAAGAAAAGTATGTCTTTGTTCTTTTTTTTTTTTTTTTTTGAGACAGAGTCTCACTCTGTCACCCAGGCTGGAGTACAGTGGCATGATCTTGGCTCACTGTAACCTCTGCCTCCCAGGTTCAAGCAATTCTCCTGCCTCAGCCCCGTGATTAGCTGGGACTACAGGCACACGCTGCCACGCCCGCCTATTTTTTTTTTTTTTTTTTTTGTATCTTTAGTAGAGATGGGATTTCACTGTGTTGCCCAGGCTGGTCTCAAACTCCTGAGCTCAGGCAATCCTCCCACCTTGGCCTCCCAAAGTGCTAGGATTACAGGCATGAGCCACCACGCCTGACCTATATCTTTGTTCTTTACAGAAAATAACATCACAAAATTTTTTTAAAAATCGATCAAATTATAGTGTATACAGTATTACAGTATGTCAGGCTATGTGACATTTTTGAATTTTGTTATAGTTGTTGTATCTGGCCGCATTCTTAAATTTGCAATTTATTGTGATTTCTTTTCTCATTCTAATAAACATTCATTTTCACCCCAACTTTGTATTTTTGTACTCTTAAAGGGCCCAATCATATTTTATAGGTTTCAGACCCCACCAAACCTGTGACGAAGAGAGAAAGAGCCTGGTGTGGAGTTGCTGGAAGAGAGGATGATATTAACTGGGACCCGAAGTATAGGCACAAGTTATGGGGTGAAGTAAAAGAGCATGCAGATAGGTGGCCAGTAGCACTAAACTAAATTCTGGCTCAGCTGGGTTACCTCTGTAAAGAGACAGGAGGTTGAGCAGTGGACTGGATGGTTTCCAAAGGTTCTTAGTAACAATGACGATAATAATTTTTACCACTACTGAGCACTTATTACATGTCATGCATTGTGTCAGAGGTCAGCAAACTATAGCCCACGGACCAAGTCTATCCTCTTCTGTTTTTGTAAATCAAGTTTTACTGGAACACATCTGTAACTATTCATTTAGGTATTATCTATGACCACCTTTGTGCTATGATGGCAGAGTTAAGTAACTGTGACAGAGACCATGTGACTTGTATAGTCTAAAATATTTACTATTTGGCTCTTATAGAAAATGTTTTCTGGCCCCTGGACTCTGTGGTCATTATTTCTGGGGCAGATTGCATTTTCCAAATATGTCCATATAGTGTCTCCCAACCCATATGCTCTTGTAAAAATGTGAACTTGTTTCACATCATCAAGAGGTGAAGTCAGCTTCTGTCTGGGTGGGCCCTGTGACTGCTTTGACCAATAACATAGAAGTGAAGTTGGACCATTGTTTAGCTCACAGCAACTTCTGCTTCCTGCCCATAGGAAGCCAGCTGCCAGTTAAGAAATACAAGTATCTGAGACCACCATGCTGTGAAAAGCCCAAATCCCACAGAAAGGCCCTAGCATGAGATGCCATGTGGAGAAAGAGCACAAGGGTCATGAAGGAGCCCCACAGGAGTAAGGAAAATATCTTGGAAGTAGATCCAAGCACACACTGCCCCAGCTGACACCCTGTGGATCACACACAGATTGTCCAAACAAGCCCGTCCTAAGTTCATGACCCACAGAATCATTAGATGTAATAAAATGTTTGTTTTTATCCATTGAGTTGGGGTTCGTTTGTCAAACAGCAATAGCTAATTGGAATGATCTTATATAATCCTCATAACTGGCCCAGTACAGATGAATTATTAGTCTCAATTTATGAGTGAAAGAGCCAAAAGTTGGAGAACTCAAATTATATGCCCCACATCACACAGTTGGTAAATGACAAAGCCAGAGTTCAAACCAAAGTTTATCAGGCTCTGAAGCCCTGGTACTTTATGCGCCTTCCTGTATTGACATTCTGTGTGCTGAAAGCTGACAAAGCTAAGAGACGATTGGTCAAGCAGGAGGCCCCTGAGAAGGTCATATTCCCAGACATATTGGGAATTGGGCTCAAGTTGAATTCTGAGCATTCAACTTCTGCAGAGTAGAGCAGTTAATAATATGCCAAACATTGGTTCCTTGGCAATTATCATAACTGTGTTTCTTTTCCATCCACAATATGTTTTTATTTGCCTCCAAGGCACAATTGTTTTTTAAAATGCTTTCTTTTAAAATCAGCTTTATTGAGATATAAAACATGTAACATAGAATCCACCCATCCTAAGTGCACAGTTGAGTTATTTCTAGTAAATTTACACAGTTGTACAGTCATCACCACAATCCACTTTAGAACATTTCTATCATCCAAAAGGTCCCTCATAACAACTTGTGATCAATTCCCATTCCCACAGCTAACCCCCAGCCACCACTGATCTGCTTTCTGTCTCTATAGGTTTGCCTTTTCTGAAAAGGCTGTATCAATGGAAGTATACAATGTGTGGTTTGCTGTGTCTGGTTTCTTTCACTTATCATTTATCAGTAATTTGTTTCTTTCAATTGCTGAAGATTATTCTGTTGTATGCATATGATATGCTTGTTTTTACATTCACCAGTTGGTGGACATATGGATTGGTTCCATTCTGGGACTGCATCAGTGGCAGCATTTAAACAGTGTTTGATTGCTTAGAAAGACTGACAGGACCCAAAGTGACAATGCTTATAAAGGAGACAAGAACATAGCAATGTTATTCAATTAAGAACCTCAGGCACTTCCTATCACATTCTCCACAGTCAAGAAGGTTGACCAAGATTTGTGAAGAGTTAGGGGAATCCAAATTGATTATTTTGGGCCCAGGGAATCTCCATCCTTCAATGGCTTGTTCTCTACACTCTCAAATCTAATCTTGAGTTTTCTTGGATCCACCTCTCATTTTAGATGGCTACTGCTTATGAATAATACAATGTAGAACATTGGCTTTACTTGACAATTCAGTTTAATTATTGAATTTTTAAAAAGGGGTATTCTCAAACCCTCAGAATCATGGATGGCACTACAAATAGATTAGTTCATGATTATGATAGTTGTTGCTAAAATGGTAACACAGTGATGTCCTTGAATGAAATATGCAGATAAATCCACTGTTACTTGATTATGGAATTGATCCTTTTTAACAATAAAATGGGAGCAGACAAATCTTTAAAGTATCTGAAAAAAATGTTTTAAAATGAGCTGGATTTTCTCAGGATAAACCAAAAGTTTACCTTCTGATCTTGAGTAATTATGTCTGTCTCATCCAGTAGCTTCTATTCTCCTGAAAGGCAGGAATTGTCTCACTTTTGTTTGAATTTCCTTTATGGCTAGTACAGTGCCTGGCATACAATAAGCACTCAGAAAATATTTTTGCTGACTTAAAGTGTCATCACAAGCTGCTTTTTACATATGCCAGTTCCTTTACTCCTTGGGATGATTTTGCAAAGCGTTACTACTCTAGTTTTCACAGAGGAAGGAACTAACCCTAAGGGAGGGTAAGTGATTTGCCCAAGATAGTACCACTAGTAAAAGGCAAAGTTAGGATTCAGTCCTGTCCTGATTTCTATAGGGTCCTTCCTTATAGACAGGGAAACAGGACACAAAATAATCTAAAACAAGGCATTTCTTTGCCATCTTGCTGTTGTGGATTTCATGCTTTTCTCTCCTTTTTACACCATTGACTTATCATATTATGCTCTTCAATTACATATGTCAGTTTCCTCCCACAATGGCTCTGCAGTCAGCGCTGTAATTGCTCCTTATGGAACCTGAGCCCACATGCCTACAATTTCCCCATCAACTCAGCAGCTCCTACTGCCTCCAAAGGACCATGGCTAATACAGCCTACAAATGTATATGCACCTGTGATTACTGCCATTTTCCACTCAGTTATCATTAAGAAGCACTACTCTAGAGTGCCTTTTAAATATTGTGTATTGGCAACACTCTGATGTGGGTAGGTGGCTAAGAACCATTATCCTCCAAGTTATTATTGAAAAGTGGTACCCTTAAGGTGGGAGCTGACATGTTCGCTCACACGATTGAGGGAGGATGCAAAGTTCTTCTAGAATTAAGGTCCATTCCCTGCTGTTAAGTTGAGGGCACAAGGCTCTTTCCTAAGTAATTAATTAAGCATCCACTTAAGGGGGAGGGGAGGGAAACTTCAGCTAAAAAGCTACTAGAGTTTGTGTTGTACAAGAAAAAAGTGGTTGAGAAATAAAGGATTTCCCCAATTTCTTAGGTATAGAAATCCCTAAAATACATTTCAAAATAAACTCAAGCAGGTCATGGAACCTGAGAACCTGAGAACTAAAAGGACTTTGAACATATGAGGAAACTGGAGTCTATGCAGGGAGCAGGGCTTGGCCAAGTGGGTAGCCAAGAATGAGATTTTAAGACCTCCCGACATGGGCCCTCTTCACCATTGTTCAACTGAAGGTTGAGGCGGGACAGTGATGCCACTTCTACCTTCCATCCCTGGGAGCTTCTTTCAGGAGCAGTAACAGAAACACCAGGTCTCTGGGACAGTGGCTCCTGCCATCGGAAGAACATTATTTCTAGGACACCCAGAGCTCAGTCTAGAAACTCTGGTCAAGAAAGCCAAACATTGCTGAAGAGATTTAAAATGAAAAGCATAAAAGTGCTAGTACATGTGCCTGAGATAAAGCCCCCTCTCCACCTCAGGGCTGAGAGAAGCTGGTAAAAATGCTGATTCTAGAGACCTGAGACACTTCTAGGAGAGATTAAGGGATCAAGTGCAAGGATTTTCCCAATGAACCTGAAGCCCAGGGTAACTGATCATTGTCATAAAAGAAGGGACTCCCTTTCCTCAGGGTTAACCAAAAGTAGGGAGCTGCAGGAAAGGCTGAAAAGAGGTCCAGAAGGGCTGCCTCGAGGCAGGGACATCATGGAGAGCCACAGTCTGAGGAACTTGACTGGCATCCAACAAAGACAAGGCCTAGCTGAAGCAACCACCGCATAAAAACACCAATGAAATAGCCGTCGCAACTAAACTTATTGGGCACATATCATGGGCCCAGCACTTTTTAAAGCACTCTGTATACATGATCTCATTTGATCCTCATAACAGTCTCTGTAATTCTAATAAGAATTAGAGAATGTGGTAGGGCCACTTTCAAAAGTTCCGGGAAAGGATTACTATAAAGGAGAACTATCCCATTAATAACATGTTATAAGAGACCAGTGCTATTTGAGATCCCACCACTTCTCTGTGTATGTATAAATAATAATTTTTTGTATACATGTTAGTTTGAATCAGGGGAAACCTTCCATTTTGCATCTCAAAAATGGTCAAATAGCAAAAATTTTATATGGCTCAAACTAATATGTATATAAAATGTGTATTCTTTATTGGAGGGAAGTGAAAAAGTAGCAGGCAAATACAACAGTGTAGGATATGTGCTATGTAAGGAGTAAATACTGTGCATGCTGAAGAAAAAAAGACATGAAAGAGAGTTCTAACCAAGATTTCAGCGAGGTGAGCAGTCAGGAGAGACCTCTAAGAGAAAATGACGTCTGTGTTAAGACCTGAATGGATGACAGTAAAGGAAATTAATCACTAGGAGCCAGATTTAGTAAGTCAGGGATGCTTTGCATCATCATGAAGTAGCTGGTGCAGCACTTGCACTGCCACTGTAAACAAGTAAAAAACTGGGCAAAATATATGAGGAAAAAACCATTTTCAGACATTGGATAATAGACATCACAAGATCGTAATTACTGGGAATAGGAACACAAACAAAGTGAATCCTTTAATTTATTAAAGTCAACACATTGTGAAAGATTGAAATAATAAAGAATATGTTCTCTGCTTTTACAGAATTAAATTAGAAATTAAAAACAAAAAGGGATCTAAAAATAAACAACATAGCTGTAAGTAACTCAGGTTAAAAAAGAAATCACAAGGGGAATTTAAAAATATTTTGAACTGAATGAAAATAAAAACAAATGTGTGGGACATAATTAAAACAGTACCTAGAAGACGTATAACTTCAAATGATTATGTCAGAAAGTAATGAAAAGTCAAATCGATGATTTAAACTTACATGTTAATCTGCCACAAAAAGGTGAGACAATAAAATTTCAAGTGAGTGGAAATAATAAAATAGTAGAGATAATAGCAGAAATCAGCCAAATAGAAAATGTACAAATAGCAGAGAAAATAAATGAAACCAAAAGCTGATTTTTTAAAAAAGAACAATAAAACTAATAACTTCTATTTAAACACACCAAGAAAACAAGGGAGAAGACACAAATTATTTATATCAAGAACAAAAAAGGGAACATGATTACAAATTTTACAGTCACTAAAAGAATAATAAGGTCTATTATAAATAGCTTTATGCCAATAAATTTAACTTCTGATAGGAAATGGAAGAATCCTTTGAAAAACACACATGACTAAAACTGACAAGAGAAAATAGAAATTCCAAATAGTCTATCTAAAAATAATTTTATTTGTAACTAAAAATGCTTCAGAAGGAAAAATCCCAGCCCAGATGACATCTCTGGTGAATAATTTCAAACATCTAAGGAAGAAATAATAATGATTATACACAATCTCTTTCATGAAATAGGGAAGGTGATGGTACATGAGCCGTCACTAGATAGGTGTTCAAACAAAACGCCAGCAGCACCACCATGATCCTGCTTTCCTAACGGAGCCTTGTGGCGTCTGCAATTCCACTTCTGGGCAGTTATCCAAGAGCAATTAAAACATGTGTCCATAAAAATGCTTGTATACAAATCTTCACAGAATTATTATTTATGCTAGATTAAAAACTGGTAACAATCTAAATATGTATTAGCAGGAGAAGGTATAAATAAACAATTTTAATACATATATATGGTAAAATACTACTCAGAAATAAAAAAGAATGCACTGCAGATATATAAAAAAAGCATAGATTAATCTAAAAAGCATTACACTGAGTAAAAGTAGCCAGACACAAAAGACTGTGTGTGTGTGTGTATATATATATATATATATACTCTCTCTATATATAAAAATATGTATGTGTGCATATATATACATATATATACGCATATATATACATATATATACGCATATATATATACATATATATACGCATATATATATACATATATATACGCATATATATACATATATATGCATATATACGTATATATATATGCATATATATATACGTGTACACACATATATATACGTGTATATATACACACATATATATACACGTATATATATATATACACACACATATATATATATATATCAGAAAGTGTAGATTTTTCTCCTGCTAAATCCATCCTCCCTATGCACCATCATTACTCCAGTACCTTGAAGAGCTACAGGGATCTAGAAAGGACCTAAAATACCCTATGTTCAAATAACAATAAGCTCGACACCTTTTAAGTGAAAATGTTTGCACCCACTGGTGGTAACTTGAAGCCATAGGAGAAAGATAACATTTATTTCTGAAGTGTTAGTTTTGATCAAACCTGCTTTAGTTAGTTAGATTATGTATATATACACAAACCCAGAGACCTACACACAAAGCCAAAATATGTATAAAAAACAAACACTGATGTACTATGGAATATAAAAATAATAAATTTTTAAAGATAAAGCATGAGGCTGGGTTGTGGTGGCTCACACCTGTAGACCCAGTGCTTTGGGAGGCCACAAAGAGATGATTGCTTAAGCCCAGGAGTTTGTGACTAGCCTGGGCAACATAGTGAGCACTGTTTCTACAAATTTGTTTAAAAAAATTAGCTATGCATGGTGGAGTGTGCCTGTAGTCCTAGGTATTCCGGAGGCTGAGGTGGGAGGATCACTTGAGCCCAGAAGTTGTGGGCTGCAGTGAGCTATGATTGCACCACTGCACTCTAGCCTGGGCAGCAATGAACTACTGACTCAAATAAATAAATAAATAACGAAAGATAAAGCATGAGATTCTAAAGACATTTTATGTTTTCAGCAGGCTAATTTAACCTACATTTCTAGGCTTCCTTCACCTCCTGCCCTCCACTTCACATCTTCTTCCCACCCCTGTGAGAGGTATCTCTATTCATTCTCCTTGGCCATCCAGGGACTTGGATGGATATGTTTGACAAAGACTGATGAAAGGCATATGCTAACAGGTACCAAGAACTAGGAGATGGTGTCAGGTGCTCTTTGGCTTTCCTCAGCATCACCTAACCTGAGGAACCTGGAGGACTGTTGCTTGGGACCCTTCCCAGAAGAAGAAGTTGTCAATCTTGTGGTTTGACAATTCCATTACCACCCTTTCTATTTATTCTATCCATCTTCCATGACTTCTGATTGCACCAAGCCACAAACAGTCCACAGTGCATTGTATACTCAAGAACCTAGACACAGAGGCTACAGAGAGGTCACACAAACATGTGGACTAGGAACTTCCAAGTTTTTGTGAACACCGCTACTAGCTGACTCACTACCTGAATCACTGGGAGAGAATGAACTATGGGAGGGGCCTTGATAGTCTCCCACGTTTCTGTGCAACCCAGAGCATATCACAGCTTCTCAGAGCAGTTACTGGAACATTGGCTTTGCTTTACTTACGGACTTTAGGATCTATAGACTTCTTTGTTTTTAACATCACATGTTGTTTCCATCAGAAGATTTTATTGTAATGAGTCAGTGCTTCTCACTGGAACTAATACTGGTCACGGGGCATGTTTTAAAATTTAATGGGATCATTTGATTTGCTACTGTTATTAGTGGACAAGAGCCAGGAATGACAGACCTTTTGCATTGCAAAGGACAGCTCCAAACAACTAAGAAGTGTCCTGCATTCCATGTGAAAGTTAAATAATCTTTTTTATACTAGTCTGACCTGGCATATATACTAGTCTGACCTTTTTATACTAGTCTTCCTTCACCAGTGCTTCTTTTACCTCTCAAATAAACTGCTTTGCTATTGTATCTTTGTTTCAAGGTGAGTTTCTGGTGTAACCCGAACTATGGTAATTTTTTTAATTCTAGTATTTAACTCTCTCTCTCTCTCTCTATATATATACATATACATATATATACACGCACACACATATATATACATATATATACACACACACACATATATATATACATATGCTAGTCTGACCCTAGCATTTAACTCTATTTTATATGTATACTCACACTGCTAATGGCATTTGAATTCCATTGTAACACACCTGTGCTGTTACGTTTGTGCATTTGTAGCTATGGCATGCAATCTGATTCTGTGAAGAAGTGCAAGCATTTCACTACTTGCTCAGGTACTCGAGTGTGATGTGCTCCAGCAATTGCATTGCTAAAATGTCATTATTTTTTACAAATTACTTCCCTTTATTTCTTCATGTATTAAGTTCGGGGCATTATATTGCAGTCTGTGAAATGATATGTTTATAGATTACATTATCTATGATTTTTATATCCAGATACTAAATGGGATATCACAAAATATTTGTTGTTGTTGCTTTTGTTATGTGCATGTGTTTGTGTGCTTTTTTTTTTTTTTTTTTAGAAAAAAGAGCATTCAATCTAAAAGTCAAGAAAATGACGATATGGGTGATAAATATTGACAGCTTAGACAAGGGCTTGAGGGGTGAAAAAGAAAGTCACTGTGGATATAGAATTAACAGAATTTACAAAGAGATTAGATTCAGTGGATTTTAATTAAGCTCTGTTTCAACTTTCCCTTCTGTAGGCTAAATAAACCCAGAGCCATCAACCAACTTGGCCTGCTTTATAAATCTTTTGTTATCTCGGCTGCTGGCTTCAGAAGCACTTCCCTGGGTCTCTAAGTTGTGTTCAGTTATGGATTTCCAAACAGAGCTTAAACATATTAAGCGAGAAATCGGGTCTCCCAATTCCCACGTAATACACCATGCACTGGCTCACAGATCTGACAATGTAACGTGGATATGCACATGTAGCAGCCATTATCAGTGGCCTGTCTATATTCTCCCATCTCCTGTATATGTCCAGTGACTTGCAGCTGCCAGCATCTACATTTCTTTAATTAAGAGTCTTCTTTGGCCACTGAAGCCCATCATGAAGGAGGCTGGAAGTGCAACCCACCTGCATCCCCCAAATAACACTCAACCTGTAACTTCCTGCAGTAGGTGTATAAATACTGGAGCTCCCTCATCCTTTATATGGGATAACTCTAAGGTGTGTGCCCAACACTGTTCTCCAGGGTTTCCTCTACAGGATTCAGCTCCAGTCATCCACAGTAATAGATGATTTGATAATAAACCCCATGTCGACTGCCTTCCCTGTCTCATTTTCCCCTTCTTTCACCAGTGTTTCTTTCACCACCCAAATAAACTGCTTTGCTATTGTATCTTTGTTTCAAGGTGAGTTTCTGGTGTAACCTGAACTATGGTAATTTGTCATTCATTGGGCTCGAGTCCTCTCATGGTAGAGGTATGTAGTTGAAGAGCTCAGGCCTAGGAGACAGACCTGGACCCTAGCTCCCATCTGTAACAACTCACCATTTGAGTTTAGGCGTGTTACTTCTCTCTGGGCTTTAGCTTTCTTACCTTTAAAATAAGAATTTGGCTACATTAGCCTTTCCCAAAATACACTCATTGGAAGAACACTCTGTTTTTGAAATGTTAATAGTTGTCATGGGGAAAACAGAAGAGAAGGAAGAACACTTCTGGTCTATATCAGGATTATGCTGAAGTAAAAGTAGGAGTGCCTAGCTCAGTGCCTGACGTATAGTAATCTTGTAATAAATGGTGATTGATTCTGAATACTAACAAGTTAGCTCATGCTCCACACAGAATTGCCATAGACAGGGGTTCTTGACCTGAAGTCCATGAACTTCCTGAAATTATAATTAGAATTATATACCCTGTGCTCCTGTGCCCTTTTCTGGGGCAAATTTCTCAGTTTAATTATATTTTTAGGCTCCCTACAAAATTAGCTCTGTATTAAGCCATTTATTCTTATCAGTTGTTTTAAAACATAACAGCAGACCACTACTTCCATTTCAGTGATTAATCATCAATAAGCACTTATTAAACATCTTATCTCCCTTTTGGAGGAACAATTTCTAGGTCTTTGTGTAGTGGTCAATTATAGAAGGATGTAGATGAAGAGCTACATAAGAATTTCTGAGATATGAATACAAATTGAATAAAGTGATATTTAAATATAAGAATTCAGTTGATATAAGAAAAAGAACTAATGGATTAAAAAAAACGCTGTATGTCACAGGAAGCGGTATCGGCATGTAGGTAGAAATGAAAAAAAAAGTTGAATCTGGCCAGTTTGATGGAGATATGCTGTTTGTTGGAATGGGGGTGGGATAGACTCTAAATGGATCAGGATAATCAAGCTGCTGTTAGAACACTTTCTCCACTCTTTTCTGTTAGAGCAACAGACCACAAGTCTTAGATTAAAATGATTTGCCCCACTCTCAGTCCATCCATTGGATCAGTGTGTCCTGGTGTTTATTATTATTATTTTTTTAATGTTCGCTACATCTGTCTTTGGTGCCTCAATAGCTTGCACAGTCCTTTCCTATGTGTAAGGCCTTAATAACATTTTTCAGGCTGTTTGGAGATCTGATGTTATCCCAAACCATGAACAGCAGAGCTGTCTTCGCATGAATCAACCTCAAGGAGAATGGAACAAACCACTAGAGGTGTTTCCAGCTCCAATTTTTTTTTCAGTCTTTTTCTCCACACAAAGCCTAATGTTTGGTTGTTATTGACAACTGCTATGACCACATTTGAGAGTGTGTGCCAGGAGCCATGTGGAGGAAGTGTGGAGGCGAAAGAAAAAGAGACAAATTGGCAGAAATAATTTTAAGTGACGCCTTTTCCCCCAATTACTTAAACTCACCTGGCTTTGTCTACATCAAGAGAGGCATAATTTTCTTGTTTTTAAAAACAAATGATGCCTCAGTAGAAAATAAATGCATTATCATGGGTAAAAGGCAAATACATTGTCAAAATAATTGCTATGGGAGATAGAATCCAGTTTCAGCAAACTCTTTTCAGTTTCTTATAGGCAGCAAATAGTGTTTAATGAGAATAAACTAAACAATATCCTTGGTACAACGACCTCTGCTACACTTTTTCAGTTAAAATTTCTAGCTCGGTCAGTCTTTACATTTTTGTGAGTTTAGGGTCCCTTTTTAATAACTGAGGATTTTAAGTACTGGTGGTGGTATGCTTAGTAATTATTAAAGAGAAAAAATATAAAATGGTGTTCTAGTTATTGTTGATACTGATTGTGGGACCACAGCTGTGACTGTCACTCACAAAACCTATACATAGCCTCTCTCTATAGTCTCTTTGCTTTCTCATGTCAAGGTAGTTGGGTTTCAAGAGCAAGTATCTCAAGAAAACCTGATGTCACCTGTATCATCTTTTATGATTCAGACTAAGGTCACTTGGACTCAGGTGTCCTCAGCTCAAGTCACAGAACTCACTCCTGCTCCCATAGCAAACCCACCCAGACTTACTTGCTTCAGGTCAACATTACATTATAAGACAAATATCTGGGATTAGAGATAGTATTATGGCCATTTAAAAAAGTACAATCTTCCACAAATAGAAAAAATGCTATCACCATTTTTGTAACATTCTTAAATGAATATATGAGCTTATCACACCTGGCAATGAGATTTCAGTGTCTCAGTATCACCTCCCATCATTGGGCATCTCTGCTGTAGAGCAAATGCAGGTAAAACACACCTCAAAAGGGTCAAGGCAAATAGGCACTGCTTTCCACCCTTACCATGCCATTTCCACACACAGAAGATCGACCTTCTTGATCTCTACTGAGCATACCTTCCAGCACATTCCATATTCTGCCTTTTCTAGCCTTCTTTAAATCATTCTCCTACATGCGATTTATCCCTCATTCAGACAACAAGGTTGAATGAAAATACATACCTAGTCACAAAACAAAGCATCTCACAAACCAACTCTGGCTACATTTTTTGGCACAAATAATAACAATGACATATGCAGCTACCAATTTTGAGTACTTAAATGCCAGACACTGGGCTAAGTGCTTAACAGACGTTAGCTAAAGTAACCATCAATAGGATAAGAAGACAGGTCCTAATATTATCCTATTAAAAAAAAAACAAATCAAAAGGGTCCATGAAGTTTATTATAAATGTACCCAAAGTCCCAGCTATAACGTCATGGACTGGAACTCACAGAAACCTTGCTTTTAATCATTATGTTGTTATGTTTCCATACAGGCTAAAATTGTCTATATAACGTGACATTAATGGACTTGCATGGTCTGGACCTTATTTTTCAGGTTTAACAGTTTTTCTCCACCCTTATGTAATCTATACAATAGTGACCTAGTGCATCTTACTATATCCCCTTCCTCCAGAGACACATAGTCACTTTCATTCTTTTGTGCACGTGCTTAAGGTATCTTTCTATTTTCCAACTGGCAAAATAAAAATTCCCTGCAAAATTCCATTTCCTCTAGGAATCCTGTGCTGACTTCTTCAGACAGTTAAATGTCTCTCCTCTCAATCTCTATGTCACTGAATACATTCCTCTATTAAAACTTCTCTGAAATCATTGAATTTAATTATCTGGGTGTCTTTCCCACAAGGTACTGTACTACGTGAGGCCTGAGAGGTACCATTTGTCTGCAAAGCTCAAAGATGAACACAGCACTTGTACCAAGTAGTCATACATTAAATATTTGTTAGAACTTTAGTTTCTTGCCATGATGAAGTGCACTAGCCTTCTTGTAGTAAACAATCATAAGCCTGGATAAATAATATAACTGTTTTCTGATGTTGAACCAAAGGTAGTGGAAGACTGTGCTCTCTGAGAGCTGGGAAACAAACAAGATAATCCCCACAATAACCGTGGCTTTCTGCCTGAAGGCACTTTTGGACTGTAGGGCAGTGAAAAAAAAGCCAAAACAGCACAGTTGCCTCACTGAGCTAAAAAAGATAAAGGCCAGAATTTAAGACTACTGAAACAGTTGGAGTTTCTGGAAACAGGATAAGAGGGAAAAGGAAGCTGAGTAGAGAAGGAACTCCAGAAATCTGCATAGGGAGCCCCTTGAGTCTTTGGCTGAGTATTAGCCTGTGTATATACACAGAAAAATTTCATAAAGCTATGCTAGAAGCATTTACCAGAGGGAAAAAATACTGGGGAACTGTGAGCTAAACAAACCCCAGAGTTTGCACAGGGCTAGAAGATGATTGCATTCTGATCTGCCAGAGTGGAGACATTTTGCTAAACATCCCAGATATGCAATAAAACTTATAGAAAAGCAATACTTTAGGAATAGAATTAGTAGAACCCTAAGGTAGACATAATTCTAGTCTTTAAAAGTTTATGAATAAATCTCAAAAGGAACATGTTAATCCTTGAGCAAATTCAATGCCGAATGGAACAAAACACAAAATTCTATTATGAAAGAAGAGAAAATTCTCCAAAAATGTAATTTTTACAATATCAACTGTACAATCAAATTTACTACATATGTAAATGAACATAAATATGTGATCCATAACTATAGAAAAGTCAGAAAAATAGAAATAAAGAAATGGGAAAGGTGATAAAATTAGTAAATAAGAATTTGAAAACAACTGTTATAATTATATTCAAGAATTTAAAGGATAGCATAAGCATAGTGAGAGAACAAATAGGGAATCTGAATAAAGGGAAATGTAGCATAATAAAATGGAAATTCTAGAATTGAAAGATGTAATATTTAAAAGGAAAAAATTATGAGATGAGTTTAATAGCAGATTAGACAGTCGATAAGAGAGGTTAATAGTAGATTAGACAGTCCATAAGAGAGGTTAAGATAGAAGAATATAAATTATATAAATGGGAGGATGTCACAAAAAATAAAATGCTGAGGGAAGTGAATAGCATCTCTGTGAGCTCTGGGACAATATAAAGGAGTCTAGTAAGTGTGTAATTGGAATACCAGGAGGAGACAAAAGAGAAGTTGAAGTGGGGAAAAATATTTACAGAAATAATGGTTGAAACCTTTTAAATAACATGAACAATATAAATCCATGGCTACAAGAAATTCAGTGTACTTCAAGCAAGATAGACACAAAGAAAACTAGTCCATAGTATGTTATAATCCAATTGATGTAAACCAGTAATATGTAAAATTAATAATAAAAAAATGTTAAAAGCAGCCAGAGGGAATAAGAAAAGACATATCAAAAACAAACATGAGAACAACTGATTATGAGTTGTTCTCAATTATCGATTATCACTGATTTCTTATCAGAAACTACTCAAATCAGAGAAAATTGGAACATCTGATGTGGTGGCAAGAAAACCTGTCAACTTAGAAATCACATCCAAAGAAAATGTTGTAAAAATGAAGGCAAAATACAGTATTTTCAGATAGACGAAAAGCTGAGAGACTTTGCGGCTAGCACATCTTCCTTTGGGCTGAGAGCTACATAAAAGAATAAAAAGAGCCAGAAATGGAGCCAGGCGCAGTGGCTCATGCCTGTAATCCTAGCACTTTGGGAGGCTGAGACGGGCAGATCATTTGAAGTCAGGAGTTCGAGACCAGCCTGGCCAACATGGTGAAACCCCATCGCTACTAAAAATACAAAAAATAGCTGGGCGTGGTGGCATGTGCCTGTAATCCCAGCTACCTGGGGAGCTGAGGCAGGAGAATTGCTAGAGCCCACAAAGTGGAGGCTGTAGTGAGTTGAGCCACTGCACTCCAGCCTGGGCGACAGAGCAAGACTCTGTCTCAAAAAAAAAAACACAAAAAACAAAAAACAAAACTGAGAGAGCCAGAAATGGTAAATACATGTATGTATTTAAATTTTTTCTCAACTCTTAAAGTTTTTAAAAGACAACTATTTAAAAAGAAAAAATAATGTATTATAGGGTTCACAGCACATGAACAAGTAAAACACATAACAACAGCACAAAAGATAGGGCTGAAATGGAGATAGAGTGTTAAAGAGTATTTATATATGAAGTAATATATATTATTTGAAGGTTGACAGTGATAAGCTAAAGATGTGTATTATGAACCCTAAAATTACCTCTGAGAAATAAAGCAGAGGGATGGCTAATAAACCAAAAGGAAAGATAAAATAAAATAATAGAAAGTATTTAGTTGGTTCAAAAACAGGCAGAAAAGTAGGGAGAAAATCATGAAGAACAGAGCCAAAAATTAGAAAGTGAATATCAAATTGGCACAGTAATACTCCACATAATAATTACATTAAATATAAATAGACCAAAAAATCCAGTCAAAAAAAGATTTTAAGATTTGATTAAAAAGGAAACACCAGCCATGCAGGGTGACTCATATCTGCCATTGCAGTACTTTGGGAGACTGAGGCAGAAGGATCACATGAGGCCAGGATTTTGAGACCAGCCTGAGAAAGAAAGCAAGACCCTGACTCTACAAAAAAAAGGAAATAGCTAACTATATGCTGTTTACAAAAGACACATATTAAATATAAAAGACATATGTTAAATATAAATATATAAAATATATAAATTATATAATATATAAATATATAAAATATATAAGTTAAAGTTAAAAGATAGAAAAAGACAAACAAGGAAATATTAATCATAAGAAAACTGGAGAGGTTCTGTTAATATAAAACAAAGTACATACAGAACATTTCAGTATCACCAGAGATAAGGAGGGAAATTTCACAATGATTAATAAGTACCAATTTGGGGAGGAGCCAAGATGGCCGAATAGGAACAGCTCCCGTCTGCAGCTCCCAGCCTGAGCGACGCAGAAGACGGGTGATTTCTGCATTTCCATCTGAGGTACCGGGTTCATCTCACTAGGGAGTGCCAGACAGTGGGCGCAGGTCAGTGGGTGCGCGCACCGTGCGCGAGCCGAAGCAGGGCGAGGCATTGCCTCACACGGGAAGCACAAGGGGTCAGGGAGTTCCCTTTCCTTTTTTTTTTTTTTTTTTTTTTTTGGGAGTTCCCTTTCCTAATCAAAGAAAGGGGTGACGGACGGCACCTGGAAAATCGGGTCACTCCCACCCGAATACTGCGCTTTTCCGACGGGCTTAAAAAACGGCACAGCACGAGATTATAACCCGCACCTGGCTCGGAGGGTCCTACCCCACGGAGTCTCGCTGGTTGCTAGCACAGCAGTCTGAGATCAAACTGCAAGGCGGCAGCGAGGCTGGGGGAGGGGCGCCCGCCATTGCCCAGGCTTGCTTAGGTAAACAAAGCAGCGGGAAGCTCGAACTGTGTGGAGCCCACCACAGCTCAAGGAGGCCTGCCTGCCTCTGTAGGCTCCACCTCTGGGGGCAGGGCACAGACAAACAAAAAGACAGCAGTAACCTCTGCAGACTTAAATGTCCCTGTCTGACAGCTTTGAAGAGAGCAGTGGTTCTCCCAGTTCGCAGCTGGAGATCTGAGAACGGACAGACTGCCTCCTCAAGTGGGTCCCTGACCCCTGACCCCCGAGCAGCCTAACTGGGAGGCACCCTCCAGCAGGGGCACACTGACACCTCACACTGCAGGGTACTCCAACAGACCTGCAGCTGAGGGTCCTGTCTGTTAGAAGGAAAACTAACAAACAGAAAGGACATCCACACCAAAAACCCATCTGTACATCACCATCATCAAAGACCAAAAGTAGATAAAACCACAAAGATGGGGAAAAAACAGAACAGAAAAACTGGAAACTCTAAAAAGCAGAGTGCCTCTCCTCCTCCAAAGGAACGCAGCTCCTCACCAGCAACGGAACAAAGCTGGACGGAGAATGACTTTGACGAGCTGAGAGAAGAAGGCTTCAGACGATCAAATTACTCTGAGCTATGGGAAGACATTCAAACCAAAGGCAAAGAAGTTGAAAACTTTGAAAAAAATTTAGAAGAATGTATAACTAGAATAATCAAAACAGAGAAGTGCTTAAAGGAGCTGATGGAGCTGAAAACCAAGGCTCGAGAACTACGTGAAGAATGCAGAAGCCTCAGGAGCCAATGCGATCAACTGGAAGAAAGGGTATCAGCAATGGAAGATGAAATGAATGAAATGAAGCGAGAAGGAAAGTTTAGAGAAAAAAGAATAAAAAGAAACGAGCAAAGCCTCCAAGAAATATGGGACTATGTGAAAAGACCAAATCTACGTCTGATTGGTGTACCTGAAAGTGATGGGGAGAATGGAACCAAGTTGGAAAACACTCTGCAGGATATTATCCAGGAGAATTTCCCCAATCTAGCAAGGAAGGCCAACATTCAGATTCAGGAAATACAGAGAATGCCACAAAGATACTCCTCGAGAAGAGCAACTCCAAGACACATAATTGTCAGATTCACCAAAGTTGAAATGAAGGAAAAAATGTTAAGGGCAGCCAGAGAGAAAGGTCGGGTTACCCTCAAAGGAAAGCCCATCAGACTAACAGCGGATCTCTCGGCAGAAACCCTACAAGCCAGAAGAGAGTGGGGGCCAATATTCAACATTCTTAAAGAAAAGAATTTTCAACCCAGAATTTCATATCCTGCCAAACTAAGCTTCATGAGTGAAGGAGAAATAAAATCCTTTACAGACAAGCAAATGCTGAGAGATTTTGTCACCACCAGGCCTGCCCTAAAAGAGCTCCTGAAGGAAGCGCTAAACATGGAAAGGAACAACCGGTACCAGCCACTGCAAAATCATGCCAAAATGTAAAGACCATCGAGACTAGGAAGAAACTGCATCAACTAACGAGCAAAATAACCAGCTAACATCATAATGACAGGATCAAATTCACACATAACAATATTAACTTTCAATGTAAATGGACTAAATGCTCCAATTAAAAGACACAGACTGGCAAATTGGATAAAGAGTCAAGACCCATCAGTGTGCTGTATTCAGGAAACCCATCTCACGTGCAGAGACACACATAGGCTCAAAATAAAAGGATGGAGGAAGATCTACCAAGCAAATGGAAAACAAAAAAAGGCAGGGGTTGCAATCCTAGTCTCTGGTAAAACAGACTTTAAACCAACAAAGATCAAAAGAGACAAAGAAGGCCATTACATAATGGTAAAGGGATCAATTCAACAAGAAGAGCTAACTATCCTAAATATATATGCACCCAATACAGGAGCACCCAGATTCATAAAGCAAGTCCTGAGTGACCTACAAAGAGACTTAGACTCCCACACATTAATAATGGGAGACTTTAACACCCCACTGTCAACATTAGACAGATCAACGAGACAGAAAGTCAACAAGGATACCCAGGAATTGAACTCAGCTCTGCACCAAGCGGACCTAATAGACATCTACAGAACTCTCCACCCCAAATCAACAGAATATACATTTTTTTCAGCACCACACCACACCTATTCCAAAATTGACCACATACTTGGAAGTAAAGCTCTCCTCAGCAAATGTAAAAGAACAGAAATTATAACAAACTATCTCTCAGACCTCAGTGCAATCAAACTAGAACTCAGGATTAAGAATCTCACTGAAAGCCGCTCAACTACATGGAAACTGAACAACCTGCTCCTGAATGACTACTGGGTACATAACGAAATGAAGGCAGAAATAAAGATGTTCTTTGAAACCAACGAGAACAAAGACACCACATACCAGAATCTCTGGGACGCATTCAAAGCAGTGTGTAGAGGGAAATTTATAGCACTAAATGCCCACAAGAGAAAGCAGGAAAGATCCAAAATTGACACCCTAACATCACAATTAAAAGAACTAGAAAAGCAAGAGCAAACACATTCAAAAGCTAGCAGAAGGCAAGAAATAACTAAAATCAGAGCAGAACTGAAGGAAATAGAGACACAAAAAACCCTTCAAAAAAATCAATGAATCCAGGAGCTGGTTTTTTGAAAGGATCAACAAAATTGATAGACCGCTAGCAAGACTAATAAAGAAAAAAAGAGAGGAGAATCAAATAGACACAATAAAAAATGATAAAGGGGATATCACCACCGATCCCACAGAAATACAAACTACCATCAGAGAATACTACAAACACCTCTATGCAAATAAACTAGAAAATCTAGAAGAAATGGATACATTCCTGGACACATACACTCTCCCAAGACTAAACCAGGAAGAAGTTGAATCTCTGAATAGACCAATAACAGGAGCTGAAATTGTGGCAATAATCAATAGTTTCCCAACCAAAAAGAGTCCAGGACCAGATGGATTCACAGCCGAATTCTATCAGAGGTACAAGGAGGAACTGGTACCATTCCTTCTGAAACTATTCCAATCAATAGAAAAAGAGGGAATCCTCCCTAACTCATTTTATGAGGCCAGCATCATTCTGATACCAAAGCCGGGTAGAGACACAACCAAAAAAGAGAATTTTAGGCCAATATCCTTGATGAACATTGATGCAAAAATCCTCAATAAAATACTGGCAAACCGAATCCAGCAGCACATCAAAAAGCTTATCCACCATGATCAAGTGGGCTTCATCCCTGGGATGCAAGGCTGGTTCAATATATGCAAATCAATAAATGTAATCCAGCATATAAACAGAGCCAAAGACAAAAACCACATGATTATCTCAATAGATGCAGAAAAAGCCTTTGACAAAATTCAACAACCCTTCATGCTAAAAACTCTCAATAAATTAGGTATTGATGGGACGTATTTCAAAATAATAAGAGCTATCTATGACAAACCCACAGCCAATATCATACTGAATGGGCAAAAACTGGAAGCATTCCCTTTGAAAACTGGCACAAAACAGGGATGCCCTCTCTCACCGCTCCTATTCAACATAGTGTTGGAAGTTCTGGCCAGGGCAATCAGGCAGGAGAGGGAAATAAAGGGTATTCAATTAGGAAAAGAGGAAGTCAAATTGTCCCTGTTTGCAGACGACATGATTGTTTATCTAGAAAACCCCATCGTCTCAGCCCAAAATCTCCTTAAGCTGATAAGCAACTTCAGCAAAGTCTCAGGATACAAAATCAATGTACAAAAATCACAAGCATTCTTATACACCAACAACAGACAAACAGAGAGCCAAATCATGAGTGAACTCCCATTCACAATTGCTTCAAAGAGAATAAAATACCTAGGAATCCAACTTACAAGGGATGTGAAGGACCTCTTCAAGGAGAACTACAAACCACTGCTCAAGGAAATAAAAGAGGATACAAACAAATGGAAGAACATTCCATGCTCATGGGTAGGAAGAATCAATATCGTGAAAATGGCCATACTGCCCAAGGTAATTTACAGATTCAATGCCATCCCCATCAAGCTACCAATGACTTTCTTCACAGAATTGGAAAAAACTACTTTAAAGTTCATATGGAAGCAAAAAAGAGCCCGCATCGCCAAGTCAATCCTAAGCCAAAAGAACAAAGCTGGAGGCATCACACTACCTGACTTCAAACTATACTACAAGGCTACAGTAACCAAAACAGCATGGTACTGGTACCAAAACAGAGATATAGATCAATGGAACAGAACAGAGCCCTCAGAAATAACGCCGCATATCTACAACTATCTGATCTTTGACAAACCTGAGAAAAACAAGCAATGGGGAAAGGATTCCCTATTTAATAAATGGTGCTGGGAAAACTGGCTAGCCATATGTAGAAAGCTGAAACTGGATCCCTTCCTTACGCCTTATACAAAAATCAATTCAAGATGGATTAAAGATTTAAACGTTAGACCTAAAACCATAAAAACCCTAGAAGAAAACCTAGGCATTACCATTCAGGACATAGGCATGGGCAAGGACTTCATGTCTAAAACACGAAAAGCAATGGCAACAAAAGACAAAATTGACAAATGGGATCTAATTAAACTAAAGAGCTTCTGCACAGCAAAAGAAACTACCATCAGAGTGAACAGGCAACCTACAAAATGGGAGAAAATTTTCGCAAGCTACTCATCTGACAAAGGGCTAATATCCAGAATCTACAATGAACTCAAACAAATTTACAAGAAAAAAACAAACAACCCCATCAAAAAGTGGGAGAAGGACATGAACAGACACTTCTCAAAAGAAGACATTTATGCAGCCAAAAAACACAGGAAAAAATGCTCACCATCACTGGCCATCAGAGAAATGCAAATCAAAACCACAATGAGATACCATCTCACACCAGTTAGAATGGCAATCATTAAAAATCAGGAAACAACAGGTGCTGGAGAGGATGTGGAGAAATAGGAATACTTTTACACTGTTGGTGGGACTGTAAACTAGTTCAACCACTGTGGAAGTCAGTGTGGCGATTCCTCAGGGATCTAGAACTAGAAATACCATTTGACCCAGCCATCCCATTACTGGGTGTATACCCAAATGACTATAAATCATGCTGCTATAAAGACACATGCACACGTATGTTTATTGCGGCATTATTCACAATAGCAAAGACTTGGAACCAACCCAAATGTCCAACAATGATAGACTGGATTAAGAAAATGTGGCACATATACACCATGGAATACTATGCAGCCATAAAAAATGATGAGTTCATGTCCTTTGTAGGGACATGGATGAAATTGGAAACCATCATTCTCAGTAAACTATCGCAAGAACAAAAAACCAAACACCGCATATTCTCACTCATAGGTGGGAATTGAACAATGAGATCACATGGACACAGGAAGGGGAACATCACACTCTGGGGACTGTTGTGGGGTGGCAGGGGGGGAGGGATAGCAGTGGGAGATATACGTAATGCTAGATGACAAGTTAGTGGGTGCAGCACACCAGCATGGCACATGTATATGTATGTAACTAACCTGCACAATGTGCACATGTACCCTAAAACTTAAAGTATAATAATAAATAAATAAATAAATAAAAAATTACCTAAAAAAAAAGTACCAATTCATCAAGAAAACATAAAACATGATCCTAAGTGTGTATGCACCTAAATACACGACTTCTAAATACACTAAACAAAAACCGAGAGAATTGAAAGAAGGAAAAAAATCCACAATTACAGTTGGAAATTTCAAAACTCCTCTCTCAGGAATAAATAGAACAAGAAGGCAACATCTAATAAGGAGATAGTCTTGAGCAACACTATCAATCAACTTGCCCAATGGACATTTATAGAAGACTTTACCCAACAACTGCAGTATACAGGTTTTCTTCAAGTACACATGAAACATTTGTCAAGAGAAGCCATATGGTAAGCCAAAATCTGAGTGTTCATAAATTTTTAAATATATACAGAATATAAACATCTATTATATATACAAATATATAATAGGTATATAACTATAATATATATATAGAATATAGACATATAATAGATTATATATGTATCTATTTTATATATATAATAGATTATCTATATCATAGATTCCGGGGGTAATGTGCAGATTCGTTACATGGGCATATTGCATAATGCTGGGTTTGGGCTTCTAGTGAACCTATCACTGAAATAGTGAACATAGTATCCAGTAAGTAGTTTTTCCAACTCTTGCTCCCTCACTCCCTCTCCCCTTTTGGAGTCTCCAGTTTCTATTGCTTCTATCTTTATTTTCATGAGAACCTATTCTTTAGTTCTCACTTGTAAGTAAGAATATGCAGTATTTGATTTTCTGTTTCTGCATTAATTCACTTAGGATTATTGTCTCCAGCTCCACTCATGTTGCTGCAAAGGATGTGATTTTATTCATTTTTATGGCTATGTAGTATTCTATGGTGTACATGTATCACATTTTCTTTATCCAATACACCATTGATGGACACATAAGTTGATTCCATGCCTTTGTTATTGTGAATAGTGCTGTGATAAATATATGAGTGCAAGTGCCTTTTTTTTTCCTTTTCAGGTCAGATGGATAATGTGCTGATGTCATAACAAGATTCAGAGGGTGGCACATCTCACACATGAGCATGAACACCCAATCATCATGTTCATGAACTGCAAAAGGATCTGCAGGTATCTTTTTGAAAGAATCATTTCTTTTCCTTTAGGTAGATACCCAATAATGGGAATTGCTGGGTCGTATAGTAGATTGATCTATTTTTAGTTCTTTGAGAAATCTTCATATTGTTTTCCATAGGGGTGGAACTAATTTACATTCCCACCAACAGTGTATAAGTGTTCCTTTTTCTCTGCATCCTTACTAACATCTGTTATTTTTTGACTTTTTAATAATAGCCCTTCTAACTGGTGTGAGATGGTATCTCCTTGTGGTTTTAATTTGCATTTCTCTGATGATCAGTGATGTTAACATTTTTTCCATATATTTGTTGGCTGTTTGTATGTTTTTTTAAGAAGTGTCTGTTCATGTCCTTTGCCCAATTTTAATGTTTATTTCTTGCTGACTTACTAAAATTTCTTATAGATTGTGGATATTAGACCTTCTTTGGATGCATAGTTTGCAAATATTTTCTCCCATGTTGTAGGTTGCCTGTTTACTCTGTTGGTTGTTTCTTTTGCTGGGCAGAAGCTCTTTAGTTTAATTAAATCCCATTTGTCTATTTTTGTTTTTGTTGCATTTGCTTTTAATGTCTTAGCCATAAATTCTTTGGCTAGGCCAATGTCCAGAAGAGTATTTCCTAGATTTTATTCTAGCATTTTTATAGGTTGAGGTCTTACATTTAAGTCTTTAATCCATCTTGAGTTAATTTTTGCATATGGTGAGAAGTAGGGGTACAGTTTTATTCTTCTAAATATGGCTAGGCAATTTTCCAAGAACCATTTACTGAATAGGGTGTTGATATAGCTTGATATTTGTCTTTGCCAAAATCTCATGTTGAAATGTAATCCTAGCCAGGCATGGTGGCTCATGCCTGTAATCTCAGCACTTTGGGAGGCCAAGGCAGGTGGATCATCTGAGGTCAGGAGTTCTAGGCTTGGCAAACATATTGAAACTCTGCCTCTACTAAAAATACAAAAAAAAATTATCCAGGTGGAGTGGTGTGTGCCTGTAGTCCCAGCTACTCAGGAGGCTGAGGCAGGAGAATTGCTTGAACCTGGGAGGCAGGGGTTGCAGTGAGTCAAGATCCTGCCATTGCACTCCAGCATGGGCGAAAGAGCGAGGCTCCATCTCAAAACAAACAAAAGAAAGAAACATAATCCCCAGGATTGGAATTGGGGCCTGGTGAGAGGTGTTTGGGTCACGGGGGCGGATCCCTCATGGCTTGCTGCTGTCCTTACTATAGTGAGTTCTCAAATGATCTGGTTGTTTAAAGTGTGTGGTACCTCTTCCCTTCTCTCTTGCTCCTACTCCTACCATATGAGATGCCTGCTCCCCCTTCACCTTCCACCATGATTGTAAGCTTCCTGAGGCCACTCCAGAAGCTGAGCAGATGCTGACACCATGCTTCCTGTACAGCTTGCAGAGCTATGAGCCAATTAAACCTTGTTTCCTTATAAATTACCCTGACTCAGGTATTTGTTTATGACAATGCAAGAACAGCCTAAGACAGATGTTCTTTCTCCATTGTTTATTTTTGCCAACTTTATTGCAGATCAGTTGATTGTAGGTGTATGGCTTTATTTCTGAGTTATCTATTCCGTTCTATTGGTCTATGTATCTATTTTTGTACCAGTACCATGCTGTTTGGATTACTCTAGCCTTCTAATATAGTTTGAAGTCTGGTAATGTTATGCTTCTGGCTTTATTCTTTTTGCTTAGGATTGCTTTGGCTATTTGGGTTCTTTTTGGTTCCATACAAATTTTAGACCAGTTTTTTTCTAGTTCTGTGAAAAACAACATTGGCAATTTGATAGAAATTGCTTTAAATCTGTAATTTACTTTGGCAAGTATGGCATTTTAATGACATTGATTCTTCCACTCCATAAGCATGGAATGTTTTTCCATTTGTTTATGTTGTTTCTGATTTCTTTCAGCAGTGTTTTGTAGTTCTCCTTGTAGAGATCTTTTACCTCCTTGGTTAAATGTATTCCTAGGTATTTTGTGTGTGTGCGTGTGTGTGTGTGTGTGTGTATGTATTGTAAATGGGATTGATATCTTAATTTGTTTCTTAGTTTAAATGCTATTGGTGTATAGAAATGCTACTTGTTTTGTAGGTTGATTTTGTATCTTAAAACCACTGAATTCATTTATCAGGTCTAGGATTCTTTTGGAGAAAATTAGGGCTTTCTAGGTATAGGATCTTGTCATCAGCAAACAGAGAAGATTTGTCTTCCTCTTTTCATATTTTGTTGCCTTTTATTTTTTTCTTTTGTCTAATTGGTCTGGCTAGGACTTCTAGTACTATGTTGAATACGAGTTGTGAGAGTAGGTAACCTTATCTTGTTGCAATTCTTAGGGGGAATGCTTTTAACTTTCACCTGTTCAGTATGATGTTGGCTGTGGGTCTGTCATATATGGCTCTTATTATTTTGAGTTATGTTCCTTCAATGCCTAGTTTGCTGAGGATTTTTATCATGAAGGGATGTTGGATTTTATTGGATGCTTTTCTTTTTTCTGGGCCCGTTGAGATCATATAGTTTTTTATTTTAATTCTGTTTATGTGGTGAGTCACATTTATTGATTTGCATATGTTGAACCATTCTTGAGTCCCATGAATAAAAAACACTTGAGTGTGATAATTTATCTTTTTGATGTGCTATTGGATTCAGTTTGCTAGTATTGTTTTGAGCATTTTTATGCCTATGTTCATCAGGGATATGGGCCTGTAGTTTTCTTTTTTGGTTGTGTCTTTGCCAGATTTTGATATCAGGATAATATTGGTTTAATAAAATGAGTTAGGGAAGAATCCCTCCCCTTCAATTTTTTGGAGTAGTTTCAATAAGATTGGTACCAGCTGTTCTTTGAATGTCTGGTAGAATTTGGTGGTGTATCTATTTGGTCCAGGGTTTTTTTTTGATGGTAGATTTTTTATTGCTGATTTACTTTCATAACTTGTTATTGGTCTGTTCAGGATTTCAATTTATTGGTGGTTCAATCTTGGGAGGTTGTGTTTTCGGGAATTTATTTCTATTTCCTCTAGGTTTTCTATTTTATGTGCATAGACATGTTGATAGTAGTCTTTGAGGGTTTTTGTATTTCTGTGTTATCAGTTGTAATGTCACCTTTGTCATTTCTGATTGTGCTTATTTGAATCTTCTCTTTTTCCTTCTTAGTTAATCTAGCTGGAAGTCTACTAATTTTGTTTATCCTTTCAAAGAACCAATTTTGAAAGGTTCTTTGATCATTTGTATGGTTTTTTCATTGATAATTTGTATGTTTTTTTTTTGTTTTTGGTCTCAAATTCATTTAGTTCGGCTCTAATCTTTCTTGTGTCTTTTCTTCTGCTAGCTTTGAATTAGGTTTATTCTTGCTTTTCTATTTCCTTTAGGTGCAACATTAGGTTGTTAATTTGGGATTATTCTATCTTTTTAATGTAGGAATTTAGTGTTATAAACTTTCCTCTTACACTGCTTTTGCTGTATCCCAGAGGTTTTGGTATGTTGTGCCTGTCTTCTTGTTTGTTTCAATTTTTTAAATTTCTGCCTTAATTTCATTGTTTATTCAAAAGTCATTCAGGAGCAAGTTGTTTAGTTTCCATGTACTTGTGTCATTTTGAGAGTTTCTATTGGCACTGATTTCTAATTTTATTTCACTATGGTCCAAGAAAATGCTTGATATGATTTTCATATGTTTGAATTTATTGAGACTTGCCTTATGACCAAGAATGTGGTCAATTTCAGAAACTGTTCCATATGCAGATGAGAAAAATGCATATTCTGTGGTTGTTAGGTGAAATATTCTGTGTATGTTTATTAGGTCTATTTGATCAAGAGTCTAATTAAAGTCCAGGGTTTCTTTGTTAATTTTCTGCTTTGATGATCTGTCTAGTGCTGTTAGTGGAGTGCTGAAATCCCCTACTATTATTGTATAGCTGTGTATCTTTTTTTTTCGTAGGTCTAGTATCCTTTTTTTTTTTTTTAAATGTTCCGGGATACATGTGCAGAACGTACGTACAGGTTTGTTACATAGGTAAATGTGTGCCATGGTGGTTTGCTGCACCTATCAACCTCGGTATTAAGCCTATTAAGCCTTGCATCCATTACCTATTTGCCCTGATGCTCTCCCTCCCCTCGCCCAGCCAACTGGCCCTGGTGCATGTTGTTTTCCTCCCTGTGGCCATGTGTTCTCATTGTTCAGCTCCCACTTATGAGTGAGAACATGCACCGTTTGGTTTTCTGTTCCTGTGTTAGTTTGTTGAAGATGATGGCTTCCAGTTTCATCCATGTCCCTGCAAAGAACATGATCTCATTCCTTTTTATGGCTGCATAGTATTCCACGGTGTATATATACCACATTTTTTTAATCCAGTCTATGATTAATGGGCATTTGGGTTGATTCCATGTCTTTGCTCTTGTGAATAGTGCTGTGGTAAACATATGTATGCATGTATCTTTATAATAAAATGACTTATATTCCTTTGGGTATATACCCAGTAATGGGATTGCTGGGTCAAATGGTATTTCTGGTTAAAGATCCTTGAGGAATTACCACATTGTCTTCCACAATGGTTGAACTAATTTACATTCCCAAGAACAGTGCAAAAAGTTTCCTATTTCTCCACAGCCTCACCAGCATCTGTTGTTTCTTGACTTTTTAATAATCGCCCTTCTGACTGGCATGAGATGGTATCTCATTGTGGTTTTGATTTGCTTTTCTTTAATGATCAGTGATGTGCTTCTTTTCATATGTTTTTTGACCACATAAATGTCTTCTTTGGAGAAGTGACTGTTCATATCCTTTGCCCACTTTTTGATGGGGTTGTTTGTTTTTTTCTCGTAAATTTTTAAAGTTTCTTGTAAATTCTGGATATTACACTGTTGTCAGAGAGATTGCAAAATTTTTTTCCCATTCTTTAGGTTGCCTGTTCTCTCTGATGATAGTTTCTTTTGCTGTGCAGAAGCTCTTTAGTTTAATTATATCCCATTTGTCAATTTTAGCTTTTGTTGCAATTGTTTTTGGCGATTTCATTATAAAATTTTTGCCCATGCCTATGTCCTGAATGATATTGCCTAGGTTTTCTTCTATGGTTTTTATGGTTTTAGGTTTTACATTTAAGTTTTTAATCCATCTTGGGTTAATACTTTTTTTTTTTTTAAGTTTCTTTTTTTTTTTTATTATACTTTAAGTTTTAGGGTGCATGTGCACATTGTGCAGGTTAGTTACATATGTATACATGTGCCATGCTGGTGCGCTGCACCCACTAACTCGTCATCTAGCATTAGGTATATCTCCCAATGCTACCCCTCCCCCTCCCCCCCACCCCACCACAGTCCCCAGAGTGTGATATTCCCCTTCCTGTGACCATGTGATCTCATTGTTCAATTCCCACCTATGAGTAAGAATATGCGGTGTTTGGTTTTTTGTTCTTGCGATAGTTTACTGAGAATGATGGTTTCCAATTTCATCCATGTCCCTACAAAGGACATGAACTCATCATTTTTTATGGCTGCATAGTATTCCATGGTGTATATGTGCCACATTTTCTTAATCCAGTCTATCATTGTTGGACATTTGGGTTGGTTCCAAGTCTTTGCTATTGTGAATAATGCCGCAATAAACATACGTGTGCATGTGTCTTTATAGCAGCATGATTTATAGTCATTTGGGTATATACCCAGTAATGGGATGGCTGGGTCAAATGGTATTTCTAGTTCTATATCCCTGAGGAATCGCCACACTGACTTCCACAGTGGTTGAACTAGTTTACAGTCCCACCAACAGTGTAAAAGTGTTCCTATTTCTCCACATCCTCTCCAGCACCTGTTGTTTCCTGACTTTTTAATGATTGCCATTCTAACTGGTGTGAGATGGTATCTCATAGTGGTTTTGATTTGCATTTCTCTGATGGCCAGTGATGATGAGCATTTTTTCATGTATTTTTTGGCTGCATAAATGTCTTCTTTTGAGAAGTGTCTGTTCATATCCTTCGCCCACTTTTTGATGGGGTTGTTTGTTTTTTTCTTGTAAATTTGTTTGAGTTCATTGTAGATTCTGGATATTAGCCCTTTGTCAGATGAGTAGCTTGCGAAAATTTTCTCCCATTTTGTAGGTTGCCTGTTCACTCTGATGGTAGTTTCTT
The DNA here is from genome assembly GCF_000001405.40 of Homo sapiens. Taxonomy (NCBI): domain Eukaryota; kingdom Metazoa; phylum Chordata; class Mammalia; order Primates; family Hominidae; genus Homo; species Homo sapiens. The sequence continues at coordinate 235,105 of NW_025791769.1, forward strand.
TTGCTGTGCAGAAGCTCTTTAGTTTAATTAGATCCCATTTGTCAATTTTGTCTTCTGTTGCCATTGCTTTTGGTGTTTTGGACATGAAGTCCTTGCCCACGCCTATGTCCTGAATGGTAATGCCTAGGTTTTCTTCTAGGGTTTTTATGGTTTTAGGTCTAACGTTTAAATCTTTAATCCATCTTGAATTGATTTTTGTATAAGGTGTAAGGAAGGGATCCAGTTTCAGCTTTCTACATATGGCTAGCCAGTTTTCCCAGCACCATTTATTAAATAGGGAATCCTTTCCCCATTGCTTGTTTTTCTCAGGTTTGTCAAAGATCAGATAGTTGTAGATATGCGGCGTTATTTCTGAGGGCTCTGTTCTGTTCCATTGATCTATATCTCTGTTTTGGTACCAGTACCATGCTGTTTTGGTTACTGTAGCCTTGTAGTATAGTTTGAAGTCAGGTAGTGTGATGCCTCCAGCTTTGTTCTTTTGGCTTAGGATTGACTTGGCGATGCGGGCTCTTTTTTGCTTCCATATGAACTTTAAAGTAGTTTTTTCCAATTCTGTGAAGAAAGTCATTGGTAGCTTGATGGGGATGGCATTGAATCTGTAAATTACCTTGGGCAGTATGGCCATTTTCACGATATTGATTCTTCCTACCCATGAGCATGGAATGTTCTTCCATTTGTTTGTATCCTCTTTTATTTCCTTGAGCAGTGGTTTGTAGTTCTCCTTGAAGAGGTCCTTCACATCCCTTGTAAGTTGGATTCCTAGGTATTTTATTCTCTTTGAAGCAATTGTGAATGGGAGTTCACTCATGATTTGGCTCTCTGTTTGTCTGTTGTTGGTGTATAAGAATGCTTGTGATTTTTGTACATTGATTTTGTATCCTGAGACTTTGCTGAAGTTGCTTATCAGCTTAAGGAGATTTTGGGCTGAGACGATGGGGTTTTCTAGATAAACAATCATGTCGTCTGCAAACAGGGACAATTTGACTTCCTCTTTTCCTAATTGAATACCCTTTATTTCCCTCTCCTGCCTGATTGCCCTGGCCAGAACTTCCAACACTATGTTGAATAGGAGCGGTGAGAGAGGGCATCCCTGTTTTGTGCCAGTTTTCAAAGGGAATGCTTCCAGTTTTTGCCCATTCAGTATGATATTGGCTGTGGGTTTGTCATAGATAGCTCTTATTATTTTGAAATACGTCCCATCAATACCTAATTTATTGAGAGTTTTTAGCATGAAGGGTTGTTGAATTTTGTCAAAGGCTTTTTCTGCATCTATTGAGATAATCATGTGGTTTTTGTCTTTGGCTCTGTTTATATGCTGGATTACATTTATTGATTTGCATATATTGAACCAGCCTTGCATCCCAGGGATGAAGCCCACTTGATCATGGTGGATAAGCTTTTTGATGTGCTGCTGGATTCGGTTTGCCAGTATTTTATTGAGGATTTTTGCATCAATGTTCATCAAGGATATTGGCCTAAAATTCTCTTTTTTGGTTGTGTCTCTACCCGGCTTTGGTATCAGAATGATGCTGGCCTCATAAAATGAGTTAGGGAGGATTCCCTCTTTTTCTATTGATTGGAATAGTTTCAGAAGGAATGGTACCAGTTCCTCCTTGTACCTCTGATAGAATTCGGCTGTGAATCCATCTGGTCCTGGACTCTTTTTGGTTGGGAAACTATTGATTATTGCCACAATTTCAGCTCCTGTTATTGGTCTATTCAGAGATTCAACTTCTTCCTGGTTTAGTCTTGGGAGAGTGTATGTGTCCAGGAATGTATCCATTTCTTCTAGATTTTCTAGTTTATTTGCATAGAGGTGTTTGTAGTATTCTCTGATGGTAGTTTGTATTTCTGTGGGATCGGTGGTGATATCCCCTTTATCATTTTTTATTGTGTCTATTTGATTCTCCTCTCTTTTTTTCTTTATTAGTCTTGCTAGCGGTCTATCAATTTTGTTGATCCTTTCAAAAAACCAGCTCCTGGATTCATTGATTTTTTGAAGGGTTTTTTGTGTCTCTATTTCCTTCAGTTCTGCTCTGATTTTAGTTATTTCTTGCCTTCTGCTAGCTTTTGAATGTGTTTGCTCTTGCTTTTCTAGTTCTTTTAATTGTGATGTTAGGGTGTCAATTTTGGATCTTTCCTGCTTTCTCTTGTGGGCATTTAGTGCTATAAATTTCCCTCTACACACTGCTTTGAATGCGTCCCAGAGATTCTGGTATGTTGTGTCTTTGTTCTCGTTGGTTTCAAAGAACATCTTTATTTCTGCCTTCATTTCGTTATGTACCCAGTAGTCATTCAGGAGCAGGTTGTTCAGTTTCCATGTAGTTGAGCGGCTTTCAGTGAGATTCTTAATCCTGAGTTCTAGTTTGATTGCACTGAGGTCTGAGAGATAGTTTGCTATAATTTCTGTTCTTTTACATTTGCTGAGGAGAGCTTTACTTCCAAGTATGTGGTCAATTTTGGAATAGGTGTGGTGTGGTGCTGAAAAAAATATATATTCTGTTGATTTGGGGTGGAGAGTTCTGTAGATGTCTATTAGGTCCGCTTGGTGCAGAGCTGAGTTCAATTCCTGGGTATCCTTGTTGACTTTCTGTCTCGTTGATCTGTCTAATGTTGACAGTGGGGTGTTAAAGTCTCCCATTATTAATGTGTGGGAGTCTAAGTCTCTTTGTAGGTCACTCAGGACTTGCTTTATGAATCTGGGTGCTCCTGTATTGGGTGCATATATATTTAGGATAGTTAGCTCTTCTTGTTGAATTGATCCCTTTACCATTATGTAATGGCCTTCTTTGTCTCTTTTGATCTTTGTTGGTTTAAAGTCTGTTTTATCAGAGACTAGGATTGCAACCCCTGCCTTTTTTTGTTTTCCATTTGCTTGGTAGATCTTCCTCCATCCTTTTATTTTGAGCCTATGTGTGTCTCTGCACGTGAGATGGGTTTCCTGAATATAGCACACTGATGGGTCTTGACTCTTTATCCAATTTGCCAGTCTGTGTCTTTTAATTGGAGCATTTAGTCCATTTACATTGAAAGTTAATAGTGTTATGTGTGAATTTGTTCCTGTCATTATGATGTTAGCTGGTTATTTTGCTTGTTAGTTGATGCAGTTTCTTCCTAGTCTCGATGGTCTTTACATTTTGGCATGATTTTGCAGTGGCTGGTACCGGTTGTTCCTTTCCATGTTTAGCGCTTCCTTCAGGAGCTCTTTTAGGGCAGGCCTGGTGGTGACAAAATCTCTCAGCATTTGCTTGTCTGTAAAGGATTTTTTTTCTCCTTCACTTATGAAGCTTAGTTTGGCAGGATATGAAATTCTGGGTTGAAAATTCTTTTCTTTAAGAATGTTGAATATTGGCCCCCACTCTCTTCTGGCTTGTAGGGTTTCTGCCGAGAGATCCGCTGTTAGTCTGATGGGCTTCCCTTTGAGGGTAACCATCTTGGGTTAATATTAACATAAGGTGTAAGGAAAGGGTCCAGTTTCAGTTTTCTGCATATTGTTAGCCAGTTTTCCCAGCACCATTTGTTAAATAGGGAATCCTTTCCCCATTGCTTGTTTGTGTCAGGTTTGTCAAAGATCAGATGGTTGTAGATGTGTGGTCTTATTTCTGATGTCTCTATTCTTTTCCATTGGTCTGTATGTCTGTTTTGGTACCATGCTGTTTTGGTTACCATAGCCTTGTGGTATAGTTTGAAGTCAGGTAGCGTGTTGCCTCCAGCTTTGTTCTTTTTGCTTAGGATTCACTTGGCTATCTAGGCTCTTTTTTGGTTCCGTATGAATTTTGAAGTAGTTTTTTCTAATTCTGTGAAGAATGCCTTTGGTATTTTGATGTGAATAGCATTGAATCTATAAATTACTTTGGTCAGTGTGGCCATTTTTGCAATATTGATTCTTCCTATCCCTGAGGATGGAATGTTTTTCCATTTGTTTTTATCCTCTCTTATTTCCTTGAGCAATGGTTTGTAGATGAATTTTCTTAGGGTTTGCTTGACTGGGAAATACTTTATTTCTTCTTTGTTTTGAAGCTTAGTTTGGCAGAATATGAAATTCTTGGCTGGCATTTTTTTATTTAAGGAGGCTAAAAACAGGCTCCTTATCTCTTCTGGCTTGTAAGATTTCTGCTGAGAAGTCTGCTGTTAGTCTGATAGGGATTTCCTTTATTCCTAATTTGCTTCTTTTCTTCAGCTGCCCTTAAGACTTTTTTCTTTTGCATTCACCTTGGAGAGTTCAATGATGATATGCCTTGGGCATGGCCATCTTGTATAGTATCGTTCAGGTTTTCTCTGAATTTCTTGTATCTGGATGCCAGCCTCTCTAGTAAGATGGAGACATTTTCCTGAATTATCACCTAAAATATGTTTTCCAAGTTGCTTGTTTTTTCTTCTCCTCTCTCAGGAATGCCAATAAGTCATAGGTTTGGTCACTTTACATAATCACATATTTCTTGAAGGCTTTGTTGATTTTTAAAAAATTATTTTTTCTTTATTTTTGTCTGGCTGGGTTAATTGAGAAGATTTGCCCTGAAGCTCTGAAATTCTTTGTTTTGCTTGTTCTATTCTATTGTTAAAGCTTCTAACTATATTTTGAAATTCCTTTGTGAATTTTTCTTTTTTTATATATTAATATTTTTCGTTTTTAATTTTTTTATTTTCTTTTTAGTGCAGAGATGAGGTCTCACTATATTGCCCAGGCTGGTCTCAAGCTCTTGTACTCAAACGACCATCCCACCTTGGCCTCCCAAAGTGTTGAGATTATAGGCATTAGCCACCACACCTGGCCCCTTTAGTGAATTTTTCAGTTGCAGGAGTTCTACGTGGTTTTTTTCTTAATATAATTATCTCATCTTTCATACCCTGAGTAGTTTTTTTGTTTGTTTGTTTCTTTGTATTGGGTTTCAACTTGGATTTCGTTGGGTTTCCTTGCAATCCATATTTTGAATTCTTTATCTGTCATTTCAAACTTTTCAGTTTGGTTAAGATCTATTGTTAGAGAGCTGATGTGATCCTTTGGAGGTGTCAAGACACTGGCTTTTGGTACAGCTGGAGTTCTTGCACTTATTCTTTCTCTTCTGAGGGATCTGTAACTTCTTAATTTTGAGTTTGGATGACACTTTTTAATTTTTAATTTGTTTCCCTTTAGTGTATGAATGTGATGTATAATCATTCGGTGTTGTTTCTGGGTGCTTTCAGGGGACCGAGGCATTGTATGGGTTCCTTGGTTGTGGATAGCTTCTGTGTGGTGTTTTTCTCATATGCTGCTTTTTGTAGTGATGTATTGAATGTATGAGTCAACAACACACTACATCTTATGGGGCTGAGGTTGCAGAGGCGTCAGGAAGTTTATCTCATTGACTAGTACTAAGCCTTTCTGGTAGCAGGTTTTTAATTTTGGTGGTTCAGTTCAGGCTGAAGACCAGTAGGAGGCGCTTAAGAGTAAGAGCCCGCTGGCCCTCAGGTAGGCTGCTGTCTGGTGGAAACGACTATCTTGATGGAGGAAGCAGGGGGCAGAGGTGGGAAGAGAGTGTTGGGATGTGCGGAGGTCTTGGGGAAAGCAGTGGGAGTGGGGGATGTGTGCACCAGCTCCTTTTCCTGAGCTAGAAGTAATGAGACCCCCTCTGAGGGCAACCACAAAAATGGGCTCGGGGCAGGGCCTCTTCCCCCAGTCCGGTCCAGGGCAGGCAACTCCACAATTTGTCTGTCTTCCATTGTGAGAAGCCTGCCACTGTGTGTAGGCAGCGGAAGTTGGCCCTTGCCCTCTCTGTAAACCCAAGCATCTTGAGATCACCTTCAGCAGAGTGGAGCAACCAAGAAAAGAACGAAGAACACTCTGTGAGTATACACACTGCTCCCTAGAAGGAAGATCCACTACTGTGTCCATAACAGTGTACCGGGGGTTGGGAGATGACCCCCTCTCCATGCCTGTTCCCGGGCGCTGGGTGTTGCCACGTTTAGTAGTTGGTGCTGTGCCTTCCTTTTCTTTATTCTGAGGAGGTTTTAGCGGGCTGTACTCCCCCGCCCTTATGGGTGGCCCATACCCAGGGTTAGGTCTGCATGGGTCTCACAGCTTCCCAGGAACCCACCAGTTTCCTGTGCTTGCCGGAATTAGAGTGGAGTATATTTTTGTCCATAATGGAATTAAATTGGAAACCACAACAGAAATATGTATGGAAAATCTTCAATAATTTGAAATTAAACAACATATGTTTAAATACAAAATATGTCAAATAAGAAAACATAAAGGAAGTCAGCAAATATTTTGAACTTAATAATAATGAAAATACAACAGATCAAAATTGCAGGGATGTAGTTAAAATAGTTCTTATGGGGAAATTTATGGTTCTTATGGGAGAAGGTTTAAAAGCAATGTATGTTTACTTCTTAAGAACTTAGAAGAAAGAAGAGCAGATTGAAGCCATAATAAACAGAAGGAAGGACGTAGAAAAGATAAAAACAGAAATCAACTAAATAGAAAAAGAACAAATAATATAGAAAATTAATAAAAAGCAAAGCTACTACTATGAAAAGATTAATAAGATTAATATACCTCAAGCACATAGCCTTGCTTGATTACAAAGAGAAGAAAAGAAAAAACACAAATTACTAACATTGGAACACTATTTTATTATCTACAGACATTTAAAAAATCTTAATACTTTAATGACAGTAAATTAAGTAATTTAGACAAAACTGGCAAATTTTTTGAGATACAAATTACCAAAACTAATTAGAAACAAGAAAAAATCTAAATAGCCCAATATCTGTTAATGAAATCAAAAGTTACTAGAAAGATTTCCAAAAAGAAAATTTCAAGTCTATGTGACTTTACTCATCAATTTCATCAAATGTTTAGAGAAGAAATGAGATTGTTTTATAACAGATTCTCCAGAAAAAAGAAGAGACAGGACTTCTCAACACATATTATGATAATCTTGTTTCCAAAATCAGACGCATTATAAGAAAACCACAAACCAATATCTCTTATAAATGTAGACATGAATTTCCTTAAAAGTACATCATTAAATAAAATCTAACAAATCTTAAAAAGAATAATATATCAAAACCAAGTGGGGCTTATCTTCATCATCTTAGTCAGTACTTTGTCCATGATGAAGAGAGATTTATTTTTCATAATTCTTAAGGCTGGGAAGTCCAAGACTGGAGTGGGGTGGGGTTGGGGGGGTGGGCAGCTACATCTTGCAAGGGCCTTTGTGCTGCATCTTCCCATGGTAGAAGGTGAAGGGCAAGAGAGGGAGAAAAAGACAGGGCCAAATTCAACCTTTTATAATAAACCTACTCCCAAGATAACAGCCTTAGTCCATTCATGAAGGCTCCACCCTCATGGCCTAATCACCTCTTAAAGGTCCCACCTCTTAACCCTGTTACATTAGGGATTTAGTTTCCAACACATGCTTTGGGGGACAAAATCAAAATGTCCACTTTGCTTGTATTCAGAGTTGAACTGGAGTTCCTAAGCAGTGTCTTAAAACAACAAGAAGGAGGAGAAAGAGGATAGGAAAGGGAGGAAGCGGGAGAGGGGAGAAGAAAGAGAAAGAAAAAAAGAAAGAAAGAGATGCCAAGCATACAGATTGAAAAAGAAGACTTGGCAGGGTGCAGTGGCTCATGCCTGTAATCCTAGAGCTTTGGGAGGCCAAGGCAGGTGGATAGCTTGAGTCCAGGAGTTCAAGACCAGTCTGGGCACCATGGCAAAACCTTATCTCTACAAAAATAAAATTAAAAAAATTAGCTGGGTGTGGTGGCACATACCTGTGATCCCAGCTACAGTGAGCCAAGATCATGCCATTGCACTCTAGCCTGAGTGACAGAATGAGATCCTGTCTCAAAAAAAAAAAAAAGAAGAAAGAAAGAAAGAGAAAAGAAAGAAAGAAAGGAAAGAAAGAAAGAGAAAAACAAGAGTTAAACTATCTTTATTGGCAAATGGAGAGAATCCTAAGTAATCCTTTGAAAGTACAAAAGCTAATGAATAAAGTTAGCAAGGTTGCAGGATACATGATCAATAGAAAAACCAATTGTGTTTCCATACAAAACAATTTAAAATAAAATTTTAAAATTAAAGCATTTTAAATTAGAGAAAATTTATTTACAACAATATTTTCAAAGCATAAAATCCTTAGGGATAAATGTAATGCAATATGTGCACACCTCTATACTGAAAACTATAAAATATTCCTGAGAGAAATTTTAAAAGACTTAAGTGAATGGCATGGTATACCATGCTCATTATTTGAAAGGCTAAATGTTGTTAAAATATTAATTCTCCTCAAATTAATCTATAGAATCAATTTAATCCCAATCAAAATCCCAGAATGCTTTTTTGCATAAATTAATAAGCTGAATTTAAAATGTATACAGAAATGCAAAGAACCTTAAATAACCAAAACAGTTTTATAAGAGAAGATAAACTTTGGAAGGCAGATACTACCTTATTTTAAAACTTATTAAAAGCTATGATAATCAAAACAGTGTGGTATTAGGGAAAGACAGACAAATAGTTTCATGGAATAGAACAGAGAGTACAGAAATAGACCCACATGTATATGGTGAGTTGATATTTTACCAAAGTGCCAAAGAAATCTAATGAAGAAAGACATTCTTTTAAACATGTGGTGCTGCAAAAACTGGCTCCCTATAGATAATAAAATAAGCTTTAATCCATAGCTTACATCATACTATAGTACTAACTTGAGATAGGTTATAAACATAAAAGCTAAAACTATGAAACTTTTAGTAGAATATATTTGTGATCCTAGTGTAAGCACAACTTTCTTAGAAAAAGCCATTAAGAAAAATGAATAGTCAAACTAAACTGGGAGAAAATGCACACACACACACACACACACACACATATATATATACACACACACACATATATACACACACACACATATATATACACACACACATATATATCTGACTTCTATTATATATAGTTATAGGTAAGCAATTTTTATACTTCAGTAATAAAAAGACTTTACAGTTATGCCTTATAACTCTTACGATATTTTTTAGTTGACAAAGTACTTTTCTACCAATGTTTTTATGTGGACTTTACAACATTACCCCATGAGATTAAACAGTATTAGGATTATTTTTCTAATCTTACAAATGTAAAAATGAAGCTCAGAAATGTATGTTTTCCAAAGAACTAGAACTAAATCCTGAGTCTTTGAGGCACCCAGTTCATCATCATTGCCATCACACTGGCTGGTATGTCTCACTTAGGTTGATTTCTGATATGCCTCTCCTTATGGACTGACTCCTCAGGCTTACCTCTTAATTAGAACAGCCCTGGCACAATACCAAACCCCTTTCCTTGCCAAACTCCAGCTCCGAGCTTCTTGTCTTTCCAATTGCAGATTACAGCATTAAACTCTGGTTGAGCCTGAATGATCCCATATAGTCCTTCCCAGGTAAAAAATTCGTTAGATGATGGTTTCTTAATCACAGCTCAGCTGCCTCCTTGGGTTATTTATCTGATTCTGGGCATGTCACAAAAAGAATGTTGTTGAAAGGCAATGTAATAAGTATGCATCAATCCTGCAGCCTTTCTTATTAAGAAATTTCAAGAGGGTCCACCTTCTCGAAGGAAGCAGCACTTTGCTACAGAGGCAAACACATCCCTTGGCATTTTACAAACCCCTCTGAAGGGAGTGGAGAGACAGCTCATCTTAGTGACAGATCTGTTGCAGGCAGTAAGAGGGCAACAGGGAGTCAGACTGCTACCTATTACCGTCATTATTATTGCTGTTGTCATTATTATGATCATATTACACATTCACTTAATGGTAACAACAGGGCCTGGCCCCAAAAGAAGTCTCAAAAAAAGATGTAATCTCTTCCCAGAGGCCTCATTTTTAAGTCAGATATGTTTCTGGTAATCCATTGTCACAGTCCTCTGTTGCCATCTGTTTTGGGTATCTGTCTGTGTGCTCTGACTAGCCTGGTCAGATAAATGTCAATAAACTGTGCGCACAGAGGAATTTTCTCTCTTATGTATGCTTTACTTTTGATGAACCAGGGCCTATTCTGAAGATAACATGACAGATTTATTGACATAATCATGCATATACTTCCATCTTCTCAAATAGGTCTTGGAGAACCTAATAAAACGCCTGGGGTTGAAAGCGACCTCAGAGATCCAACTACATAGCGCTCAAATTCTGCCCTTCAGTCGCCATCCTGCTTATGCTTGATTGCCCCTAATGTTGGAGAACACAGCACCTCCTGAAACAGTCGATTCCATTCTTAGACAGCTCTTCTTTTTATTAGTTCTTAAGTATCTGCTGTCACCTCCCTTCTCTTTTCAGAGACCGGCATTCTCCAATCTGTACAGGAAAACAGCTTTCTCCTATCTTTGCCCATGGCTCTACCCTCACTGGAGTTCTCCCTAGCACTGGGGAGTTCTCCTATTGCTCTGGTTTTTCTATGGCTGCCCTGCAAATCCTCTGGGCATCATCTGGAGCTCATGCTCCAGTAAAGGGGCTGTTGCTTAATAAGCCTCCCCAAAATGTAGTGGCTTAAAACAATGATCCATTATTTGTTATGATCTGAAGTGTTGGCTGGGGAGTCTGCTCTGCTGGTTTCACCTGGGATCCCTGCTAGGGCTGCATTCAGTTGGAAAGCTTGGCTAGGCTAGAAGAGGCAACATGGCCTGAGTGTCAGGTATTGCAGTTGGTGCTGACAGTGACTAGGACTCCTTGGTTCTCCCACAAGTGGCTGCTCGTTCTTCCCTAGGCTCAACTGGCATTCTGACATGGTCTCTGGGTGGCTTTCCAAGGTGGCAAACATGGAGCTTACAAGGCCTCTTAAGGCCTAACCTTGAAAATAGCACATTATTTCTGACACATTCTATTGGTTAAAGCCAATCACAAAGCCAGCCGAGCTTTAGGGTGGGGAAATCGACTCCATGTCTTAATGGAGTGTGTCGTGTTTTTCGTTCTACCAATGCCCTGTCTGCTAGAAAACATGGAAGATTGAAAGTACGGGTGGAGCACAAGGGCTTCCTCCTTCTCTTTTTTCACTCTGTTTCTTCATTTTCTTAACACCATTCTTTCTGGGTATATGGTGTCGTGCAAATTTCTTTTCTAAGGAGTTTCAATTATCTTGAAAGAGAATTATTACATAAAAAGGAAGAGAGCATGGTTGTAGCAAATGTAAACATTGCTTTGAATCTCAAAAATGAAGGCACTTAAAGACCTGTGAGGGGGTCCTCTGTGGCCATTTTACCAAATCTCAGTCTGGTTCTTCTGTCCTCAGGTTCAGTAATTTCTGCCTCTTTCATACCGAGGGCCTCATTGTTCAAGGGCCTCTATCCAAATTTCCACCCCCTCCACTTCCTTCTAGGAAGCCTTACCTCTTTACAAAGGATGAGATTCCCCTTACTCAGATTCTTTATCTTTTCCAGATATAAGAAGGGTTTAAGATTGAAGCATGTGATCTTAGCACCCCAAGCCTTCACTGATGTTGGTCATCGGCCAAAGTTCAGACAGGCAGGCACAGAATTCCTGGGGCAAAGTGAGCAGTGTCCCATTCTAGAGTTTTTTATTTGATGGCATCTTGTGAAAGCTGAGGCTGTCAGTTACTCTTTCCAGGAACCTATTAAAATAAGATCAGCTCCCAAGAACAAACAACAGTTGTGTGTGTGTGTGTGTGTGTGTAGTTTGTGTGTATGTGTGTGCATGTACATGTGTGCACATGTGTGAATAGGTTTAGGAGTGGGTGTTGAGGACGGTTCAGGTAGAGTGGGTTTTTATCAATTAAGAATGCAGTCAATTTGTCAATTGAAAATGGAGTTAGTGAAGCTCCCAATATTGAGTAAGAAGTGTCTGGCTTCTTTTCTACTCAGCTTTGATCTCTGATGGAATCATAAAAGTCTCATGCTGCAGACTGGATTCAGTGGTTTCCAACCCCAACCACACATATGCATACACAGACACACACATATCTGAAGGGATGTGCTGACTCTTTTTACTATGTCTTAGAGGAAATCTACCTTCTTATAATCTCCACCCACCTGTAATAATTTTCTGCTGCGGACACACAGATAAGGTCTAATTCATCTTTTTATGAGAGGCTTTTGTGTATTTCAAGATAATTACCACCAGGCACCGTGGTTTATACTGGTAATTCCAGCAATTCAGAAGGCTGAGGCAGGAGAATCACTTGAGGTCAGGAGATTGAGACCAGCCTGGGTGACATAGTGAGACCTATCTCTAAAAAAACCCAAACAAACAAAAACAAAAATAAAAGTTAGCGGGGTGTGGTAATGCATACCTGTAGTCCTAGCTACTTGGGAGGCTGAGGCAGGAGGATCGCTCCTTGAACCCAGGAGTTCAAGGCTGTAGTGAACTATGATTGTGCTGCCACAACTGCAATCTAGCTTAAGCAACAGAGTGAGACCTCACCTCTAAAAATTAAAAAGAAAAATATAATTACCATGTACTTCCCAAGTTTTCTACTGTCCTAGCTAAACATTGAGGCTGGCTGAATACAATATTACCTGACAAATGCCATGCGATTGATGCAAAAAAGATGAGAAAACATATTCATGCTCATACCTATTCTTTTTATGCTAGATATTTCAGTAGTGCATCCAGCAGAAATTCAAATTGTTAGATTTAGGATATAGATAATGGGTGGAATATGGAACATGGAATATTAAGTCATCAATTCTGCTCTATTTCCTTTTGTTTATGTGTCCAGCACAGTCAAAAAAGATAAGAAGGAGAAGACTGTGAAAGTAGGTTGTCTGAATCCATTTTATGCTGTTATGATAGAATACCACAAAGTGGGTAATTTATAAAGAAAATAAATGTATTTCTCACAGATCTGGAGGTTGGGAAGTCCAAAAGCATGGCACCAGCATCTGGTGAGGGTCATCCCATGGCAGAAGGATGGAAAATAGAAGCAAGCATGAGAGACAAAGAAAGCACACTTTTATAACAAAGCCATTCCTTCAATATCTAACCCAACATTTAGAAGGCAGCAGTAATCTATTTATGAGAGTGGAACGCTCATAACCTAATCACCTCTTAAAGATTCCATTTCCCAATAGTGTTACACTGGTGGTTAAATTTCAGCATGAATTTTGGAGGGTACATTCAAACTACAAGACAGATTTCATGTTCAATCTAATAATTCTCTTCCATAACTGGACAAGTCCTACAAATAAGGTTGGTATTTAATAACATTCAGTAATATTTATTAAACACCAACTATACATCAGTCACTGTGCACCTGGCACCCAGAAAACCCAGTTGGGTGAATACTAGATATCACTTAAGTCATACAACTCTGTGAGGTAGAAATTATCCCAATTTTCAAGATAAAGAAATTGGAATTTGGGTAGGTTAGGTGAGTAGGCCAAATTTCTACATTTAGTAAGTATAAAGCTACCCCAGAACTTTTGTCTCCAAACTCAGTACTTCTTTTTACTCTACTCGGTGCATGCCTGTTCTGTGCATCGGGTGGTGGGGTTAGACACAGCACAAGAGGTTTTTGCCTTTATATTTTACCCTCTACATGGGAGAAGGAGAATTCAGAGAGGAGGGGAATATTGAGCTGGTCCTGGAAAAACAGTGGGCAGTGGAGGCATAGGAGGGGACGACAATACAGGGAGATTTAAGAGCCAAGATATATAGAGAGAAGTTTGCTGGGATGCTTAGCAAATATTGAGTAGAGTGGTCTGGCTGGATGGGGAAAGACCCATATTGGTAGTGAAAGGAGGCTGCTTTGAAACTCTGTGTTAGTTTGGCTATAGTCCCTGACAGAGTGTGACTGTGCAGAGCCTTGAACAACAAATTAAGAAGCCTTTTTCCATGGTTGGTTAGGCCCAGTGTATTGATTGGCCGCATTTCCAGAGGTCTAGATAAGCCTGCATCAAGGAAAATTCCTTTTTTGTTGCTGTTGATGTTGAGCATGTTCTGGGCTGGCCTTTTCTCACCATTGGAAAGGTAAACAACTGTAGGATTTAGATTTGAGTTTGACAATAGGAAGTAAGGTACCTTGCTTGACCTGTGTACTTACCAGTAGAATGGGGAGAAACATAAGAATTATTTACATGGTATCTGGCATATATTTTTGGGGGGAGTTCCTAGAAATATTTAGCAACAGAATTCAAAGGGTCCGGATCCAGCCATTTAAGTCTTAAACTTTTCTTCATCCCAACTCCATCAAGAGGGAGCCCATGAATACTTCTAGCAGAGTTGTCACTTGATGAAAAGTAGTGTGATGGGACCACCAATCTGGGGCAGATGTCCTAGCATGGCTTAGAGTGGAGATCCAGGAAGCAGGAGGACCAGGTAAGAGACAAGCCAGTGGTGGAAGGGTTGTCAGGAAATCTAATAAATTTGTCCATGTATTTATTTATTTATTCATTCATTCACTCATTCATTTATTCATGTATTTATTTACTCAACAATTATGTGGGAAGAACCTACCATGTGCCGGGCTGTAGGTCAAAGCTCTGGAAATCAGAGGTGAACAAACCGGACATAATTCCTTCCCTCAAATTATTTACAGTCTCTCTTCTAAACTTATTATTCTAACATTTCGATGCAATCTTTCAGTGTTTTAGGGTGGTGGGATTTTACAGGATTTAAGACGTTTCAGCAAAGGGAGAGGGTAGTTGGTTATGTAGTGATCTCCCTGACCTTAGAGGTAGTTGTTGCACTAAGTAAGAGCCTGACTGAAATTTCTACTAAATATCTCCCAACACAGGAAGATAAGCATCTAGAATTCATGTTTATAGGATATGCATCTGAGCCTGTGATGAGACCTCTACTGGGATTCTTCTTAAAAGGAGTCAAGAAATGAAGTGAGAAGATTTTTTTCTTCTTTATTCTCGAGCAAAAACAATGTGGGATAGAGAAGCCACAGGCCAAACCCTCTTAGGAAAGCTGGCCAGGAATGCAAGCACCATGAAAGTTCTTTCACAAGAAAAGGAGAATTGCTTCCTAGGGTTATCCTGATTTCAAAGTCAAGGTAGCATGAGATTGGCTTATTTTTGCGCTGGGCTTGAAAATGTAACTGACTCAGGAGAGAAATGTTAGGACCAATTTCTGGCCTTGAGAAATTCCCTATCAGGAGGTTGGTACAAAGGTGCATTTGCAGTAATCAGCTCTTTTCTTTAGCTTACACCTCCACCTGCATCATGCAATTGCATCAATACCTCCTCAAATTCCCATAAGATTATTTTTGAGAAAACTTAATGTGTTACTATGTAACTTCTCTGAGCGTCAGTTTCCTCCCCTGTCCAATGGGGCTGATGATATTTTAGCAGCACTAAGTTGTATCACAGAAGTAATTATCCAAATATAGTACCTAGTACTTGGCTGTCACCTAATACTTGCCTCATACCATCACATCTAGGAAAGTTAAAATACCTTTTTTAAATGACACACTTTGTGAGAAAAATTAGGCCAAATATGTAAGGAAGAAATTATTAGTTATTAATATTTTCCCCAGTCAGTTTCTAAGTTCCTCAGATTATTTATCCCAAGATTTGTGGGAAGAAGCTCAAATGAGACAGGGTCTAGGAAAACCTGTTGCAAGCTATTAAGTGTTCTCTGCCTAAAAGGGACCATCTTAGACCTGAGGGGGCCTGCTTCCTTGCTTTCAGCAAGACTGCTGGTGCCCCAAAGCCAGCATCAGTGCATGGAAGAGGGCTTATGATCAGCCCTGCGTGCCTGCTAATGATGACCACAAGCGGCCTTGAAGAGGCTTTTCATCACCACACCTTGTCTTCTTCCAACTCCAATTTGTACAGCCTATGGGTTGCTTCACTTCCAGGAGCCAGACCCCAGGGGCTGTTAATAGCCAAGGTCACCAGTGTGAACCTCCGCTCATCCTAGCCAGCATGGCTGTGACTTCCCAAGAGAAGATAAAAGACTGATAGGCCCCCCCCCAAGAGAGGAGAGAGCGACACTTCTCATTAACAGAGGGCCGGTCAGGGAGTAGGATGCAAATGGCCCTGATGCCCCTGTGGCTGCTGCCACTCTCATTGCCTCCTGGCACATCACGGCAGGTGGATGACAACTTGTCTCACTGAAGAACTCTGAAACTGTTTCTAGGGGTGCTTTTGGGAGAAGCAGAGGCAAATCCTGCTAGAGCTTTCTGATACCAACCCTATGGCATTTGTCCTCTTGACTCCATACCTAAGGCTTCAGCACAGTCCTCCACTTGAAATGTAGGCCTAGAGGAGGACACACCTCTGGAGGAACTCATTCCAGCTTTACTTTCTTCGAATACACAGGCACGCACACGTGCACACACACACCCCTACACACACGCACACACACACACACACACACACACACACCTTTTTCCTATTTTTTTTAGGGCAGTGAGAGGTTCTCAAATTTCAGTGTGCATCAAAATAACCTGGAAAATTTATAAATATACAGGGCCACACCCCAGACCTACAGGGCCTAGGGAATCTATGTTTTAACCAGTTTTCCAGGTAATTCTGGTATAAATGATCATGAGATCACACTTTGAGGTATACTATTCAGGAGTTAAAAAATAATTACAGAACCTATTTTATAGAGTTTTAAAAACTGGAAGACAATTCAAAGGTATGTAGAATAGCCTTTCATTCTACAAATGAGAAAGTGGATAGAGGCCTAGGCTGTAGCTGCCTGCCAGAGTTCAAACCCTGGCTCAGCCTCTTACAAGCTGGATGATTTGGGGTAAGTTACTTAAATACCCCGTGCATCAGTTTTCTCATCTATACAACAGAAACAATATAAAATGTTACCTATCTCATGAGAGATTTTATGAGGTTTAAATGCATTCATATAGTCAAAGTTTTGGAAAAGTGCCTGGCACATAGTGAACATTCAATAAATTATTTGTATCTTTCAGGTTCAATCAGAAAAACAGGACCACTTCGAGTAGTATAGAATATGGGATATATTACAAGGCTTAGACCAGACATAATTGTGGGAACTCATTATGTTGCTACTTTAGGGGGCAGTTTCTGCTTTTGATGCTGGCCCAAATGTCAGCAGGGCTAGAAACATAGAAGAAAAGATAGACATCAAGTAGGAATAACGAGGACAGACTAGAATCTGCAAGAATTAGCTGGAACAATATGTGCTGCTTCTTCAATCTCGGTGATGCTGTTGGCCTACAAGATAAGCTGGCAGCCTGCACCATAGGGTCACACCTGCTCTTGTCCCAGTACTCAGAGAAGTTGAAAGAGGGGATCTGGCAGGAGCTGAAGGAGCTGCAGCATCAACTGTGCTCTAAACCAACCAAGTAAGCCAGCATATCAGTGACCACGTGCAAGAGCTTGTAGCTGCCCTCATTAACCTTTAGAGGATAAAGAAAATAAAATAGCCCTTCTTCACTTTCTCCTTTCAAATCTCACATGACTTGGAACATTAACTTGTGGCCAACCTTAACCTGAAATTGTATAGCCAAGGGGACTCTAAGATTTGCAGTTCCAGCTTAGCTAAGTTGACAAAGTACAAAAACCATCATATTGTCAATTTCTCTTAATACACATCAGGAAACTGAACAGAGCTGGTGAGTACCTTAGGCAAGGTCACACAGCAAATTTTTGGGAGAAGAGAGAGAGAAAGACCTAGGCTTAGGCTACTCAGCTTCTGATAGTCAAGCCTCCTGGTTGCCACAAAGAACTTAAGAAGGTGTCCCTCTGAATGTTTCTTAAACCTACAGAGGGAAAGCCCAAGGAGATGATGGGTCTGTTTCAATAATACATTCACTGAGGGACTGCTAGGTGCCAGTTAGTCTGTCGTCAGGCAGGTAGGACTCCCTTCTTTGCTTACAGAGAAGAAAACTGCATTGGTAAGTACAATAAAAGGCCAAAGAGATACATGCTTCAAGGGAGAGACAATGGTAGTGTTTTAGGGTGGAGCTTGTTAAAAGATAGGTTATCAGACCATGTCAAGTGGCTTTTGCCTAATACTCAAAGGTCATCAATCTAGATCCTATTTCTCTACCCTCTTATCCCTTGCTACTCCGCCGAAATGAAGTACGATATATGGGACAATTTACTTTGAAGCCTCTTGCTACTGTGATAACATGGATACTGTTGTTTTCTCCAACATCCATCTCAGTAAATCAGGCTAAGCATTACCTCCTTGCCACAGTGGTTGCTTCAAGTTACCCAGACCTAAGCCAGGTACTAGAGTCCATTTGGTTGCTGGTGTTGAGATGATCACTTAAAAAATTGTCTAACTCTTTGAGACCAGCCTGGCCAACATGGTGAAACCCTGTCTCTACTAAAAATACAAAAATTAGCTGGGTGTGGTGGTGCACACCTGTAATTCCATCTACTCGGGAGGCTGAGGCAGGAGAATTGCTTGAACCTAGGAGTCGGAGGTTGCCAGATATTTACTCAATGGTTGGAGGAAGTGCATTTCCTCTTCCACTAGATACTGAAAAGGAATTATCACGCTGATTGTGCTATCCGCAGCTGACAAACACAGAAGGAACCAGTTGTAGCCTAGAGTCAACATTATGGATGGCAGAATGAAAGAAACATCATTGCGCCATTGAATCAACCATCTCGGAAGCCTGCTTGAACTCTAGGCTTTCCAGTTAACTGAGTCATTGTGTTATCCTGTGTTTGAAATAGTTCAAGTTGGACTTTTCCATTACCTCTTATAGAAAACGTCTGCATTAATACACGTGCCTTTGAATATGCTGAGGATATTTTTCCTCTGCTAAAATAACAGTTCTTCTTACTTTACCTAAAGTCTTCTACTTTTCTCTCAAGAACTTGTTCATTGTCTCATCCATCCCAAAGCCTTTGCTGATCTATTTCCAGAGCCTCTATTCCCACTTAGGTTCTGATGTTCTTTCAACTCTTGTCTGTTTTTCCCAGAGGTGCCAAAGACCACAGGGCTTGGTTTTATGTTGTGTCTCTATGGCTTTTGACTTTTGGTCTTTCATTGACTCTGGCTTCACTGCTGCCTTTCTGAGTCTTCCCAATTAAGAAAACTTAGAGGAGAATGCCCACACTCAAAGCACCCAGGATTGCCAAGAGAGAACCTTAAACAGAAGAGAAGGTACTGGAGTCCATTTGGTTGCTGGTGTTGAGATGACCAATTAAAAAGTTATCTAACTCTCTGAGACCAGCCTGGCCAACATGATGAAACCCTGTCTCTACTAAAAATACAAAAATTAGCCAGGTGTGGTAGCACACGCCTATAATCCCAACTACTTGGGAGGCTGAGGCAGGAGAATCCACTTGAACCCAGGAGTCAGAGGTTGCAGTGAGCCAAGATCATGCCATTGCACTCCAGCCTAGGCAACAAGAGCAAAACTCCTTCTCAAAAAAAAAAAAAAAAATTGTCTAACTCTTTGTATGGAAAGTTTGGAATAATCAGGGACTCCTATCAAGACCTTTAGCTTCCACCATGCAAACATCATATAGGATGAATCACCTTCCGGATCTTCCAACCAGGGTCTTTGTTCGGCTTGAACAACTAAAATTAGCAGTTTATTCACGGTCCATAATGGCTGGGGAATTATTTCATACATATGGGACAAAGGAGAGGGATCCAAAGAGGGCCCTCTTCCCTAAGTCTCATTCATGAGATTCTTCTCATTGAAGAGGCACTCTCAAGCATCCAATTTGCTGCAATTATAGCAATCAAAAAAGCATTCAGTCTCCTTCCGCACCTGACAAGCCAGCTCATGCATTCTCACCAACAGTGGTGGGGTGGATGCTATTGCAGCTCCCATCCCCCTGATTCCAGCTACAGCCACTAATACCACCCTTATCCCCACACCCAGAGCTAGAGGTGGTTCACAGTCCAAGGAACTCCGTCATGTTAACATCGATGGTAGACCTGTAGCTGCCCGGATTCACATGGGCTTACTGGTTCTCTAGAAAGAGACTGGTTTGCCTTTAGTATTGGCTTATAAATATCTCTATCCCCATGGCCTGAAAGAGAACTGATGATAGATAAACTTCTCCATTATGTAAGTTTCTAAGGGCTGATAAATAAGCTCCTGCCATGATAACAGGTGCAGGTGTAGCGCCATGGAGAAGCCAGGGCCTGTCTGATTGCTGCATTGTGCCAGCATTCATGTTACTTGAATGGGTGCTTTGTGAGAGTACAGTCTCTGCAGATTGCAGGGACCGGCTGCTGCTGGTGAAAGGGTGGGGGTCTGTTGATGAAAGTCCCATTAACAACACACAAATAACTCCCAGCTTCCTCTTCTCAGTTGCCTCTTTGTTCTAGGCCAATGGCTCTCAGGAGAGCTGAAAATGTTATTTAATTATTTCTAACCCCCATACTGCTGCTACTAGGACTCCTTCTGGAATATCCATTCCCAGCAAGGCATCTGTATTCATTCTCATGAGCCACTCCAGGCTTGCCAATGGATGAAAGAAGTCTGCAACCACTGTAAACAATCAGGCTGGTGTTGAGTCACTTATGTGGACCACCACTGTGCCACTCCTTCTGACCACTCCAGCTGCTCCACCTCTGACAGGCTTCCATCTACCTTGGAGGCCAGCTGACCACAGTACTTAGATCATTACTTGATCTCTCAATCCCCTCTGAGAGTCTTTGGGAAACAACATGCGAATGTTTATCATTGTTAAGTCTGGTCACTGAGCCTCATGGAAAATTCTCCCCTCTTTTCTCAATTTTCTCATTTATAAAATGGGAATAATGAGAATACTCAGACCTTCTTCAAGAGGTTATTTTGAGTCCCAAGTGAGATAATACCTGCAGAATACTGAATATTCAATTAAGGAGGTGCTCAGTAAGAGCACTACTATTTCATTACTGTTTCTCTCATGTCAATTATTAGGGTATTTTAAAATATCTTTCTCCAGAATATCTTTCTATCTCCCAATATGACGATAAGTTCTCCTAGAGCAGGGCACTTCTAAGTTTTCTGATGCGTCCACACAATTTATCAGGCAGCTGGAACATGGAATGAACACTTGCATGGCAGCCAGGAGCCTCAAGCTGGAGTCCCAGCACCACCTGTGATTACCTCATTCCTCTGTCTGGCTGTCTTTCATTAGGTCTTCTATTATCTCCTCTGTGCCCTCACTCTCCCTTCCCTTCTTAAATCCCCATCCTTCTACCTTGGCCTCACCTACTGAAATCTCACTCCACCTTCCAGTTCAAACCAAATTCCCCACCTTCTGGGAATCCCTTCCTCAGTAGCTGCAGACTACACTGGCCTGTCTTTTCCCAGACTTCTCATTCCTTCATGTTAGCACCACAATGCTTAGCAACTAGTGGCTTTTTCAATAAGAAAGATGTAGTCTTATTTATCTCTTTGCACAACTCCCTTCTCTATTGTGTTTTCCACATTTACATACCACTTTGGGGCAGAAATTGGCCCAGTGGCCAAATCTGGCCCACTTTCTTTTTGTATGGTCTAAAGCTAAGAATGTTTTTGTATTTTAAATAGTCAAAAAAAGATCAAAAGAAGAAAAATGTTTCATGAAGTGTAAAAATTACCTAAAATTTAAATTTTGGCATCTACAAATAAAGTTTTATTGGAACGTAGCCACACTCATTTGTGAAGCAGGTTCACTGTGCACTGGTTACCAACTTGTCTGAGTCTGGTAAGGCAGAAGATCCTTAAACATAACAAATTACATGAAACAAATTTATTATTTACAGATAAACAGCAAGGGATAACAGAAGTGTAGGATTGATTGTGAGCTTCTCCCCGCAAACTCAGAAAAACTGCCAGGTAAATGAGGTCTCATCTGCATGTGCCCCACTTGCATTGCTACTGAGGGACCCTGAAAAGCAGACAACCCTGGGTGTTACACCCTCCCCAGGGTATGAAAGGACACACTAGGCAAATGTGTTGAAGAACATCCCGTTTCCAGGTGGAAACTGGAACTGAGCCAGCCTGTTCCAGCCAGTCTCTCCTTGTCTCAGGATGTTGCATTCTCAGCATATTTTACAGTTATTCCAGGGAACAACAGTGAGAAGGGGAGAGAGCTGGGTTGGTTCAAGGCCACCTGGAGAACTGTCCTGCACCATGTGTCGTATATTGTTTATGGCTGCTTTGACACTACAACAGCAGTGTTGAGTAGTTGCAGTAGGGACTGTTTAACCCACAAAGCCTACATTGCTTACATCTGGACCTTTGCAGGAAAAGTTTGCTGACCTGTACTTTAATATATAAAAACCCATTCACATTTGCACATTCATTTGGTGGTCACCACAGGCCTATGGTAACATCTCCGTTTTCAGAAGCTCAGAAAAGTAAGCTGCTTGCTCAAGAATGGACGGCTTCAAGGTGGCAGAGCTGGAAGTTTCTAACTCACTCACCTCATACTCAGACCTGCACTGTTTTTCAAGACAGTCAATATTTCAGGTAACTCTTCTTTCTTGTAATCCATTTCCTATCACATGCCTCACTTAGCATCTCCAATGAGCTCCCTCAAGAAATGTGAGGTTGCATCAGTGGCTCCCTAGTCTCTCTGAAAAGTGATGTAATTGTTATCAAATTAAAGCCCATCAGTAACTGGTAAACTGCTCTGCTCTTAGCTGGCTGGGCCCACAAGTGCTTTATCTAACCAACCATAACTTCTTCCTTGGCTGACGATAAGGTTTAATTAGGAGGAGGTGACATGTTGCTGGTGACCACTGATTTATAATGAACGGCAGCGAGTTTTTTGGAGGGACAGGTAGACATGCTGGCCCCCATCCAAGCCTGCCTGCCTGAACATCTCCTAATCTCTTGCCACCCTCCCTCTTTGCCCGAGCTCATGTTGTGGGTGTTCACTGGTGTCCTTAGTCTCTGCCTTGATGGCCCTTGGTCTTCAGGCATACTCTTTCCTTGGGACATCTTTTCCTAGAACTTGGTGATTTAGGGGAAATTATTTTCTTACACTGAGCTTAGTTTCCTCATCTGTTGAATGAGAATGATGCTTCTAGCTTTCAGCACAGTTGAAACACAGCACACAGATCACACAGAGATGATCATGTGTGTCAGTTTATGTAAAGTGTACCTAGCACAGCTCCTGGCACATCAGCAGGACTCAGTAAGTGATATTACAGAATTTTCTATGATACTACTGTATCTTTATTCTGAGTCTCAGCAAGAGTGGGCACTAAGCCTTATCTTAGGAGG
Organism: Homo sapiens; assembly: GCF_000001405.40. Taxonomy (NCBI): domain Eukaryota; kingdom Metazoa; phylum Chordata; class Mammalia; order Primates; family Hominidae; genus Homo; species Homo sapiens. Next base: position 258,211 of record NW_025791769.1, read on the forward strand.
TCGTTTCTTCTTTCAGGAGCTTTATGATTGGGCATGATCCTTTCTCCATCCTTTCCATTCAGTGCTCAAGTTCTCTGACACTTCCTCATAGCTCACTTGTCAGGAAAGCCAAGAATGTCTGTTGATGTGACTCCTGCCCAGGTAGGAAGTGGTGGTTCTGAACTAGAGCTGAGGTCCCTTGATAGGCTGCATGGAATGCCCTTTGTGGCCACTGGGGCCACTAACCAGGCCTTTCTCCCTCCCACAAATCAGGGTTCCCAGACTTTCACTGGGAGGGCAGTCTGCTGGAGAATTCTATCTAGCTTGTGAGGCTGATGTTTTTCTTCCATTCAGGCCATCTACTGATTGGATGAGGCCCACCAGCATTCTGAAAGGTAATCTGCTTTACTCAAAGTTGATCAATTTAAGTGTTAGTCTCATCCAACAACACCCTCTAAGGTGACACATAAAATTAATTAACATTATGCGTTAGCATGCAGAAGTACTCTCCATGGTCTCTCCCTGACAATTCTTATTTTGTTTGTCTTTCTAAACAAATGTATTTAAGAGGTAAAACAACTGGGGAGCCATATGATGTTTCTTTCTCTGTTCAAGTTGGTCAAATAATACTAACATAAATATTTCCTCATGGAGAGATTAACTAACTCAATTGTATAAAGCATTTTCAGTCTACTCTCTCATTGCTTTGTCATGTAAGGCCAATGATCAACTGATCTGATGCATTCATTTTTCAGACAAGGAATCTGAGACCTGGCTGGGAGAAGAGGACTTGCCTAAAGTTATCCCACACAGCAAATTAGTTGGAAAACCAGGATAGTTGAGTAAATATCCTGGAGCCCAGCCAAGTAATGAAGCCAGAATTCAGAAAGCTGTTTTGGCTAGATCTTGGATTTTTACAATAAAGGGTCTGTAAGGGATATTTGTGAAAAATGTTGACACTTGACGGCTGTCCTGATTCATTCAGCTACCTAGGTTATCTCTGCCTCTCTTTGACTTGTGTTTTGTCTTTTAAGATGGCAGTCTTGCTCTTTTGCCTGGGCTGGTCTTGAACTCCTGGGCTCAAGCAGTTTTCCTGCTTTAGCCTCCTGAGTAGCTGGGGCTACAGGAGGACATCACTGTGCCCAGCTCTCTCCGTATCTTTGACTAGGTTATTTTACAACCCCATACGATAGAAATGAAGTTATAGAAAACTGATAGGAATACAAATAATTATTATCCATGGAAATGCAAATTGGATCTAATGGAATGAAACTGATTTTTTTTCCAGCAGATAGTGACCACCTTTGTATCCTTTTGTAAATTCATTTCAGCATTCCATATTTGACTAAAAATGTGTGACACTCCCAATTTGCTTTTGAATTCATTGTAATATCTACCAATTCCCTCATTAATTAATGAGTTAAATAAAGCCTTTGGCATGTATTTATTTTGTATCTATAGGAGAGTCATGAGTATATCTTCTTTTAAAAGGTATTCTTCAGTAGGTCTTAGGGTGCACAATACTTACATCTTATTTTCTCATTCTACACTGTTCCCACACCTCACCCAGAATAAATGTAATCTCCTGTGAGCTTCTGAACATCATGAAGAATAACAGCTCATTTTGTAAAGTCATTTAGTATTCGCCAAGCACCTTCACTTCGATCATCTCATTTGATTCCTACAATCAGCCTGGGAGAGCACTTGACATTCCCATTTCACAAATGGGGACGATGAAGGCCAGAGAAAGAATGTGCTGTATAAAACTGAGGTCTTACATATATACATGAGGCAGAGTCATGATCTCAGTATAAGTTTCCTGTTTCTAAGATCTATGCTCATCCCCTTCATTAAGTTATGTCATATTTCTGTGTGTGTGAAATGCTTTGGGTCTGGATGCAAAGCCGGGAGCAGGAGAGCTGCTATTTTAGAAAGAAAAGGCCAAGAATTTGGATGTAATTGAAGTTGTGAGAAGTTGCAGTTCCATCACCAGGATTTTTGTTATTCAGCTCCCTTTTTCATTTTTCCCCTTGAGAATAATACCCAGTTTTACATGTTAATGGATTTAATTACTGCATAGAGATCTGAACAGATAGAAAAGTCTCAGGCAGTGATGACGCAGTGATGGTCTATTGAGCAGCATTTGAATTAATTTGGAGTTTTCAATGCTGTGATTAGCGTGGTTATTAGTGTTAATGCTTGAAGTTCATGTTAACAGGGTGTTACCGTGAATTTGAAGCACTAAAACAGGCCTGATTTCCTAGTATTTGTTTGTTTATTTATTAATCAGTCCATTCATAATTGGTACAGTGCTGACATATAAAACGCCCCCTGCATTCAACTTCTCAGCTTGACTTAATAAAGGATAATATTGGGTCTCATTTAACCCAGTGCTAATAGGTTGTCCTTATCTATTCTGGTGCCTTCCCTACTGTGGACATTGTCTCCTTTGTCCTCAGACCACCACTGAGAGACAGATAAAGCCTCAGAGCATGAAGAAACAGCCTGAACTGTAGCTTAGGATAACAGTTCTTTGTTCACTTGAACTCCGTGTGACGTTGCCAAAAACATGCCTCCTTTCTGGACTTCAGTTTTCTGCTGAAAGGAAAACTGCGCTTCAGTTTTCAGCTCAGAGGAAATACAGGGATCATCTAATCTAAACCTCTATAAAATAAGGGGTTTTGTATTTCCTTTCAGCTCTGTGGTTCAGGGAGCAAATCAAAATGGAGAGATGACTGGAGAGTCATCAAACTCCAGAGTTGTGACTAAAAGATTATCTACCCTAGGACATTAATTCTACAATAGAGGACAGTGAGATACAAAACAGGTTAGTGATGTCCAAGGTCAGACAGCAGGTTAAGGTCAGAGCCTGAACCCGATCCAGACATTTTAATTCCTAATCTTGTGCTATTTGCTTCTTTTCATTTAGTTATCATGTGGTTTTAAAATAGAGTGAATAATATATCAAACTATTTGACTCCCATAATAAAACTTGTACCTCGTTAGTATAAAATGTTAACTTTCGGTCATATTTACTCCCCCATCCCCCTCTTAATATACCATTAAACTCCAGCAGAATTCCAAACCCTGAAGTGGCCATCCTAATAAGTAACCGCCATCCTGAGATTGGTGTGTAATGTTCTTATGTGATTATTGTTGTTAATATTTTTATTACATATGAAACATCCATTTTCCATTTAATTCATTGAATATTATTCTTTTTTTCCCTCTACTGGTTGGAATTATACTTTGTATCTCTTTTCTTTTAGGTGTTACCCTTAAATTGTTAATATGCCTACTTAACATTAAAAATGATCTTCATTTAATCAAAATCTTTCTCATACCAGTATGTAAAACCACCAATAATCCAATAACTCTCATCCTAAATTCCATGTATTTGGAATTGTCGACTGTTTAATTCTACCTCTTTTAAGCATCCCAATTAGTCATTGTTTTCTTAATACTTTGTGCTTATTTGGATTTAGACACATGTTATTTATACATTTTCTTATCTAATTGCTCTAACACATTGAAGATAATATTCTATTGTCTTCAGGTTTCTAGTTTTGCTACTAAGAAGTCTGCTGTTTGTCCAGTTTGTTTTGTTGTGTGTAATTCCTCTTTTCTCTCTGGTAAATTTTAAGATCTTTTCCTTGTTTTGTTCTGTATTTTCATTTCAAAGAATCTAGGTGTTACCGGTGGAGGGTGTCTGGGTTCTTGGCCTTTTAAACAAAGAATTGGACAAAATGCACAAACAAAGCAAAAAAGAATGAAGCAACAAAAGTGGAGATTTATTGAAAATGAAAGCGGACTCCACAGGGTGGGAGCAGGCCTGAGCAAGCAGCTCAAAGGTCTGGTTACAGACTTTTCTGGGGTTTAAATACCCTCTAGAGGCTTTCATTGGTTACTTGGTATATGTTCTACGTAAATGAAGAGGCTGAAGTGAAGTTACAAAGCTATTAACTTGGTGTACACTCTACGTAAATGAAGAGGATATTTCCTATCATAGCTGAAGTGTTTCTGTTTGATTGAGTTCTAGGAAGTCCTTAGGTTCCTTGCCTCCAGGCTCTATTCTCCCACCTCATAGGTATAAATTCATTTTTCTTTTTGCTGCTCTGAATGTATTGTAAATCTCCAATCTAAAGTTTCATATCTTTCTTCAACTATAAAAAATTCTTAGCCATTTCTTTAAACTCCTACTAAAAGAATGTTGTCTGCATTCTAATATCCAAAATCTGTCTTCTGTGCACTAATTCTCTCTATAACTGTGTTTAGTCTCCTCTCTAAACTGTCTGGCAAATTTTCAGTTTCAATAATTTTATTTTTTCTGTATGTACTATTTGGCTGTTTCTCAAATCTGCCTATTCTGTTTTCATGGAGTATTTTTTTTTCTTACTGTTTTATTTTTAATTTCACATCTTTAATTATTTGAAACATTTATTTTGTAGTCTCCCTTAGATGGCTTTATCTCAAGCTCTTAGCATGCAAACTCTCATTTTTTGTATCTGTTTACTGTCATTTTTTTCGTATATATTCTATAATTTTTGAATGTGAGCACATTTTCAGTGACAATATGGAGATGGGTAGAAATTAGATGTGGTCTGGGTTGTGGAAGTGTCCCTGCAGAAAAGCATTGCAGTTGCTTTTGGTAGGTGCCCCCAGAAATATCATGACCCCAGGAACATTTTTTAATGTAAATGTTAAGGTATAGGAATTCCCACAGTGATTAGGTGGTGTACTTTTTTTTTTTTTTTAACTCTAAGCTCCTTCATAGAATGGATGCATGAAAGGCTTTCTTTTTTTTTTTTTTTTTATCAACACAGAATCTCAATGAAGACATTATATGCTTCTTTATAATGTCCCTGGGTGGTGTGGTATACTGAATAATGGGTGCCAAAGATATTCAGATCCTAATCCCTGGCATTTGTGAATGTTACCTTATATAGAAAAAAGAGAATTTGCAAATATGTTTAAATTAAAGACCTTGAGATAGGGAACCTGGATTATCCTAAATGCAGTCACAACTGTCCTTATAAACAGGGAGGCAGAGGGAGATTTGACCACAAAGAGGAGAACGTGATTTGAAGATGGAAGCAGACATTGGAATGATACGCTTTGAAAACAGAAGGGGCCATGAGACAAAGTACACAAGAAAGGCACCTCTAGAAGTTGGAAGAGGCAAGGAAGCAAAATGTCTTCTAGAGTCTCCCAAGAGAACACAATTCTGCCAATCCCTTGATTTTAGACTTCTGGCCTCTAGAAATGTAAAAGAATTAATGTATTGTTTCAATACGCTACGTTTGTGGTAATTTGTTACAGCAGCAATATGAAACAGCTTGACTTAATAAAACAGAGTCTTTCTAGCCCCCTTTGACTGAGAGTGCAGTATTTCAAAAGTCTCTGCATGGAGACTTGACTGGATTTTTCCATGAAGACTAAGGGTGAGGATCTGTCACTTCTACCAAGTCAAGCTGGGAAGATATCAGATGACAAGATACCACAAAAAAAAAATCAGTGGTAAAAAAAATCAGACTTGAGAGGGAAATAAAAATACATGATTTCATGATTCTGATCCTTTTTTATTAGCCAAATCAATGATCTCAGATAATATGTCACAGTTGTCAGGGAAGTGGGGATAGAAGATGGTGTTTCTATTCCATATGTTTTATAAATTTTCACATGAACAGAGAAAAGCAACTTGGGTAAATTAGTTCTGTACTTCAATTTTCTCATGTGTAATGGAGCTAATAATAGTGCTTCTCTCATATAGTCATGGTGAGGCACCAACTCGATGGTGCATAGAAAGTGCCTGGCATATGTATGCCTTTGCCTTGCATAGACTAAGGATCTTTGAGGGGCTTGATCCAGTATTTTTGTCCAAGAATGATGGGAAGAGAATGGAGTGACCCAAAAGGATTTATAAGAAGTTTTCTCAACTAAAAAAAGAAATACAAATGAAGTTTTGGAATTCATCACCAAAGCTTTGGAAAACAGAAAGTTCTGTTAATTTTGGAAGGAGAAGGGGCCAGTTTAAAATGGAAGATGCTAATGTGATTGCTATGTTGTTCATTCAACAAAAATGTGCCTGCAGGGTGGTTAACTTATGCTAAGTGCTACAAGAGAAGCAGACGTCAACAGCAACCACACTCTTCTCATTTAGAACATTCAAATGAACTGTTGTAGCGGTTCACAACGTTGCAAGTGAATTTCATCAGCATCCTCTGAGATGGAGAATCTAGAAACTACTTATCGGCATTTTATGGATGAGGAAACTGACCTTCAGTTTTAACAGGGTCAAAGCTGGCTCTCTACCACCTCTCCTAATTCAATGCAGTTGACCCCGTATCATAGACAACTGGATGGGATCTCTCATCTCAAAGGGTTTACTATCAAGTAAGGAAAACAAGATGCATAAAAAGAAGGGTGGATACCACAGGTAAAAAGTGGCCATCACAATATATAAAAGGATAAATAAATAAGGAGCTTTAGGAGATTAGGAAGTCGGCGGCATGGATGGGAGAGGGGTGCCTGGTAAAGCACAGCAGAAAGGCACTGTGGAGGGGTAATGAAACATATGCCTTTTAAAATATCTTTGCCTTAAAAAATAAAAGCCAGTGGTCCAATAATAATACAAATGGTTTCTTACTATGCCAGCATGTTCCATCGTATTCTCCATTCCACAAACAATTATTGTGCATGCACTTACCATACATGAGGAACTGGTCACACTGAAAAAAAAGCTATGATGTACCACGGCACTAGCCTGATTTAGGGAAAAGAGCACTACACTGTGTCACCAGGAGACCTGCAGTCCAGCCCTGACACTGTGAGTGACATTGGATAATGTGTTTCCTCTTTACCTTAGTTTCTTCTTCCACACATTAGGAATCTAAAATTCTTTGCTGCTCTATCATTCTTAATCTGAATGATGAGACATTTGTCTATTCTGCTATCTTCTCTTTCATTACTCTCTGTTTTTCATTGTCTTACATGATTTTCCTGTCCTCCTTTCCTCTTATTTTTTTCTCCTCTTTCTTTCGGGATGGCCCCTCCTCTCGCCTCCCTACTGGTTATTCTGCCTCTCACGTTCAGTGTCTGCATCTTTTCTTCTTCATTACCTAAGTACATGTAAATTGGTCATGTTGCTGATGCGGAAGCAATCTTTAAAATTGGTTAAAATATGCCCACGTCAAATATGACGAATTCTTCCACTTTTGGACTCCTCATGATTTTAATCAACCAAAATCAGCCAATTGAGAAATGACAGCATGAGGTCCAAATTCCCTTAGCATCAATTTTTTTCTTGTTTTGTCCTTTGATGATGATGATGATATGTGTGTGTGTCTGTGTGTGTGTGCATTGTGTTCACTAGAGTTGTTAGTAGGTTCAGGCATTATTTAACCCATCAAGTAGCACTGAGCCCTTGCTATGTTTCAGGCACTGACTGAATAGCTGGGGATGGGGAAGATTAAAAAACAAAACAAAACAAAACAACAACAACAGCATCTCAAGTCTGTTAGTCAGAATGAGACGTGGGGATGTGGCAGATGCAAACATACGGACATGGTTAGGAATAAAGAAAGAAGCTTTGGCTGCATAATGAGGATATTTTGGCCCATGACGCAGGAATGCCTGGCTCTTGTCTTGAGCACAGGTTTCTTGGATGTTGCTAAACACACACTAAATTACAGCAGCATGGGAAGAAAACTGCCACTTTGCCACTGAGGCTGGGGCCTGATAATCCATGATAAGGGGCTATCTGGTCAAACCTGACTCAGAGAATGTAATTTAGGCCTATTGACTGCCTTCCTAAGCACCAAATCTGGGACTAATACATTTAGAAATACCCATGGAGAGAGAAAGAGAATTAGGTCCCAGAGGGACCTTAAACTCATTTAATAAGCTGAGCTGAAGACCAACAAAGCTGGCCAATCTGGCCTGGAGCCAGACATTTCCTGGACTTCAGGCAAAAAAGCAAGAGAGAACACAGCACGTGGCTGTAGCTTGGACTAGGTAGAATAAGCCAGGCCGCAAGGAAACTGGGCTTACTTGGTGTCCCTGCTGAAGGTACAGGGAGGCAGAGGCTTCCAAGTCATTTATATTTTCTGAAAGGGTCCATCTCTCTCCCAGGCAAGCAAAGCCAGAGGTCCCTTTTCAATTCTGTGCAACAGATTTTTTTATGAATGGATATAGCAACTCAGGGCACACCAGTAAATGCTCAAGAATCCAGCTCACGGTGGGCTGGCTGCAGGAGCCCTCTGACACAGTGGCACTGGCTCAGTGGCTGGCTTATATTTTCCCATAAGAAGTTCTTATAGCTGTCGTGGCATCCTCTCTCCCTCGACTTGTTACAAAGATTAAATGTCATAAGATGTGAGGTTAGTGCTGTTAGAGAGTCAAGAAAAAAAGGGTCCATCCCCACCTGAGCCTGGGACAGTCAGAGGTGACTGTGCAGAGTAGCTCCATGGTTCTATGTAAGTATTTAACTTCTCTGACCCTCAGTTTTCTCATCTGTAAAGCAAAGATAAAAATACCTACTTCAAATTATTTATGTAAGGATAAGATGAGATGATCTGTGTACACAGCATTTGGACATAGTAAGTGCTCAGTTAAAGGTGGCATTATTCTTGGTGTCATGTGTTATCCTCCACAATATAAAATATACTAACTACCATAGAATAGTGATTCGTCAATTCTAACGTGCATGAGAATCACCTATGGAGTTTGTTAAAAATATGGATTCTCAGTCTCATCTCACTTCAAATGATTTTGAGGGGTGACCCTGAAACATGCATTTTAGTGAGTATTCTCAGGTGATTTTGATGAAGTCATTCAATGATCATACTTGGAAAAATATTGCTGGAGAATTATATATTAAATAGAAAACCTGGCTTTGGTTCATGGCTGTCAAAACTGTCTAGGTTAGGCCTATGTCCTAAAAATGTCCCACTCCCCTTTCTTTCCCTTCTCCTCTGTCTCCAAGCATGACAAAAGTGGCAGTTGTTTAAAACAAGCTGCTACTATCATTAGCATCACCTTTGGATACCTCCTAGAAGAGTACCTCTCAACCTTGGAAGCATATTAGAATCACTTGGAAAGCTTTCAATCATCCTGATGCCCAGGCCAAACCCCTGACCAATTAAGTAGGGATCCCCAGGTGGACCCAGGCATTGGGGTTTTGGAAGCTTGCCTGGTGATTTCAATGTGCAGCCAAATTGAGAACCACTGCTCTAGATCCACTTTCCCCCAAATCCCTTCAAATCTTCTCCCTAACCTAGTTTCCATCCCGTGCCTTCTATCTTGGAATTTCTTCTCTTTCTAATTTTTTGGCTGAGTCCACTCAGCAGGTTTCCTTGTTCTGTTGGGATTTTTCCTGATGCCCTGATGCCTCTTACCTGTCTCCATTTGGCATTGATGTGCTACTCACCGCTCTGTCCAAGCCTGCAGGACACCTGGGATAGCTTCTCCTTGTCTTGGAAAAAGAAGATCACACATGCCACTGTCTTTCAAACTGTTTTGCCATTTGCTCCTGCTGCAGCGTTTTTCTTACTCTTGCCTACTTATCCTGCCAGAACTCATGCAGAATTCTCCTCCCCTGCGCAGCCACCTCTGACTATCCCAGGCTCAGGTAGATGAACCCTTTTTCTCTTGATTCTCTAATAGCACTAACCTCACATGTTATGACATTTCATCTGCATAACAAGTCGAGGGAGAGGGGCTGCCATGGCAGCTGTAAGAACTTCTTGTGGAAAAAAATATGAGTGCTTGGGGCAAAATTTCATACCAAGAGGAGTAAAAAACAGTTCAGAAATGCATTTTCAAAGTCAAAGAGGGATTGCTAGTCATTCCAGAGAGAAGAAAGGAGGTCATCCACTCTGCAATATGACCTACACTATGATTTTCTCAAAATCCTGAGTGTATTCTATAAAATTATTACAAAATATTTTATAAGAGTAGATTTCTTAGGGCACTGCCAGTGTGTCTGTGTCCAGGGAATTGCAGGGAAAAACAGGTCACATGAGCACTGGCATAAAGACAAGAATAAGCAGAGGGCTCTCACAGAAACCTTAGAGAGGGCTTTAGACTATCACAGGTTGTGGAATGTGTGTTAAGGCCAGATTTGGCCACACCTATAATGAGCAGAGAGGCTGCATCCATTATCGGAATTCTTTTTAAGCAGTCTCTATGCCCACTGAACTGTGGGTTTTCCGATGGAAGGGCCTATCTCCATGCATCCCAGTTTTCTGGGCACAAGTCTTGGCACATGGGATGCTCTAAATAAATCTTTGGAGAATGAATAACATAAAAAGCATATAATATAGGCTTTTTTTCCTAAGGTTCAAGGAAGCATGAAGGAGTCCTTATTGTCTGTGGCTATTCTATGGCTCAGACTAAATTCTCCCTTATTCCCTACTTAGATGCTATTGAACTTGTTTCTCCAAACTCTGTTATTCAAAATTTGATTAATTTGAGCTCAAAATGACATTTCAAAATCCCCTATTCCCAAACACATAGCTCATCAAAAACACCTCCCACTATTTACAATTCCACTTCATTGAAATATGATGATGCCAGGCAGACAGCAGTGTGTATTCAGTGGAATTCAATTTTCCTGATCACTGGCTCCATCGATCAGTCTGTTTGCAAAGGGCTGATGCAAGCATTCATCCACTTCATACAGACGGTGGGTGAGCCACTCTCCTATTATTTCTGCAAGTGAAAAAGGTTGTTAAACTATAATGATGGTATTCTGAAGGATCACTTTACTATTGTTGTTTTAAGCTTTATTGAGATTCTATCAAGGGCCAGGAGTTTTTCCTATGTGTTCATATTTAATCTTTACAACTGACAATTTAGCGGGGAAGAATCTGAGACTTAGAGAACTTAGGTGAATTGTCCACAGTTACAGAGCTGGCAAAGTGTGGAGCCGGAATTCAAACACAGTTCTTGTGATTTCAGAATTGAATATTATCCATTATACTTGGTTCTCCCCTTGGCAGTTGTCTTGGGGCTGAGGCAGGGAAGGTAGAAAGAAGTGACTGAGAAAGGAATCCCAAGACAATCTGATAGAGAAGAAAAATTACAGTGGCTTATTATTCAACATATTCACCACCTGTCACTCTCTCCTGGGATCCCCACTGTGGCTGAATAAGCACTTGTTACTGCAGCCAGAAGGCTACACTTGGCCACAGGCCTGTCTCTTCCCATGTATTGTGAGTTCCTTGAGACAGTGCACACCAAACACAAACACACACACTCAGGGCAGTGCCCAGGCCCAGAGGAGCTGGTAGCATGATGAGCAAATGTGGTGTCAGAGAAGAGGTGTCTTCAGGGAAGGAATCTCTGTGACTCTTGCAGGCAAGCAGCGTCTTCACCAGAGGTAATGGTCTGGGCATCTGCCTTAGACAGAAGACAGAAAGGCCTGGGAGAGACACATCCAGAATTCCAATCTACCTGGTAGTGTTGCCAACACAAATCTCCTTGAGGATAAAACCTTTTCTAACCCAGGCAGAGCCAGGAAAGTGCTCTGCAGGACCCATCTCAGCCGCATCACAGTTCAGGAAGCATGACTACTGTATCTTCAAAACTTCACTAAATGTTCCTTGTTGTTCATTGTTATGTCAATAGACATCTTCTACATTGTAGCTACCCTCAATGCATGAAATGCATGGAAAAAATCTAAAAGAGAATTATATTTTTGATCCATAGGTAAAATTGGAGAAAAATTGGGAGCATGCTTCTCTCTCTCTCTCTCTTTTTTTTTGTGATGGAGTCTCGCTCTGTCACCCAGTCTGGAGTGCAGCGGTGTGATCTTGGCTCACCACAACCTCCACCTCCCAGATTCAAGTGATTCTCCTGCCTCAGCTTCCCAAGTAGCTGGGACTACAGGTGTGTGCCACCACACCCAGCTAATTTTTTTTTTTTTTTTGTAGTAGAGACGGGGTTTCGCCACATTGACCAGGCTGGTCTCAAACTCCTGACTTTAGACGATCCGCCCACCTTGGCCTCCCAAAGTGCTGGGATTACAGGCATGAACCACCATGCCCGGCACTTCTCTCTTTTTAGGCAATAATTCTAGCTGTTCTGAAGACCAAAACTGGTCAATACTTGTCCTCAGTTTCTCTGAAAACTGAATCATGCATCATGAGAATTCCCTTCTCTAGTAGGAGAGCTCTTCAAAGCAATCATTTTCTTTATTAGCAAGTGTGGGTGTCTTCATAAACTTCTGGATTTGTTTCCAGGGTCTGGTTAACAAAGGATAGGATCTCATATGGCACTCATAGCAAATCTGAAATAGGTGGGGCTGACACTATCTGTTGTTTCTATTTTGCAGATACTCATGAAACTGAGGCTCAGAGAGTGTGCATGACTTACGCAAGCTCACACAGCTAAGTAACAATTATACTTGGATGAGATCTGGGTGTTCTGTTGTCCAGTCCAATATCACGTTGTACATTAAGACTTGAGTCATGCCAGTATCCCTATGATCATAGTCACACTTTTATCATCTAACCTCGAATCCTTAAACCTTAATATTCATTTCTCTTAGAAAAATAAAACATGGTAGAACTCAACTTCTGTACTGAATACAATCTGACACCACTCTGAATAGAGAAGCTCCAGGAAGCCATTCTGGTGGGTGGCGAAAGGTCACAGGAGGTGCAGTGTTTGAAAAAGCAATACAGATTTCAACAATCAGGTTATTAAGCAAAAATTCTTAGATAAGCTTTCTAATCCTATCAAGGGCTTACTCCTATTCCCCACTCAGCTGGCAAAGTTCAATTACATTGTAGGTCAAAATTAACACTGCAGGGGAAAGATTTTATTGTTTTGCTCTCATTCAGGCTAAGTATTTGACTCCTTGTGGATAGTAAGCATCAGTGTTTCAAAAGTGTGTGTGTGTAAGAGAGAGAGAGATGGAGAGAGAGAGAATATCTGTACTGTTTTCAAGTCCTGGCTATTATATAGTAAATTTTAAATGTCTTAAACTTGGTTAATCACTCTGATTGATATTTTGTGTTCCAGTTGTCAAAAAGAAAGAAAGAAAAAACAAAAACAAAGAAAAGGGGAGCAAAAATGGAAATATTTGAAAAAAGAGGGGCATATGAACATAGATACATGTATTATCTTTACAATGTTTATAGTATAGTTAATAAAGGAATTTTACCCACCTACATTGCTAATTTATTCCTGAACACTACTCCATGTACAAAGTAGGCAGGGTAAGTACACATATCAGCATTTTTTTAAAGATAAACAGAAACGCAGAATCAGATCTAGAGTCCTGTTTGGGAGCCTCTAGTTCATGTCATTTTTGCATGAATATTAGCCTTCCCTTACATAGTGTTCGCCAGTATAAGACGCCATTAAAAATGCTTTATGTTGACTCACGTAATATATAGCTGTACCTACTCTGATTCAAAACACAACTGAACTTTATCAGTTTTATACAAACCATGTATTTAGTTTTATACAAACTGAAATAATCCATGGTAGGGAAGGAGTGTTAATTTAGGGGGAAAAAAGTGAACCATTGGCTATGGCTATATAAATAATACAATTTTCAATGGTTGTGCTGAATTTGCACAACACTGAACACTTTTAAAAAAACTTTCTCACATGCAGTACCTTTCATTCTCACTGGAGTCCCATGAGGTGTCACTTTCCCCATTAGACATGGGGTAGCAGGAGCTGAGGCTCTGTGTTCTGGAACTAAGTCAAATTAGTGACGCATGCCCAGTTCTGCAGGTGGGTGGCAGATCTTGTGGGTGGTAGATGTTGGGGAAAATGGGAAAAGTAAGGACTGGAAAGTGGAGTGGCATGGAGAGGGAACCCTAGTGGGGCAGAAGGCTCAGATGACAAAGTCCTTTGAAGTGAGGTGAAGACTTGTCTGAGTAGTGGTGGGATTCATCCTTTTGCTTTGTGCTTTAGCCTTTAATGACATCCATCTCCCTCATCTTCCAGATTTATGCTCTTTCATTATGAACCCATTATGTGCTCAAGAGACTGTGCACTGCAGATATTCTCCTCGCAGAGCCCTTGTAATTCTGCCTGCACCCATGTTCAGAATCCAATTGAGAAAAGAAGGCCAGTGGGGTGGGAGCTGGGGGACCAGCAGCCATTGTCTCCTGTGGCAGCCTGATGGGATAGATTTTTCACAGGGATGCACAGGCTGAAACGTGTGTGTCCACTGAATTCATGGTGACAGCTCTGCTACCTCCATGACTGAGCACTGGGGTCATCCACCCAATTCAGTCCCTTAGTTGCCAGTGTCTTGGGGCAAGGTGAAGTCACAGAGTGTGGGCCAGGACTTAGGTTTCCAACTATCACTCAGCAAATATACCCAGCCTTATCATTTAATTTTTCACTCTAACAATTACTTATCAAGCACTGAAAATCAACACCATGTCAAAAGCTGAATACGGGGGTAAACTTTCATTTATTTTGCAAATACTTACACAACACTTACTACATGCTATGCACTGGTTTAATTGCTTTATTATTAATACATAACTTAATCTTCACTCCAATAATAAGAGGCATATTATTATCTTCATTTCACAGATGAAAAAACTAAGATACAGAAAAGTTAAGAAACTTGTTTGAGATCACACAGCTAGTGACATTTAGAGCTGGAATTTGAATCTATGCTGTATAGCTCCAGAGTGGATACTATTAACCACCGCCTTTCAAAATCTCTGCCTTAAGTATTTCATAGTCCAGAAAGTCAGACAAATAGTCATGGTAGATTATAATGATTATTGCAGTTGGGATATAGACAAAGTACTGTAAAGAAGCCGAGTTTGAACAGTTGTACTGACTGCCTGGGTCCCTGCACTTTTCTGATCCTGGTACTTACTCTTCTTGGTCCCTCACACTCTATTCTCACTAGCTTCCTGCTGACCTTGTCCCATATCTGACCCAGAGACCAACTCTTATCACTGTAAGGGGGATTTATGGCTTCTTATGCCAGCAGTGCAGGACACTTGGCATCAAGACAGCCTGACGGCTCATCCTGTGTAGATCCATGCTCTCTAAATGGGTTCCTCCTGCCCAACTCTTCTGATCAAGCCCCATCTCATATAATTGGTCCAGAAATTACAGCCTCTGCCTTGGGTCCTGCTCAGACTCTCTGGAAAGTACACTGATCTCTCTCTGTTTGGGATGAACAAGAAGGGGATCTGGCTGAAACATCTGAGTCTTCATCTAGGACCAGGGCTTATTGCACTCTTCAGACTACTTAAGTAGGTGGCTCCTTCCTTCCTCATTGCCTCAAGTGGGTTCCTCCAGTGCTTGGACATGAAGGCTGCCCTTCTCTGTGGAAGGGGGCCTCTTTCCAGTCAATGATAACTGGACATTTTCCCACTGGAATGTATAAACAAGCTTTGAGGTCTCAAACTCCTTAGGACTAAAGCTCTGTCGTCTCTCTCCAACCCTTTCTCCAACTGTATATCTGAGGTCCCGGGACTTGCTGACTGATGTCGCCACCATTGTCTGCCCATTTCAGACACCTGCCTTACCACTCTCCTTCCCCAAGTCACATGCCAGGACTGCCATCTGTCTCCATACCCTGCATATCCTATGGTCCATTTATCACAACCCTCTCATGTCCTCTGCAACTGTTTCTAGAAGATCACCCTGATGTCTCCTCCAGCAACTTCTGCAATTACAAGCAATTCATCAGCAGTCTTCATGCTTGGACTGTTTATTTATATCAAATTCTAGCCATTGGCCTCACTTTATTTTTTTAGGTGTTTGATCTCAAGAAAATCAACCATTTCTGACACTCAAGACACTGGCATTTTCTCTTAGCTTTTTCTTCTGCATCCATAAAACAGAGGGCTCCATCATGTAATCAAAGGGAGCAAGAGGCAGAGGTTTCGTCCTAAGGCATCTGATAAATACATTTAATCTTTATTTTAGTGTTTTTAGATATGCTAGGCACTCTATTATATTTTTATTTTCACTTTCTTATCCATCCTTACAAAACTCTTTTAAATTGGTAGTTATTATTGTAACCACCCAAGGGGTTCTTCCTGCCCATTGCATAAAGAAAGACCACAGTATTATAGTAGAGAAAGAGTTTAATAGACACGAGGCATGCCACGCCACATGGGAGATGGAGTTCCTACTTAAATTATCTTGCCAGAAGCTCCTAGGTTAGAGGATCTTCAAAGGCAGTTTGAGGGAAGGGGTAGGGGTGGCTAGGTAACAGCTGCTTGCTGCTGATTGGTTGGAGTGGAGATAAAATCATGGGGCTCAAAGATGTCCTCCTGAAGACTGAATCACTTCTGGGTGGGCCACAGGAGCTGGGTTGGCAGTTCAAGTGGAGCCATCGGGTCCAGGTGGAGCCATGGTATCAGAGTGTTCAAACCAAAGTGACTCCATCTTGAATAGGAGCTGGGTAAAATAAGACTGAGACCTACTGATCTGCTGTCTCAGGAGGTTAGGCATTCTTAGTCAGAGGATGAGATAGGAGGTCGGCACAAGATACAGTCACGAAGGCCTTCCTCATAAAAGAGGATGCGGCAAAGGAGCCAGCCAAAACCCTTTTAAACCAAGATGGTGTTGAAAGTGACCATTGGTCCTCATTGCTCATTATATGCTAATTACAATACATTAGCATGCTAAAGGACACTCCCACCAGCACCACGACAGTTTATAAATGCCATGGCAACATCAGGAAGTTACCCTGTATAGACTAAAAAGGAGAGGAACCCTCAGTTCCAGGAATTGCCCACTTCTTTACCAGGAAATTCATGAATAATCCACACCTTGTTTAGCATGTAATCAAGAAGTAACTAGAAGTATATTCAGTTGAGCAGTACATGCCACTGCTCTGCCTATGGAGTGGCCATTCTTTATTCCTTTACTTTCTTAATAAACTTGCTTTCACTTTACTCTATGGACTCACTCCAAACTCTTTCTTACATGAGGTCTAAGAACCCTGTCTTGGGGTCTGGATCGGGACTCCTTCCCAGTAACAATGGGTATCAGACGTGCAAAAACCTCAAAAGATATCTCAATAGTCCAATCTACAATAGGGGTGTTATTTGCAGGAGTAATTGGGGAATTTGCATATTTTATAACCTCTGGAATAATGGCTAACAATCTTATGTCAATTATGCCTGCACCTTTACAGGACTCAGGTTCCTCTCCGCCCCACAGCCTGATGGCCTCGCATTAGCTTTATAAAAGTGGTTGAGTTTTGCGGCAAGGCCTATTATCATTTAAACGATAGCCTACATGTCTTCCAAAGTTAGCTCAGCCCAACAGCCCAGGAATAATTAAGGGAATGGCAAGAAGGTGGGGGGTGACATTTCATCTTATTGTTATAATTTTCTAACTGATATAATTTTTGCAAAGCCAGTTTCAATATCACCATTTTACAAATGAGAAACTTAGGAGTAAAGCATTTAAAGGTTTAAAAGTATATTTTAAAGGAGCTCAATGGTTAAAAGTCACCTTTATTAAAAGGTTAACATCCAAGATGTGTGTGTGTTTGTGTGTGTATGTGCATGTTTGTATTTAAAAGGCCTTCATGTCTTCATGTTTTTGTTTGTTTTTCTCTCTTAGGACCTTGTCTTATTTTGAGCAAAAGTTTCTTTTTCTTCTCTGTTGACTGAATTTGGTTTTCACCTGATTTTTTGACTAAAACAGTTATTGCAACAGAGGCTACTTTTGTGTTTGTAAGCCTTTATTTATATGACAAAATGTAATGACCCACCAAACACATGCCTACCATATAGTCAAACCCAGCTTTTTTTTTTCTCTAAATTAAAGAGAAATAATTTAAGGAAGAGTGTTTCATGCGCGTCGGTGTGAAGAGACCACCAAACAGGCTTTGTGTGAGCAATAAAGCTGTTTATTTCACCTGGGTGCAGGCGGGCTGAGCCCGAAAAGAGAGTCAGCGAAGGGAGATAGGGGTGGGGCTATTTTATAGGATTTCAGTAGGTAAAGGAAAATTACAGTCGAAAGGGGATTGTTCTCTGGTGGGCAGAGTGGGGGTCACAAGGTACTCAGTGGGGGAGCTTTTGAGCCAGGATGAGCCAGGAGAAGGAATTTCACAAGACAATGTCATCAGTTAAGGCAGGAACAGGCCATTTTCACTTCTTTTGTGGTGGAATGTCAGCAGTTAAGGCAGGAACCGGCCATCTGGATGTGTACCTGCAGGTCACAGGGGATATGATGGCTTAGCTTGGGCTCAGAGGCCTGACATTCCTGTCTTCTTATATTAATAAGAAAAATAAAATGAAATAGTGGTAAAGTGTTGAGGTGGCGAAAATTTTGGGGGGTGGTATGGAGAGATAATGGGTGATGTTTCTCAGGGCTGCTTCGAGCGGGATTGGGGCGGCGTGGGAACTTAGAATGGGAGAGATTAAGCTGAAGGAAGATTTTGTGGTAAGAGGTGATATTGTGGGGTTGTTAGAAGAAACATTTGTCATTTAGAATTATTGGTGATGGCCTGGATACAGTTTTGTATGAATTGAAAACTAAATGGAATAAGGAGAAAAACAGGTATAAAAGGTCTAAATATTGGGACGACTCGGGACATCTGATTAGAGAGTGCCTGAGGAGATTCAGCATAGTCCTGCCAGCAAAGATTATTTATTTACTTCAAGAGTTAAGAGTGGTAGTTTGAGGATAGCACCAGGTGATATCAGCTGTGATGGCTTGGAGAAACAGTGTAAACAGGCAGTGTAAACAAGAGCAGGGCATGTATGAGTAGTTGAGAACGGTGAATAGGAGTATGACTAGACAGAAGATAGTAGGGATGACAAGTTTTTTTGGGGGCACAGTCTAAGTTGGTCTGGTGTCTGGAATGAGACTGGGGCCTAATAAAAAGGAGCGTCTATACAGGAGCTCAAATGGGCTGTACCTTGTAGCATTCTGACGACAGGTCTGACTTCTGAGAAGGGAAAGTGGTAAAAGTATTGTCCAGTCCTTTTTAAGTTGGTGGCTGAGCTTGGTGAGGTGTGTTTTTAAAAGACCTTTAGTCCATTCTACTTTTCCTGAAGATGGAGGACCGTAAGGGATATAAAAGTTTCACTGAATACTAAGAGCCTGAAAAACTGCTTGGCTGATTTGACTAATAAAGTCTGGTCTGTTATCAGACTGTATAGAGGTGAGAAGGCTAAACTGAGGAATCATGTCTGACAGAAGGGAAGAAATGACTGCAGTGGACTTCTCAGACCCTGTAGGAAAGGCCTCTACCTATCCAGTGAAAGTGTCTACCTAGACTAAGAGGTATTTTAGTTATTTGACTCAGGGCATGTTGAGTAAAGCTAATTTGCCAGTCCTGGGTGGGGGCAAAACCTCGAGCTTGATGTGTAGGGAAGGGAGGGGGCTTGAATAATCCCTGAGGAGTAGTAGAATAGCAGATGGAACACTGAGAAGTTATTTCCTTGAGGATAGATTTCCACGATGGAAAGGAAATGAGAGGTTCTAAGAGGCGGGCTAGTGGCTTGTACCATAGCATAGCCTGCCTTTGCTGGTGTGTGGCGATTAGGCCTGGTGGAACTGCCATCAATAAATCAAGCGTGATCAGGGTGAGGAACAGGAAAGAAGGAAATATGGGGAAATGGGGTGAATGTCAGGTGGATCAGAGAGATACAGTCATGGGGGTCAGGTGTGGTATCAGGAATAATGTGGGAGGCCGGATTGAAGTCTGGGCCAGGAACAATGGTAATTGTGGGACTTAACAAAGAGTGAGTACAGCTGAAGGAGCCAGGGAGCAGAAAGTATATGCGTCAGGTATGAGGAAGAAAATAGATTTTGGAAGTTATGAGAAATGTAGAGAGTAAGTTGAGCATCGTTTGTGATTTTGAGGACCTCTAAAAGTATTAGGGCAGCAGCGGCAGCTGCATGGAGACATGAGGGCTAGGCTAAAACAGTAAGGTCAAGTTGTTTGGACAGAAAGGCTACAGGGTGTGGTCCTGGCTCTTGTGTAAGAATTCTGACCACGCTAACCATGCCTAGGAAGGAAAGGAGTTGTTGTTTTGTAAGGGATTGAGGTTTGGGAGATTAATCGGACATGATCAGCAGGGAAAGCACGTGTGTTTTTATGAGAATTATGCCGAGATAGGTAACAGATGAGGATGAAATTTGGGCTTGACTGAAGTAATGGGGGCTGTCTGTGAAGCCTTGCGGCAGTACAGCCCGGGTGACTTGCTGAGCCTAATGGGTGTCAGGGTCAGTCCAAGTGAAAGCAAAGAGAGGCTGGTATGAGGGGTGCAGGGGAATAGTGAAAAAAGCATCTTTAAGATCAAGCACGGAATAGTGAGTTGTGGAGGAAGGTATTGAGGACAAAAGAGTGTACGGGTTGGGCACCACAGGATGGATAGGCAAAACAATTTGGTTGATAAGGCTCAGATCCTGAACTAATCTGTAAGACTTGTCCGGTTTTTGGACAGGTAAAATGGGGGAATTGTAAGGAGAGTTTACAGGCTTTAAAAGGCCATGCTGTAGCAGGCAAGTGATAACAGGCTTTAATCCTTTCAAAGCATGCTGTGGGATGGGATATTGGCATTGAGCAGAGTAAGGGTGATTAGGTTTTAATGAGATGGTAAGGGGTGCATGATCGGTCGCCAAGGAGGGAGTAGACGTATCTTATACTTGTGGGTTAAGGTGGGGGAATACAAGAGGAGGATGCAAAGGAGGCTTTGGATTGGGAAGAAGGGCAGCAATGAGATGTAGCTGTAATCCAGGAATAGTCAGGGAAGCAGATAATTTAGTTGAAGTGTCTCGGCCTAATAAGGGAACTGGGCAGGTGGGGATAACTAAAAGGAGTGCTTAAAAGAGTATTGTCTAAATTGGCACCAGAGTTGGGGAGTTTTAAGAAGTTTAGAAGCCTGTCTGTCAATACCCACAACAGTTATGGAGGCAAAGGAAACAGGCCCTTGAAAATAAGGTAATGTGGAGTGAGTAGCCTTGGTATTGATTAAGAAGGGGACAGACTTACCCTCCACTGTGAGAGTTACCTGAAGCTCAGCGTCCGTGATGGTCTAGGGGGCTTCCGAGGTGATTGGGCAGCGTCAGTCTTCAGCTGCTAAGCCAAGAAGATCTGGGAAGCAGTCAGAGAGCCTTGGGCCAGAGTTCCAGGAGCTCTGGGAGTGGCTGCCAGGTGAGTTGAACAGTCTGATTTCCAGTGGGGTCCGGCACAGATGGGACACAGCTTAGGAGGAATCCTGGGCTGCAGGCATTCCTTGGCCTGGTGGCCAGATTTCTGGCACTTGTAGCAAGCTCCTGGGGGAGGAGGTTCTGGAGGAACGCCTGGCCACTGCGGTTCAGGCGTTTGGAAGTTCTTGTGTGCTGGAGGTGTGGCTGGGGTTTGTCTCACAGTGGAGGCAAGGAATTGCAACTCTTTTCTATTATTGTACACCTTGAAGGCGAGGTTAATTAAATCCTGTTGTGGGGTTTGAGGGCTGGAATTTAATTTTTGGAGTTTTATTTAATGTCGGGAGCAGATTGGGTAATAAAATGTATTTTGAGAATAAGATGGCCTTTTGACCTTTCAGGGTCTAGGGCTGTAAAGTATCTCAGGGTTGCTGCCAAATGAGTCATGAACTGGGCTGGGTTTTTCATATTTGATGAAAGAGCCTAAACGCTCACTGATTTGGGAGAGGTCTGATAAAGAAAAAGGAGCATTAACCTTGACTATGCCTTTAGCTTCAGCCACCTTTTTAAGAGTAAATTGCTGGGCAGGTGAGGGCTAGTCACGGAACGAAACTGTAAGCCGGACGGGGTGTGAGGAGGGGAGGTGATAAAAGGATTATAGGGTGGAGGAACAGGGGCTGAGGAAGAATTGGGACTTAGCTTGGCCTGGTGACAAGCAGCCTGAGGAGGAGGGGAAAGATCAGATGGGTCTGTAGAAAAGGAAGACTGGAAAGACTCAGCGACGCTTGGGGTTGGGACTAAGGGGACAGGTGGGAGGGAAAGAAGGAGGATTTGGTAGGAATTGCATTGGGAACAGAGACTAGAGAGGGACTGATGTGTAAAAGAACACCTGGACATCAGGCACCTCAGATCATTTGCCCATTTTATGACAAGAATTATTTAGATCTTGTAGGATGGAAAAATTGAAAGTGCCATTTTCTGGCTATTTGGAACTACTGTCAAGTTTGTATTGGGGTCAAGCGGCATTGCAGAAGAAAATAAGATGCTTAGATTTTAGGTCAGGTGAGAGTTGAAGAGGTTTTAAGTTCTTAAGAACACAAGCTAAGGGAGAAGAAGGAGGAATGGAGGGTGGAAGTTTGCCCATAGTGAAGGAGGCAAGCCCAGAGAAAAGAGAGAGACATGGAGGGAAGGGGTTTGGGGGTTCTTACCCTCCAGAAAAGTGGGAAAGGGGTTGGGACACAGAGATACAAGGTCAGGGCATGGAAATAAGGGATTGGGGCACAGAGATAAGAGGTCAGTGCACAGAAATAAGGGATTGGGGTACAAAGATGTAAGAGGTTGGGGCATGGAAATAAGGGATTGGGGCACAGAGATACGAGGTTGGGGTACTTGCCCCTCCTCTAGAAAAGTGGGACTTGCCACTAAAAGTGAAGGAGAAGGGGTTGGGGGTTTCTTGTCCCCCAGAAAGGCAGAGAAGGGGTACAGACATGGAGAGAAGGGGTTGGGGTACTTGCCCCTACCCCAGAAAAGCAGGACTTGCCGCTAAGGGTGAAGGACCAAGGCAGGCATCCCTGCGTGGTCTGACACCTCTGAAACCTGGGTGAATAATCAGAGCAGTGTCCCTGCAATGATTAAACACCAAGGGAAGGCTGCCTTCCCTAGTCCGTGACCGGCGCTGGGGTTTTGGGTCCACGGATAAAACGTGTCTCCTTTGTCTCTACCAGAAAATGAAAGGAATTGAAATTAAAAGAAGGGAGAGATTGAAGAGTGGAAAGGAGAAAGTGGTTGAGGGACAGTGAGAGAGGTTGGAGAAGAGAGTAAAAAGAGGCCGCTTACCAGATTTGAAATTGATGAGATGTTTCTTGGGCTGGTTGGTCTGAGGACCTGAGGTCATAGGTGGATCTTTCTCATGGAGCAAAGAGCAGGAGGACAGGGGATTGATCTCCCAAGGGAGGTCCCCCGATCCGAGTCATGGCACCAAATTTCATGCACGTCTGTGTGAAGAGACCACCAAACAGGCTTTGTGTGAGCAGTAAAGCTGTTTATTTCACCTGGGTGCAGGTGGGCTGAGTCCGAAAAGAGTCAGTGAAGGGAGACAGGGGTGGGGCCATTTTATAAGATTTGGGTAGGTAAAGGAAAATTATAGTCAAAGGGGGGGTTGTTCTCTGGCGGGCAGAGTGGGGGTCACAAGGTACTCAGTGGGGGAGCTTTTGAGCCAGGATGAGCCAGGAGAAGGAATTTCACAAGACAGTGTCATCAGTTAAGGCAGGAACAGGCCATTTTCACTTCTTTTGTGGTAGAATGTCAGCAGTTAAGGCAGTAACTGCCCATCTGGATGTGTACATGCAGGTCACAGGGGATATGGCTTAGCTTGGGCTCAGAGGGCTGACAGAGTGTAGTTTAGACACTTAGAAATGTCTTTGTTTAAAGAAAAACTTTTTAAATGCACTGTAAAAACATCACATGGTCTAGCCTCATAATTATTCTCCCTTTTTGGAGACCCAGGATTCAGTGTGGGCTCTGCCCACAGCTCAGAGACCCAGTTTTGTTTTTTTTTTTTAAAGGTAGTTTCTACCAAAATAAGATTGGTCTCCTTATACAATTCTTTGAAAAATTTCTATAATTTTATATTTGATTTGGCATCAATCTTAGTCTTCTTCTAGCACCACCAGACTTTTTCTCTGTGAATCTTGAGATGGAAATTTTGCCATCTGATTTTTCATCTAAGAGTTACTTCCTTCAATATACAGATTTAGCGCTATTTAGCTGACAACTGCCAGAGTAAGGAAACAGGTTATCAAGGGTTTGCAAGTCTAAGATAGGAAAAAAAAGGAAGTCTTAGAAATCTGTAAGATACGCTTCTATTGGCATGTCTAATACATCTATGTATTTATGTGTTGTATACATGCGTCACTACTGAAAATATAGAAAGAGTTCTAATTAATTGGCTTAAGAAAATAAAAGCACTTGACTTGAATGGTTTATCAGGAAAAAAAGAAAAGACTAGTTAAATGCTTTTTCAAGTTTATGTAACTTAAGTAAAATCTTTAATAAATAAGCTAGCTTTAAAATTATTGGTAATGTTAGAAATGTCTTAAGAATTGCCAGCATACATTTTTGTTTGCATTTATTGATCAAGCAATTTCATACTTATCCCTTCCAAATACTACAAGGTGTCAAAATGTGGCATGGGGTAACAAAACTATAAACCCAACCCCAAACAGAATGATTTTTGCTTATGTAATTTTTAAGAAATAAGACACTGATACAGGTTTAATGAAAATAGCTGCATCTTAAATTTAGTAAGATTACCATAACTTCTCATCCCATGGCTTTAGACAGTCTAGTCCACAGGCAGTAAGGAGGTTTGTTTTGGGAAACAACTGTTACCATCTTTGTTTCAAAGCTAAACTATAAACTAAGTTCCTCCTAAATTTAGTTTGGCCTATGCCCAGGAATGAACAAGGACAGCTTGGAGGTTAAAAGCAAGACAGATTCAGCTAGGCCAAATCTTTTTCACTGCCTCAGTTATAATTTTGCAATGGCAGTTTCATAACTTTAAATTATGACTATCGTAGTTTTCATAAATAATCTAGGTAAACAATTAAAATAACAATTAGGTAAACGTAATGGGATAAACACTTGTAGACTAACTTTTCATAATTTAGAATATAAAGTTATATTAAATTAAATAATAGATATTTCATTATTTGGGT
Source organism: Homo sapiens (assembly GCF_000001405.40). NCBI lineage: Eukaryota > Metazoa > Chordata > Mammalia > Primates > Hominidae > Homo > Homo sapiens. Next base: position 283,023 of record NW_025791769.1, read on the forward strand.
ATTTTCCAATAAATATATGTTGTTGGAAAACATTCTTGCTAAAAAAAATAGTGTGTCCTCTGTCCTTTTTAAGAAAAGGCGAACAAGTTTGTCTAATTCAAAGCTTATTTAAAGGTTATGTATAAAACAAGGTAAAGGAACCAGGAAATAAGAGGGACGTAAAGAAAGTTATAAAAAAAAAAGAGGGTTTTTTTTTGTGGTAAGAAAGCTTAAAGAGAAATAATTTTGGCCAGGTGCAGTGACTCACGCCTGTAATCCCAGCACTTTGGGAGGCTGAGGTGGGTGGATCACAAGGTAGGAGATCGAGACCATCCTGGCCAACATGGTGAAACCTTGTTTCTACTAAAACACAAAAAATTAGGCAGGTGTGGTGGCACGCGCCTGTAGTCCAAGCTACTTGGGAGGCAGAGGCAGGGGAATCGCTTGAACCTGGGAGGTGGAGGTTGCAGTGAGCCGAGATTGTGCCATTGCACTCCAGCCTGGTGACAGAGCAAGACTCCATCTCAAAAAAAGAAAGAGAAATAATTTTATATGAGAAATAATCTTGTATGGCAAATTTAGACCTAAAATAAAATGTCTGGTTGTTTAAGAAATAGAGATGTTCAGGACAAACCAGAAAGTCCAAGCATGTCATGAATGGTATGTGTAAGTCACAATAAGTATTTCTTAAATAAAATTTTTAAAAAACCCAAAACTTTTATATGATCAAGTTGTTTATAATTAAAGGGAAATTATAATGCTCTTTCTAGAGATTTGGCTTGATGCAAAAAAAACCACTTATACACTAAGTTATTGATTAGAACAATGACATTTTCTTAAGAGGTTGATTCACTCTTAATAAATTATAAGAGATTTTAATTCTTTTTTTAACCCAAAGTTTAACTTTTGTTGCATCTTGCTGTTTCTCTCCCCTTTTAAAAGGTACATTTTCTTAAAGGTCTAAGGGAAATGTTTTCTTCCAACATAATATTCTGTGCACTGTGGAAGATATTTTCTTTTGCCTTTTGGTAACTTGTGTAATGGATTTTATGTTTTATCAAAATAATTAGTATGCCATTATTATTAACTTTGTTTTGCTTCCCAGGAAAAAACTGAAATTTAATTTTTTTAAAAAATTAAGTTTATTATATTCATGTATCTTCCTGTATGTGCTTTTAAAGTCCTTGTGACATTGAGTTACAGGACTTTGACTCCTGGATCTAAAACGGCCACCAAGTCCGGCTAAATCTTAAACACTGACAGCCCTGTAATAGATGGCACATAAAATTAACTGCATTACTGAGACCCAGGGCCAGAAATTAAATCTATTCAGCTCTTCAAGGCCCAGGGACTATTTCAGTAGAGGTGGGCATGTGAGATTGTAAGGGCCAACTTTAAAAGATAAAAATAAGTTCAGTTTCTCTATAAATTAATCATTAATGTCAAAGGCACACTGATGCAAGACCAGCATATGGGCCCCTGTGTCAGATTAACAAGGTTTTCTTGAGGCATTAACTGATTCCTTAATAATGGTTATAAAGGTTATAAAAGGCTTCTGGAAGTTATATCTTATGGTAAAGATTTAAATGTTATAGATTGTTTATACATTTTGAAAAACAAATTTAATTGGCTTCATACTGTTTTTATTAGGGCTTATTGTTTGGGAAATTAAATCTCCTCTCTAAAAGAATAAAGGTTTTGCCTGTTTTTGAAATCTTTGAGTTATTACTTTGGTTAAAAGAATGACTTATTTTACAATGACTTGTGATCCTATTTTGTGATATCAAGTGTTTTAAACCTTTGATATTTGACAAACTTTTCAAAATCAAATTATAAATTATGTCTTTTTCTGACTTAATTAATCCTCTAAGATATTAGTTTCCCTAAAGTCCAAAAATGACATAATTTTGACATTTAGTAGTACAAAAATTATATAGGAAGCATTATCAAATATAAAATGGTGTTTGGTTTTCTTTGTTAATTTGTATAAATACGTTGTTGATATGTATTCTAAAATTTTGGGACACTCCTGTAATTCTGATATGACTTTACCAGTAATAATGATAATTGTTAAAATTATTGTCTGCCACAGAGGTAACAAATTTCCTTGTCAATTTTGTCTTTGACTATGGGTTCCCTAAAACTTTTTGTCATCCTTGGACAATGGTTGTGTTGTTTTGGTCCTCTTTGGAAGGTGGTTTTATAATCATCTATAAAACTATAACAGGTGCTCTCGAATGCAGGTTTCTGATAACTTTGGAGACTGTGACATCAGAATAAAGGAAAAACTTTCAGGACTCATGCATAGAGTGCTAAAATGTTCATGAATATCAACCAGAACAGGAATTAACTGCATGGACTGAACTAATCTTTTTGACTTTTTGCTTAAAATGTTGCTGATCATTTGTTTTGTTTTTCAGAGTCTTGAAATTTTTCTTCTGAGCTATTGACAGTTTTGGCAATTTAGTATACTCTTATGAACAAAATTTGGAGCACATTTGTTTCTCTCTACCTGATTTCTCCAGAATTTGGAAACTATTTGTGAGTATTCTTAATTTATGGCAATCCAGTTATTTGCATAAGTGCAACAAGAATTTGTTTTCATTTGTAACAGGACACAATTGGAGAAATTTGTTATTTTACCAAGGCTTTGACTGGAATGGTGTGTTGTCCTTTAAGGAATCAAACTTGACTCATGGAACCAAAAAAGTCCTTGGGAAAACTGGCCTCATAGTTTACACAGTCCCTCTACAGGGTTTCTGACCTATGGTAAGTAAAGAATGTCATTTTCAGAAAGGCCCAGGAGCCCCAAATTTATCTTGGAACCTCAAGAGGAGGGGAAATTCACCCAACTCATAGGTATTTGATGGTACAAGTCCATGGTTGGGTTCAGCTTTAAAAGTCTTATCTGAGATTCCTTCTATAGTAAAAACTTCCATCAAAGCCAAATTTTAAAAACATATGTGAAAAATAATTATTCTTGCTGCACTTTATACAAATAATCTGACCAAATATAATAAAGCAAATCAGTCCTACCATGATTTGTCTTTAGTAAAAATGGAAAACTGGAGAGAGAAAAATTATGTTTCAAAAACTATTGTACACTTGTTGTTAGATTTGAGTCTTTCCTAATGTTTTTCAATTTTTATTATTTTCTACAGTTTGGGCTAAATTATAATTTTTCCTGGCTACAAGTTTTCAAAATAATATTTTTAATTTTTTTCTTCTTTCTTTTCCTTTTCCCCCCATTTTTGTCCTAATTTGAAATCACTGAAAACAAAGCTGTGTTTTCTTAAAACCCTGTGAACTGAAGCCAGACACCTTAAACTTCAGAAGAAAATAACAGCAACCTATTTACATACATAAGCCACTTTCATATCTGCCTACTAATGTATGGACTTCAGAGTAATGTGACCTATATCAATTTTCCAGGATCCTTCTTTTGTTTGTTGTTGTTTTTCTCCTTTCCTCCCCCTCCTTTCTCTTCATAGGACATGAGACTTCACAATCTGCTAAAAATGAGCTTTCAGGAGCTACCCATCTAGAAATAAACTGTCCTAGCCATGAGAGATCAGATGAAACCTGAGACCAGAAACTAATTTCCTTCTAAAATGCTTTCTCCAAAAGATTTTTTAAAAGAAAAGAGGGGAAATGTGACAGGAAAATCTTGGGGCCACGAAATTACTAAGCTAATGGAAAAAGTCAAGCTGGGAACTGCTCAGGGCAAATCTGCCTCCCTTTGTATTCAAAGTCATCCCTCTGCTCACTGAGATAAATGCATATCCGGTTGCCTCCTTTGGGAAATCTTATCAGAAACTCAAAATAATGCAATTATTTGCCTGTTGCCTACCTGTGACTTGGAAGCCCCCTCCCTGCTTCGGGTTGTCCTCATCTTTCTGGAGGGAATCAATGTACTTCTTACATATATTGATTGATGTCTCATGTCTTCCTAAAATATGTAAGACCAAGCTGTGCCCTGACCACCTTGGGCACATGTTGTCAGGACTTCCTGAGGCTGTGTTACAGGTGCACATCTTCAACCTTGGCAAAATAAACTTTATAAATTAACTGAGACCTCTCTCAAATTTTGGGGTTTCACAGTCATAGAGGTAATAATTGATGGAGCTATAACTGCTTGAGGGGTTCTTCCTGCCCAATGCATAAAGAAAGACCATGGCATTGTGGTAGAGAAAGAGTTTAATAGGCACAAGGCCAGCCACACCACATGGGAGATGGAGTTCCTACTCAAATCATCTCATCAGAAGCTCATAGGTTAGGCGACTTTCAAAGGCAGTTTGAGGGAAAAGGTGGGGGTGGCCAGGTAACAGGTGCTTGCTGCTGATTGGCTGGGTAGAGATAAAATCATAGGGAGTCTAAGTTGTCCTTCTGAATTGCTTTGCTTCTGGGCACAGGAGGGGGTTGGAGCCATGGATTTCAGACATACAAAAAAACCTGGAAAGATATCTCAAAAGGCCAATCTATAATAGTGGTTTTATTTTCAGGAATAATTGGGGAAGTTACATATCTTATAACCTCCGGAATAATGGCTGGCCTTCATTTATGTCTGTGCCTTAGCAGGACTCAGGCCCCTCTCCTCCCCCAAGTATGGAGGCCTCCCATTAGCTTTACAAAAGCAGTTGAGTTTTGGGCAAGGCCTATTATCATTTACACTGTCGCCTAAATGTCTTCCAAAGTTAGCCCAGCAGCCCAGAAATAATTAAGGGAAAGGCAAGGGGTGGGGAGAGTTGGCTTAGCTTACTGTTATAATTTTTCTCACTGATATAATTTTTGCAAAGACAGTTTCAGAGCCAGTTCTCAAACCCAGGTCTGTCTGATTCAAGCTGTGTTCTAAACACCAATGTTCTAACCATTTTATTTCTTTCTGAGCCTCAATTTCTTTACTGTAAAATGAGGCAGTGCAACAGATCATAGGACTTCACAAGTCTTTTTCAGCTCTGGAAGAATATGAATCCAACAGTGCAGATTGGAGTTTAGGATGGAGCTTGTCTTCCTTGCCTTCTGCTCTTTCTGATTCTCTCTGGAGAGAAAGGAGCTCTGTCTTCAAGTTGGAAGGATTGTCTTATGAAGGAGTGAGCTGGATCAGTCTCTGAGCCCTGAAGAAACAGATGCTAAATGAAAATTATATTCAGTTCCACAACAACTCTCTAACATGCAAAACACTTAGTGTCCTATATGTATTGTGAGTCTAATAATTTTTAGGAGCAAATAAAGAGTTTAAAACTTGGGAAACTTACCACCAGGTGTAATCTGAAGACATGCCTACATCTAACTTAGAGGCTAACTCTGATGTGGAGTTAAGCTGAATTTTTGAGGCTGCCATGGCCAATGAACCAAAAAATATGTATATATCTTAGAGTGGGAAGGACTTGAGAGATCACATTGCCCATCACCTTCATTTTATATATGAGTGAACTGAGGCCAAGAGAGGGTCAAGAGTTGTGTGGTGACCCAGACATAGAATACTGCCCTGAGCTATTATAGCAACCCTGTGTAACAATTAGAAAATTTTAACTACAACAAGCTTAATGATCCATGGGTTTTCTTGAAGTGTATTTCACACAAAAGGAGGAATATCTGAAATCTGAACTGCAATACCACCAGCTTCCCCAAGAAGATTTAAGCAGTCTTTTCTGCCACACTGACTGGATACACCTCTGATATGGTTTGGATTTGTTTCCCTGCCCAAATTGCAATTGAATTATAATCTCCAATGTTGGAGAAGGGGTCTGTTGGGAGGTGATGGGATCATGGGGGTGGATTTCCCCCATGCTATTCTCATGATAGTGAGTGAGTTCTCATGACATTTGGTTTTCAGAAGAGTGTAGCACCTCCCCCTTGGCTGTCTTCCTCCTGTTCCATCCATGTAAGACATGCCTACTTCCCCTTCACCTTCTGCCATGATTGTAAGTTTCCTGAGGCCTCCCCAGCCATGGTTCTCGTATAGCCTCCAGACCCATGAGCCAATTAAACCTCTTTTTATTATAAATTACCCAGTCTCAAGTAGTTCTTTATAGCAACACAAGAACAGACTAATGCAATCTCCCATTTGAGTGCTGTTCATCTCAGACATTATTTCAGATGGCACTATAGTTCTTTGCAATCTCAGCCTATGATGCTGTTATTATCTATACTTTTAAGAATATATTTAGCAGTGTTAAACTTGCTGAAGTTGCTCAGCTCCATCCAATAAAAGGATTGACCAAGAGCAAATTAGCATTTCATTAACTATTTTAAATATAATACTAACTTATTGAGCAATGATGACAGGATGTCTCAGAAATGGTAATACATTGAATTGCCCTTCAAATTCAGATTCTCCCATGCTTATGAGAAAATTACAAAAGGGAGATGTGGGCTGAGAAAGCAAAGATATTTCATCTTCATCATAGAAGAGGCGTATCTTAAAAGCAATGAGAATGATTTGTTTGCATGGCAATTTTCAGAGTAGAGTTCCAGAAAAAAGTTGCAAAAGAGTCAGAATCACTCTCTCAAAGCCAGATTATGGGTAGACTCTTTTGAGATCCCATGCCAAGGACCTTGAGAGAAACTGATGGTGGAAGGGACAGAATCAGGCCACTCTGGGAGTTTACCTGACTTGCAAGCTGACTGAATGTGGTGGCTGTCAGTTCAAACTGCATGGTCTAGATGAATGTGAGAACTCAACTCATATGAGCTGGTAGAGCCAGAATACAAAGTTCCACCTGAGTTGTGGGGCATGAATCAGGAGCACCCAGGCAATGGTGATGTTGACTCAGGTACTTGCAACAACATGGTGACACAGTCCAGATGAACAGCTTGTTTGAGCAGGACCCCAGGACCAACTGGAGGGAAATAGGGTGGGCAGGAGAAAAAGGATCTAGTAACCCAAGAGGAGGAGAATGTCCAGACCCAGAGTGTGGAGGCCTAGTCACAGTGGCTAGTATATATAAACATTACAGACTCAGCAGGAAATTATGGTATCAAAGTGTGTTTATATTGACTGGGCAAGCATAGCTAGAAGCAAGTAAAGATTGTAGCTTGAGTGAGGGAGCATGCTGGAAAAGAGTTCACCTAGGCATAGTGAATAGCATGTCAAAGAAGGTGAATTATTCTAGATCTCCCCTGAAGGATGTGCCAGATCTCTAGGATTGACTCAGGAAAGAAGGGGAGCAGGGCCGTAATGCCTATACCACAACAAGGCCAGGAAGGTGGGGACTGGAGCTCATATTTTAAAGGTCTCTGCTCATCTGCAGTTGTATCATCATAGAAGGGCATGTGGTTAATCTCCAGCAGAGAGAGAATGTGAGTGCCATTCTTCTGACTTGATGTCTCTTTCCATCCTCCTTTTTTGGGTGACCTGTTAGATGCTCTGAGAAACTCACCTCTGCCAAAGTAAAAATGGCATCAATCAGGTCAATGTGTTGCCCTTGCTAGGTAACATATTTGTATGTAATAAGGACTTATCCAAGGTCACAGAAATGTAGTTTCTAACCCCAAGATCCGTATATTTTTCTGATGTAACTGTTGGGCTTTGATGCACAGCTGATAAGGAAAAAAATATATTGGGGGAATGGGCATGAGAATTTTCTGTATCAAGGATTTGTTGTCAATCAGTGGTACATTCTTTACAAAGGTTGTTCTGATTTAAAAAGTAGCCATCATAAACACCTTTTACATTTTCTAAAACTTGAATATTTCTAAAGTATATGCAGTTCCATGATGACAACTTAGAGTACATTTTAGTATCTCCATGTTACTGATACAAAATAAGGCTTTAGACAATAGAAGTCATTTGTCTACAGTTACGTCAGAAGAGTTTGAGCTAGGGCTTGCTCTTATGTCTTCGGAGTTCCAGACACTGGGCTTGGCACCATTCAATGCAGTCTCTCCATCCAGTGCTAGATGGAATGGATCTAAGGCTTTTAGGAATATCTATCTTTTGCCATCCATAAAGAGAAGCCCATTCTTGTTTTGGAATCCTGAAAACCCCAAGCCTCACATAAGAGCCATTACTGCTCCTGATTTCTTGCTTTCCTACTATGATGAAGCTGAAGGATTGCTTTCTCTTCAGCTGAAAGATTATCTCCCCTCTTCCATCCCCTTTCTGCCTTGGGTCTGAGGAGTACCATTGTCCTATAGATGTTAGACAGCTGTGGCCTTGCACCCTAGAGGGATCCAAACTTTCCAGTAAGTCTATTCACTGTAGACTGGAAATTGTGCTGAACAGCTCAGCAGGGAGCAAAGATATTATTATTATTTTCCACTGTCTGATTCGTGTAGCATTCATTAGATGATTATAGCTGTTGGGATTTGATGGATGGAGTAGTCTATCTTGTCACTATATTTCTGAGCTGGTCTGTAGCTACTCAATAATTACCACGCAGCAAAGTGGGGGCACGTTCAAGAATGCTAATGAATTATCAGTTTTCTTTAAGCCTCATTAGATTTCTTGATAGCAAAACCTCCCATTGACAAGATCTCATCTAATATGATTTTCCAAAGTCCCTTATTGCTTGTCAGACACAAGACTATCTCTGCTTGCATGAAGTAGTTTTAAAACCACACTAATTTCCTGCTATTACATTGTCCCAAGTATTTGTTTTTGTTACACTTTTTTTGTGTGTGCATCTGTGGTGTGTGTCTGTGTGTTGTGGAAGTGAGAGGGGGTAGACTGAGGTCTCTGGAGAAAGCAAAACAAACACAATACTGAATTATAGAATTCAATTTTCTGGTTGGATTTTTTTTTTGTTTGTTTGACAGGGTTGTGTTCTGTCACTCAGGCTGGAGTGCAGTGGTGCTATCATAGCTCAGTGCAGCCTCAAACACCTGGGCTAATGCATTTCTTCTGCCTTGACCTCCCAGGTAGCTGGGACTACAGGTGTGCACCACCATGCCCAGCTTATTTTTATTTTTTTGTAAAGATGGGGTTTTGCTCTGTTGCTCAGGCTGTTCTCTAACCTCTGGCCTCAAGTCATCCTCCTGCCTCAGCCTCCCAAAGTCTCGTTGGAAATTATTTTACACTTATCTTGCCTTTCATACCTAAATCTGCTTTTCTCTGATAGTAAATGGGAAAAGGAAAGCAATCCACTCAATTCTTTGGCCTCAAAGCCTAGGCATCATCCTTGATACCTCTCTTTCCCTTGGCCCTCACATCCAATTCATCAGCAAATCTAATTGGATTCTACCTCCAAAAGACATTCTAACTATATCCAATTCTATCTCCCTTACTGTAAGTCTAGGCTAAGCTATCAAAATCTCTCTCCTGGTCTACTGCAAACTTCTCATACCTTGGTTTCTTGCTCCCATTCTTGCTGCCTTAAAATCCATTATCCCCAAAGCAACCAGAATGATCTTTATAAAAATAAACAATTAGATTGTATCACTCACCTGCTTAAAATACTCCAGTGACATCCATTGCAATTGAATTAAAATCCAATAATCCACATAAGATCTACATGCCCCTGTAGGACCTGGCCCTTGTCAACTCCTCAGACCTCATCTCTCAGCATTCTCCTCATTATTCACCACGCTCTTGACAGGCCATGGTCATTCCCACCACAGAGGCTTTGCAAGTCCTGTTCTCTGCCTGGACTATCCTTTCCTTTGAGCTTCACATGGATGACTCCTTCCATCACTTACATTTCAGTCCAAATGTCATCTCAGAGTAATTCTTTGATAGTAACCTTCTACCCTCAGACACTTTCTGTAAGATTGCCCTGTTTTATTTTTTTCACAGAATGCATCATTACTTGACATTGTATTCCATTTGTGGCTGGGCACAGTGGCTCACGCCTGTAATCCCAACACTTTGGGAGGCCAAGGCGGGTGGATCACTTGAAGTCAGGGATTCGAGATCAGCTTGGCCAACATGGTGAAATCCCCGTCTCTACTAAAAATATAAAAATTAGCCTGGCGTGGCAGCGGGCACCTGTAATCTCAGCTACTCAGGAGGCTGAGGCAGGAGAATTGCTTGAACTCAGGGGGAGGAGGAGGTTGCAGTGAGCTGAGATCGTGCCATTGCACTCCAGCTTGGGCGACAGAGGGACACTCCATCTCAAAAAAAAGAAAAAAAATTGTATTCCATTTGTATATGTCTACTTGGTTATTATCTGCCTTCCACAATTAAAATGCAAGCATCTGAGGACAGGGACTTGCTTTCTTTGTTCATTGCTATATCCCTAGCACCTAGAACAGTGTCTGGAACAAAGCAGAAACTTAAAAATAATGGTTGAGTGAATGAATGAATGTGTGAATAAGTCTAGTACAACTCCTTTCTTTTTAATGTGGAGAAACTGAGGCCCAAAACTGGAAGTGAATTGTCAAAAACTATAAAAAGGAAAGGCTTGGTCCCCTGATCCTGGTTTTATGATCTTTCCAGCGTATCAAGCTGCATCTCAAAGTGGTTCTCAACTATGGGTGATTTTGCCCTTTAGGGACACTTAGCAATGTCTGGAGAGATTTTCAGTTTTTCCAACTGGGGAGGGGTTGTACTGGCATCTAGTTGGTAGAACACAGGGATGCTTCTAAACATTCCACAACGCACAGGACAATCCCCACGACAAAGAAGTATCTACTGATAGTGTCAACAGGGCTGAGGTTGAAAACCCCTGGTCTGGGCCGGGTGCGGTGGCTTGTGCCTATAGTCCTGGCACTTTGGGAGGCCGAAGCAGGCAGATCACTTGAGGTCAGGAGTTCAAGACCAGCCTGGCCAACATGGTGAAACCCCATCTCTACTAAAAATACAAAAATTAGCCGGGCATGGTGGTGGGCGCCTGTAATCCCAGCTACTCAGGAGGCTGAGGCATGAGTATCGCTTGAACCCAGGAGGCAGAGGTTGCAGTGAGCCGAGATCACGCCACTTCACTACAGCCTGGGTGACAGAATGAGACTCAGTCTCGAAACAAACAAACAAACAAACCCTAGTCTGGCACTTGGAAAGGCAAGATATTCCTCCTTTATTCCTTCCTTCCTCTGGACTGCCAGAAAACCTTACATAGGCCAATTCTCCTAGACTGCCTCAGTTTCCCTACATGAAGTGTGCAACGGCCTTCCATTCAGGGAGGATGCTGTCTTAGGCCACAAGGTTCATCTTTTCCCTCTCTAAAGTAAGCCCTCCAACAACTCATTGGCACAGGACATGCCACTAAGTTGACATTCAATTAATATCAGTTATGACATTTGTTAAAGAAACTAGTGGTGCAGACTTTTCTTTTTGCTCTTTTATATTCTACTAATCTTTTAAAGTTGTAAATTTCACCATTTCCAGACAGCCTTTCTTGAGTTGCAGGCAGAGTTCATCTCCCTCTTACACCGTATTCTCTTAGCACTTAATTTATATTCGTTAAAATACCAATGCAAGCCCAAGAATTCCTCATTTTCCCCTTACTCCTGCTCTCTGAGTTACTTGAGGACAGGCACGGAGTCTTGGCAGAGCACTGGGCACAGCGTGGGTGCCCACTACATCCTGGAGGGAGGACACATATCTGATAGGCTGCATATCTACTTAACGTGACAATAGAGAAAAACTTGCAAAATGAACACTATAAGACAAACGGAAAGATTTATCTCTTTCATAGCAGCCAAAGAAAGTTTGGAGGCAGCATGTTAATTGACATGTCTTTTTAGAATATTGCTTCTCTTTTGTGGGTAAACATAGGCATTCATTAGGCAGGCAAGTGGAGCCAGCTTTCCATCAAAGTGGGAACAGCTGGAATGAGTGATTATCTCTAACTTGGTGACGAGGGTCCCAGGAACAGAAGGAACAGTGTGGTCTCTGCAAATCCCTAAGCCAATGACAAGGATGGGGACAGGCATGCTGCAGGCTGTATTATCAGCACCCTAAACGGAGATAAGGAAAGCAAAGTATCAGCCTTACACTGCATTCCCGGGAAGCGCTGGCTTGCCTTAAGCCTGGCATGCTATTTCACTCAATGCAGCTGTAAACAAGCAAGCTTAGAAATGAATGATAGAGTTACTTTTAAAAATAAAATATGAAACAAAAGCATTCTTTTTTTTTTTTTCCACTGTGGGCAAAGCAATGGAAGTGCCTTCTCAAGAAAAGCAATTTAAATGGACCAATTCCTTCCATATCAGCCTAAATTACCTTTTTAAAACACAAGACACTGAACTCAGGAAAGCCTTTGGAAATATTGGCTTGTCTCCCTTTATGGATGAGGAGACTGAGATCTGGAGAGGAGAAAGGACTTGCCCAAAATCACATAGTTCACCAACAAAAAAGCTGGAATTTAGAACTGAGTTTCCTGCCTCCTGAGTCCACTATGTAGTATGTGATGTGGAGAGGGGAGAAAGTCAGTTGACCATAAATCTCAATACCTGGGCTCCAGAGCTCATTTTATCAAATGACAAACTATGGGGCTTTTGGGAAGCCATTTGCTTTTGCTTCACCTTCCCCAGCCATGAAATAATAGGTTTAGACTAAATGAACTACAAGGTTCTTCCCAGTTCCAAAGTTGTATAATTATGACTTCAGTGTATCCTGATACTAATTTAATAATAAATAAATAAAAGTTATGGAGTGCATACTATATATCAAACAGTCTGATAACCATATTTTTATGTAATATCTCATTTAATCTCTGCAATTCTGTAAAGTAGGCATGTTTACTTTACAGTAAACATGTGGGAAAGCTGGGACTCAGGTTAAGTAACTGGCTCAGGATCACACAATTGGTATATGCTGACAGTGGAGTCTCAACATATACCTTTTCTGACTTCAGAAATGGAAATTTTAAGGTTGACAAATGTTCAAATATGAGTTCTATCCACTTCTTCTGGAGACTGGGAACTCGCACCCTCTCCACAGAGATCACTCCCATTTGGAACATTCTGATTGGAGTAAAACTTGCCTCTCTGTAGCTTGTACCCATTGATCCAGTGATACTTTAAGACCACCAGAAGAAGTCTAACACATTCTATAAAGTAGTTCTTTAGGTAGGGGTGGATTGCTTACATGACCATTATTCTGCACCTTCTCTAAGTTAAGGTTCCCAATTATCTCCCTGTTTCTCCATTTAGATCTGTGTAAACTCCCTCACTACCCAAGCAAAATGCCTCTGCCCACACTCCAACATCTATAATGCTTTCAACTTAGAGCATGATTACTGATAAAATGCCCCATGATTGGAAAGAGTGTGGGAGTGAAGATGATTTCAGGGCAAATTTGAGCAGAGAAACTTTTCTTTTGGGCCATAACAGTCACAGAGATCTAATTGCCTTCCCACCTTAATGTTTTAAAAAGAGCAAAATAAACCTCAGAGAGCAAATGATAAAGATCAAAGTAGGGGTCAATGAAATAGATAACAGAAATACATAGAGAAAATGACTGATTTGAGAAGATTACAAAATATTGATATATCTCTAGTCGCGCTAATTAGGAAAAGAAAAAGAATACAGAAATGACCAATAAAGAATAAAAGAAAGGGCATCAATATAAATTCTATATACATTAAAATGATAAAAAATATTATGAGTAACTGATACAGTTTGGCTGTGCCCCCTCCCAAATCCCAACTCACATCGTATTTCCCAGAATTCCCACGTTTTGTGGGAGGGACCTAGTGGGAGGTAATTGAATCATGGGAGCTGATCTTTCCCATGCTAGTCTGGTGATAGTGAATAAGTCTCATGAGATCTGATGGGTTTATCAGGGGTTTCTGCTTTTGCTTCTTCCTCATTTTCTCTTTCTCCTGCCATGTAAGAAGTGCCTTTTGCCTCCTGCCATGATTCTGAGGCCTCCCCAGCCATGTGGAACTGTAAGTCCAATTAAACCTCTTTTTGTTCCAAGTTTCAGGTATGTCTTCATCAGCAGCGTGAAAACGAACTAATACAGTAAATTGGTACCAGTAGAGTGGGAGTTGCTGAAAAGATACCTGAAAATGTGGAAGCAACTTTGGAACTGGGTGACATGCAGAGGTTGCAACAGTTTGGAGGGCTCAGAAGAATACAGGAAAATGTGGGAAAGTTTGGAACTTCCTAGAGACTTGTTGAATGGCTTTGCCCAAAATGTTGATAGCGATATGGACAATAAGATCCAGGCTGAGGTGGTCTCAGGTGAAGAGGAACTTGCTGGGAAATGGAGCAAAGGTGACTCTTGTGATGTTTTAGCAAAGAGACTGGCGGCATTTTGCCCCTGCCCTAGGGATTTGTGGAACTTTGAACTCAAGAGAGATGATTTAGGGTATCTGGCAGAAAAAATTTCTAAGCAGCAAGCATTCAAGAGGTGACTTGGGTACTGTTAAAGGCATTCAGCTTTAAAAGGGAAACAGAGCATAAAAGTTCAGAAAATTTGCAACCTGACCATGTGATAGAAAAGAAAACACCATTTTCTGGGGAGAAATTCAAGCCAGCTGGAGAAATTTGCATAAGTAGCAAGGAGCCTAATGTTAATCCCCAAGATTAACATTAATATCTCTACCTCCATTGTATCTGGAAAGTAACTAGCTTGCTTTTGATTTTGTAGGCTCGTAGGCAGAAAGAACTTGTATTGTTTCAGATGAGACAATGGACTGGACTTTTGAGTTAATGCTGAAATGAGTTAGGACTTTGGGGGACTATTGGGAAGGCATGATTGGTTTTAAAATGTGAGGACATGAGATTTGGGAGGGGCCAGGTGTGGAATGATATGTTTTGGCTGTGACCCCATCCAAATTTCAACTTGAATTGTATTTCCCAGAATTCCCACATCTTGTGGGACGGACCCAGTGGGAAGTAATTGAATCATGGGAGCCAGTCTTTCCCATGCTATTCTCCTGATAGTGAATAAGTCTCACGAGATCTGATGGGTTTATCAGGAGTTTCCGCTTTTACTTTTCCCTCATTTTTCTCTTGCTGCCACCATGTAAGAAGTGTCTTTCACCTCCCACTATGATTGTGAGGCCTCCCCAGCCATGTGTAACTGTAAGTCCAATGAAACCTCTTTTTGTTCACAGTTTCAGGTATGTCTTTATCAGCAGCATGAAAATGAACTAATACAGCAACTTTATACCAGTAAATGTTACATTCTGTTTGAAATAGACAAATACCTTGAAAGACACAAACTACTAAAGTGCACACACACACACACACAAAAGATAACCTGGATATCTCTATATTTATTAAGGAAATTAAATAATTAATAATCTTCCAAAAAAAGAAATCACCAAGCCCAGATGGTTTCTCAGGTTGATTCTACAAAGAATTGGAGGAAGAAATGATACTAATTCTCCACAATCTCTTTCAAAAATGGTAGCAGAAGGGGTACTTTCTGACTCATTTTATGAGGCCAGGATTGCCCTTAATACTTAAATCAGACCAAAATATTGCATAAATAGGAAACTATAAACATTCCTCCTAAGCCTACACACAAAAATTCTCAACAAAATTTTAGCAAATTAAATTTAACAATACAAAAATAAGTTAACATTTTATGATTAAGTGAGGTTTATTTCAGTAATATGTTTCTTTTGACATTTGAAAATCAATCAATGGAATTTTCTATATTAATAGACTATGATCATCTCATTAGAGACAGAAGAGGCATTGACCAAATTCAATGTCTATTTGTGATAAAAGTGCCAAGAAATCTAGAAATAGAAGAAAACTTGTTCAATCTTATAAAGAGATTTATGAAAAACTTATACCTAACATCATACTTGATAGTGACAGGATTAATTCCTTTCTTCTGCAATTGAGGAAAAAGGCAAAAACATCTGTTTGCAAAGCTTTTATTTAGCATTGTATTGGAAGTCCCAGCCACTGCAATAAGATAAGAAAATTTCCAAACTTATTGGATAAGAAGAAAATAAGCTGTCTTTATTGGCAGATGGCATAAAGTCTTTGGAAAAAATCCCAAGGAGTCTCTAAAACAACTTAGGACCAATAAGTGAGTTTATCAGGTTTGTAGGATAAACACATAAAAAATCATTTTATTTCCATAAAAGCAATAGACAATTATAAAAATAACTGAAAAACAACTTTTCCAATAACATCAAAAATATTAAGTAATGAAGGATAAATTTGACAAATAATGTGCAAGGCTTATACACTGAAAACTATAAAACATTATTGAGACATATTTAAAAATATCTAAAGAAATGAAGATATACAAAACACAGGAATAGGAAGACTAAATATTTTTAAGAGACTAATTCTTCCTAAACTAACCTACAGATTCGAGGCAATTCCAATTAAATTCCAGGAGGCATTTTTTTGTTTTTGTTTTTGTTTTGAGACAGAGTCTCGCTTTGTCACCCAGGCTGGAGTGCAGTGGTGCAATCTTGGCTCACTGCAACCTCTGTCTCCTGGGTTCAAGCAGTTCTTGTGCCTCAGTCACCCTAGTAGCTGGGATTACAGGTGTGTACCACCACCTGGGTAATTTTTGAATTTTTAGTAATTTTTGAAACAGGGTTTCACCATGTTACCCAGGCTGGTCTTTAACTCCTGACCTCAAGTGATCTGCCCACCTTGGCCTCCCAAAGTGCTGGGATTACAGGCATGAGCCACCATGCCCAGCCAACTGTAAGTATTATTCATACTTCTGTACATTGTCAAGCTGATCCCAAAATCTGGAAGATAATTTAAAACTCTTAAAATAGCCAAAGCAAATTTGAAAAGCAAGAACAAAATTTCAGAACTTGTGCTACATGATTTCAGAACTTATTATAAATCTACAATAATCAAGAAAATGTGGGATAGGCATAAAGTTAGAGAAACCTACTAATGGAACAAGATGGAGTACAGAAGTAAATCCACATATAGATACATGGTCAACTGGTTTTTGACAAAAGTGTAAAGGAAATTAAATGGGGAAAATGGAAGTCTTTTCAACATATTGTTCTGGCACAATTTGATAGCCAAGTGTAAAAAAAAAAAAGAAATTAACCTCAAATCTTATAACACACCATATACAAAAATTAACTTACATGGAATATATACCTGATTGCAAGAAATAAAACTATAAGACATTTGGAAGAAAACAGAGGGAAAAATCTTAGTGACCTTA